>NC_000002.12:14611339-14918095 GCF_000001405.40 Homo sapiens | reverse complement strand
TTCCTACTCCTTTATTCACAAGCTCACAAAGACTGGAGCACCCGTCCTTCTCAGAAGGAAGGGGCTGGAACTTGGATGCTGCGAGTTAAAAACCAGGGGTCCCACTGGGAGGCCTGAGCTGCATTTGTCCCAAACAACTGGTTTATTTAGAAGATGTTATATCTGACAAGGTCACAAATTTGTGGACAGATAGGGAGAAAGAAATTGAGTGCCTTTACCTGGAATGTGAACTTTCCAGCTCCAAACCCTTCCTACTTAGGGAGCTGCTGTTCTCCCTAAGTATGTACATTTTGGACTCAGGGCTACTTTTACTACATGTGGTGTTTTCATATAAAATGAAACAGATACTTTGCAAGAGGCCATTCCTTGTCCAGGGCTGCCACAGTAATGCCTCAGGGCATGTGAATGGGGGAGCTGAGCAATGTTTAGTCTCCTGGTGTCCCCACTATATAACCATGCATGAAAGCCCAGTTTTGACCCTCCATGTGGCAGGCAGACTCTAAGGTGACCCTCAATAATCTCTGCTTCCTGGTATTAACACCTTCTAATTCATACCTTCTAAGTTGCTCCTTTTGACTTGCTTCTAACCAATAGAGTATGGCAAAGGTAATGGGATGGCACTTCCGTGATTAGGTTACAAAAGTATGTGACTTCCATCTTGCTTGTACACCCTGTCTCTGGCTGGCTTTGATGAAGTGAACTTCCATGTTGATGAGGCCTACCTGGCAGTGAAATGAGGATGGACTCTGGCCAACAGTCAGTAATAAACTGAGGCTTTCAGTCCAAAACCCTTTGAAGAACTGAATTTTACCAACAACCTTGTGAGTGAGCTTGGCAGCAGATTCTTCCCCAACCAGGCCTTCAGATGAGACCCTAGCCATGGCCAACACTGTGATTGTAGCTTCATGAGAAATTGTAAAGCTGAATGCCTGACCTGAAACAATCATGAGACAACAAATGTGTGTGTTTTAAGCTGCTACGTTTTGAGGAATTATAAAATGTAGCAATAGATAGCTAATACATTCATTTAAAATTTTCTGACCCTTTCCATGTAGGTAAAATCCATGGGCCTTCTCACCCTTGGTCCAGTCAGCACATGACTTCTTTCCAGCAGGAACCTAAAAAAGCACACGTGTTGTTTCTGCTTTCTAGTGTTATTCACAGATGACAAGGAAGGAAGATGTTACAATCTGGCCCACCTTATGGACAGGGAGTTGAGAATAGGCCTGGGAACAGAACAAACATTGTGCATGTGATCCACTGTCTGCTTTGCTGGGACAACTGGAAAGAAGATAACCTCAGACTCTGAGATTGTAGACTTAGCCATATCTGAATACATGAGGCATCTTCTGAGACAACAGGGAAGAGTCAATAAATTATCAAACAGGGCTTAGTAGCGAGCCATTACACAGTGGTCCATCTGCTAGGCAAGATTGCTGTGCAACATTACAGTAGTTACAGTGAGAAAAATCACTTTTCAGCTTTTGTATATACTATCATTCATATATATATATTACTGAAAGCAATCTAAGCATGATATTTAGCTATGCTACAAAACAGACTGTCAGCGGGATATAACTTAGATGCGATATGCATTATCTTGGTACTGACAAGTAGCTCTCTGATTTTTTTAAGGAAAATAAAAAAGAAAAGAAAACAATGAAAATTTACTGCACAGCTGCAGTACACTTATTTAAAAGCCTTAAAAAATTCACAGAATGTTCTTGCCTTGTATTGTATTGCATCCTGAGGAGTGTTTGTCCTTTACGTTGCTTTCTTAGAATGTTGGTGATAGATGGGGCTTAGGGATCTTCTAATTGAAGCTTATCATTTTACAGATGGGGAACCAAGGTCAGAGAGAGGCCTGGATTTGCTTTGTATTATAAATCAGGTTAGCAGCAGAGACGAAACACATTAAAGCCCAGGCTTATTCTAAAGCATCTTGATATAATCTGTATGACAACCTGATAGTATTACCATTATCCCATTTTAAAGACGAAAAAAAAAATCTCAGGGAGGTTAATGTATTAGTCCGTTTTCATGCTGCTGATAAAGACATACCTGAGACTGGGCAATTTACAAAAGAAAGAGTTTTATTGGACTTGCAGTTCCATGTGGCTGGGGAGGCCTCACAATCATGGCAGTAGGCAAGGAGAACCAAGTCACATCTTATGTAGATGGCAGTAGGCAAAGAGAGGGCTTGTGCAGAGAAACTCCCGTTTTTAAAACCATCAGAGGCCAGGCACAGTGGCTCATGCCTGTAATCCCAACACTTTGGGAGGCTGAGATGGGCAGATCATGAGGTCAGGAGTTTGAGACCAGCCTGGCCAATATGGTGAAACCCCATCTCTACTAAAAATACAAAATAAGCTGGGTGTGGTGGCAGGTGCCTGTAGTCCCAGCTACTTGGGAGGCTGAGGCAGGAGAATTGCTTGAACCCGGGAGACAGAGGTTGTAGTGAGCCAAGATTACGCCACTGTACTCCAGCCTGGGTGACAGAACAAGACTCTGTCTCAAAAAACAAAAAAAACCCATCAGATCTTGTGAGACCCATTCACTGTCATGAGAATAGCATGGGAAAGACCCAACCCCATGATTCAGTCATCTCCCTCTGGGTCCCTCCCACAACAAGCGAGAATTATGGGAGCTACAAGATGAGATATGGGTGGGGACATGCAGCTAAACCAAATCAGTTAAATAACTTGTGCCAGGTCACGCAGCTCATAAGGGAGAAGCAGAGCCTGGATTCAAATGCAGCTCTTCCTGACCTTAGATCCTCAGCCTTTAACCATTAGCCATATTGTTTTTCAGCACTGAGCTCCTAATTTTGGTTAGACTCTTTCTAAAGGACCCAGTTATTATAAAGGTAATATCTTTCACCAGCAACCTTTGATAATAAGCTAAGCATCTAAAAAAGCAGAAAAGAAGTCAGTTAAACCCATCACCTGTATCTGCCGTCTCCATTATTGCCCCTCCAGGGCCAGTTCCATCCTTCACTGGAAGCCTTGGTGCTCTTCCTCATTTCCAACCCACGTCCATGTGGATGACTCTCTGTATCAGTAAGCTTTTGCTGCATAACAAATACCATAAAAAACTCAGTGGCTTAAAACGC
Organism: Homo sapiens; assembly: GCF_000001405.40. Classification (NCBI taxonomy): domain Eukaryota; kingdom Metazoa; phylum Chordata; class Mammalia; order Primates; family Hominidae; genus Homo; species Homo sapiens. The sequence continues at coordinate 14,914,983 of NC_000002.12, read as the reverse complement.
AGACCATTGAATAGGGAGTATATAAACAGAAAGAAGCCCATTAGGTGGAGGGTGAAACTTTCCTGACTTCCAGATATCTAATCCCAATTACTTATTAGATATCTCCAATTCAAGCTACAGACTTTCTATACTCAGTCTTTTCTACTCCCTGTGCCCAATATAAACACATGATCATCTCCTTAAAATATGCACCTTCTGAATCGCTTATCTCAGGGAAGTTACCAACACACAGGCTTTCCCCCAAACCAGAAACCCCAGAGATGTCTGGATTTCTCTTTCACATTCACTGTCTGTGTCTTTTAGTAAGAGGCTACAATTAAGACTCAGTATTTTCAGTTCTTGACATCTCATAAAATCAGTTGGGCCTGGAATGACCTAGTCACAAGTTCCCCTCCCCAATCTGTTCCTGCAAATAATGTCCCCTAGCTAAATACTGCTCCTTGACAAGGGGCTGGGCACAGTTTCTGCTTAACCCTGAGTGATGGGTTTCAGCTCTCTGCCAGTCCATAGAATTAATTAAACAAGCCAATCACATCCTTCTGCAGAAGCCAGAGGACACCCATTCTCTTGATATTATGAAACCTGCCTCTCACAGCCCTTGCTGGTGCAGTCTCTTCCCAAGGGCAACCCCCATGTGGCCCTGTGGGGTGTGCCTGGGCTGCAAATATATGTGATTAATAAACTGCTGTCAGTCTTATCTGTCTAGTGTTGGGTGTGGTGTGTGATATGGTTTGGCTGTGTCCCCAACCAAATCTCATCTTGAATTGTAGCTCCCATAATTCTCATGTGTAGTGGGAGGGACCCAGTGGGAGATAATTGAATCATGGGGACAGTTTCCTCCATACTGTTCTCGTGGTAGTGAATAAGTCTCATGAGATCTGATCATTTTATAAGGGGTTTCCCCTTTGGCTTGGCTTTTATTCTGTCTCGCCTGCTACCATGTAAGAAGTGCCTTTTGCCTTCCACCATGATTGTGAGGCCTCTCCAGAACTGTGAGTCCATTAAACCTCTTTATTTATAAATCACCCAGTCTCAGGTATATCTTTATCAACAGTGTGAAAACACACTAATATAGTGTGTCTGGCTATTTCCATAAGGCTAGGATTGAAATCCCTTCATCACCAATGGGATGAATAGGAGGTAATTCAAATACAGATCTTTGGTGTCTTTCTTCTAAACACTGCTTATATCTGTGTCTTCTTCCCCATTCACATGGCCCTGACCTCTTTTCTGGCCCTCATCACTCTTCATGGGATCATTACTGTAACTTCCAAGCTGGTTCTGTTTCCCCTGCCTGATGCCCTTTGCCCCACCATCCACATGGCTGCCAGGTTATCTTTCCAAAACACAAATCTAAACACATTCCTCCTTTGCTTAAAGTTCATTAATGGCTTCCTATACCTCTCAGGATAGAGATGAAATATCTCAGTTAGTTTAGCTTCCAGAGCTTTGCCTTGTCTGGGCTCAGCTTTCCATTCTAGCCTTGTCTGCCACTCCACCACCTATATGTTTTACCCATGCTTTCTCTCCTCACCTTTAGGCCTTTATGATTTCAGGCATGGGCTCCTGTGGTCAAGGCCCTTTCCTTCGCTACCTAACTCTTCCTAATCCTTAATGACTTATGTCTTGAGATACTTCTAGAGGAAGCCCTCCTGATTATCTCTCAGTGGTTAGGAGCATCAAGCTCTGAACTCCAACAGCTCTCCATGCTTAAGTCGGCCACAGCACAGGCCTGTGGTCTGCGTTTATCTGTCCTTCTCTTTTATTTGTCCTTTTTCCCCAACAGCCTCTAAATGCCAATGCGGATTGCAGCCCCTGACACACAGAAGGCATTCAATAAATATTTGTGAATAATGAGTGGATGAAAGTTAAATAAAGTTCCAATGCAGATGTGTGGCTTGTTTTCATTCTCATGAATGAGATACAGCCTCTTATAAATGGGTTTTGTAAAAGGTTTAATGTTCTTTCAACTTTCTTCTCCATCATTTCATGTTCATATTAACCTGATTTCCGAAGAAACTTTCTATTTTAAGAACATAAATTCATACGGGCAGGAAATGAGAAACTGCTCTTTGAAATGCTCTTGGGAAATTTCAGTCCATGCCTTGCGTTGTTTAAAATAAAATAGCTACAAACCAGGATATAGAATAGGAGGCAACATAAAACCTTGGCCTATGAAATTATTTGAGGTAAAAATTCCCTTGTAACAGATGAAAACTGTAGGGCCTCTAAATTCACTTGTTAAAGGGATTTCCTTTTTTTTTTTTTTTTTTTTTTTTTAAAAATGAATGCATGGTGAGAAATTTCACAACATACCTAGAGAAACTGGGAGTGACAGAAGAAGGATTCCCAGTGTCTGAACTGACTAAGCACAGGAGAAGATATCTAAACTAGAAAAGTCAGGAGAAGGCATCACACACATTTGTGCTCAACTTCCTTTTCCCTTCTCAGTCCCTGGGTCATTTGGCATGGCAGTGGCTTGATGGGACACTTCATTTCTGTGTTATTTTCTGTATTGTGTATGTTGGAGTCAGATTTTCCCAACTGGAATAGTTAGTACTTTGAGGTGAGGTAATGAAGGGTGAAATTTGGAGTTAGGCTTTTCTATAATTAATGACATTTATTAGTGCTGCTTGAGTAAAGCCCAGGTTTTAGTGAATTCTTGTTAAAATAGTTTGATAAATAGTGAAAAAAATACTATGGACAGGCACCTTTCTAAGCACTTTTCAAATACAGTCATGTTCCACCTAGTAACGTTTTGGTCAATGACAGACTGCATATACAACGGCGATCCTGTAATATTTTAATACCATATTTTTACTGTACCTTTTCTATGTTTAGATATGTTTCAATATAGAAATACTGTCTATTGTGTTATAATTGCCTACAGTATTAGCATGGTAACATGCTGTAAAGGTTTGAAGACTAGAAGCAGTAGGCCCTACCCTATAGCCCGGGCATGTAGTAAGCTGCACCACCTAGGCTTGTGAAGTGCACTGTATAATATTCACATAACAATGAAATTGTCTAATGATGCATTTCTCAGAACATATCCCTGTTGTTAAGTGACACATCACTGTAATATACTAATTTAACCCTTATAACAATCCTATATGTTAGGTAGTGTCACTGTCCCTATTTTACAGGTGGGGAAACTGAGGTTAAGAGAAGTTAAGCAACTTGTTCAGGGACACACAGGTAGGATGCTACACAGCTGGGATTTGAGCCAGATAGTCTGGCTACAGAATTTTTGTGCTTAACCATTACACTAAGGAAGGAAATTTCATTGCATGTTTACTCAGTGTTAACTGTTGGGATTTTAGTCACTTTCTTTAATCTTGACAACAAGTGGGTGACATCTTACTCCTATTTTATGGCAGAAGAAACCATGTCTCGGAGATTGTAGGAGACAGTTGTCAGTGGCAGATCTGGGCTGTGACCCTAGGTGTGCCTCACTCTAAAACCGATACATTATCCTGTACTGCCACTGGGTAATAGCCTCATGCCCCTCTCTCAGAGAGTCACTTCTTTCCAGCAAGGTGTAAGGAATAATAGCGTCCAGGATGTATTCATGCCACCTCAATTGATCCTCATGGATTCCTGAGTCAGAAGGTGGAAGGATCACTCTCCAGTCTCATAGGGGAGAAAATAAATTAAATGGGGTAGTAATTTGTTCAAGGTCAAATAGCCTGGAGAGAAAAACAAATGCACATTTTCTGACTTCAAGACTAGTGCAATTTCCACTTTTTCGCAGCTCCTTCAGAGTTGTTGAGTGACAGCTAAGTTGAGTGATCTTGAAAAGCTGGTAGATGGTTCAAAAATTTGCTTTCGATAACATCTTGAAAGCTAAATTTGAGAGGAAGGTTCAGAAAGGTAACTTTGAGTTTCTTTGTTCAAAGGAAGGAACAGAGAGACAAGTTTTCAAATCCTCAAGTGATTGACTTGGGAAAGAGAAGTTGATTTTGCTAAACTTTTCTGAAGTTGTAATCCAGCCAAGTCATTCTGGGTAATTCACTAACTTGAGACTCCTCTCACCCTGCTTCCTGCTGTGCGGGTAAATTACCAAAGAGTATTGGAATTTTGATATTCTGATTCTTCACTATCCCCAGTACAATTTTGAAGGCTCTTATTTTGAAAGCCTGCCTTCTCAAATGATAATAAATAGTTTAGCCCCAACAAAGACAAATCCAATTAAATTGGCTGTAGAGCCATAAATTTAAAAATGTGGGGAAAATCAGATATTAAATCCTTGGGCACAAATCCCAGCCACTATAAATCAAGTTCTTAGTTTCATTTTGACACCCAAATCATGCGTTCCAAATGTCAGCCTCAAATCTGCCCAACCATGAAACTCAAAATCAAGTGAAAGCCTTGGTGCAGGCGTTCTGTGGCATGGCCTGCACCGGGCACCTCTCAGCATTGTCTCCCAACTACCTCTTGTCTCCTTAGCTCAGAGTCAGAAAACCCCGGTGTGGCCTGGCTGAGGGACCTTGGTTCTAAGATGGCCAGACAGGTTGACGCTGAAAAAGAAACTCTCTTCTGCCACAGTAGGATAGACTTGTGTCATGGACTCACAGGGCAAGATGAAAGCTTAGGGTAGTGCAAACTCCTTATTCTATGCAAGAGCTTGAGGCTCAGAGCAGAAAAAGGAGAGCTGGATTTGAATTATGTTTCATCCTTACCCAGTGGAGTGACTTTGGGCAACTGGTCCTCTTTGCACCTCGGTTTTCACAGCCCCTTTCAAGAAGTCATGTTCTTTGATTTCCCATCCTCTCTACCTTTGCAGAAACCTTTTAAATCAAGCCATTTTCTCTCTTGGAGAACAGCTAAGCACATGTAATTTTTCTGATATTTTTATGAACCTCAGGTGAAACCCAAATTCTCATACGCAAATGAACCTAGAACTCTCCCCGCTAAACTGATTATCTGTGGAGATGAAAGTCTCCAGGGCAACCGGGTCTGAGAAAGCTCCCGGAGCAAGTCTCAGGCAAATGCACCTGTTTTTAATTAGCAGGAACAACAACAATCCTGCCAGCAATAGACAGAGCCCAAGAGCATCAATTTTGGAATAAGTTAACCCTTTAGTGCTTCCTACTTCAAAAGGCTTGGGGGAAGCAAGCTCAACTGGGCTGTCCCCACAGCTGCTGCTGGACATGTGGGTGCCACTGGCCCTCACCTTCCCTTCTAGCACCTCGCTGTGCCCATTGTTGTTCTTACCCAGTGGGCAATCTTGTCACTAGCCTCTGGCTGAGAAAGTCCCTCTAAATTAATTCCCTCCCTGGCACATTGTTTTATCACCATGCACTGCCCTGGTGCATCATTTACAAAGCATGGCTTGCATCATTTTCTCAATTTTTCCTACAACAGCATGTGAGACGATAGAAATATCCTATTTTTTACAGACAAAGAATCATGAGATTCTGGTAGGTCAAGGATTTGAGCTCACAAATAAGTTGTAATATCAAACCCAATCCTCATTCACAGACCTGCTTCTGGAGTGTCTGGCACCTCCTCCACCATTTTATAGCAGGTGCCTCTGGTTGACAGACATGAAAGTGATCTGGTTTTGTTCCAGTGTAGGTATGTGGGAAATCTTTTTTTTTTTTTTTTTTTTTTTAGAAACTCTCCCCTAGGCTTAGCGGTTCTCTTTTTTTTTTTTTTTTTGAGACGGAGTCTCGCTCTGTCACCCAGGCCGGAGTGCAGTGGCACAATCCCGGCTCACTGCAAACTCTGCCTCCCGGATTCACGCCATTCTCCTGCCTCAGCCTCACGAGTAGCTGGGACTACAGATGCCCGCCACCATGCCCGGCTAATGTTTTGTATTTTTAGTAGAGACGGGGTTTCACCGTGGTCTCGATCTCCTGACCTCGTGATCCGCCCGCCTCGGCCTCCCAAAGTGCTGGGATTACGAGCGTAAGCCACCGCGCCCGGCCAGTGGTTCTCTTTTCTAGCCACAATTTAGAATCATTTGGGGGAACGTATAAAAAGAGATGGGTCAGACTCCATCTGAGACCAATTTAGGAATCTCTGGGAGTGGGCTGCATTTCTGGATCTTTCTACAATTCCCTAGGGGGTCCTAACACATAGCTATGGCTCAGAGGGACTCTGAAGACCCTTCCAGCTCTGAGCAGCTGTGATTTTTGAGGTGGGGGAGGAAAACTGGCATCAGCGTGTTGAGAGGGACAGTGGTCTGGGGGTGATTTCATCTTCAGAGCAGTTGGCAGACTCACAAAAATGCTCTTTCCTTTTGGACTCCCTGTTAGCATATTGCCCTGTTCCCTTAGCTTGTATTCATCTAATCAATCAGCACGGAAATCAAGCCATGATTATGTTAATTGTCACATGCTCCTTTTCTTTGTAGTAATACTCCTGGCATTTTACATCAGGAAGGAACTGCAGGGCAAGACCTATGCAGGGATGCCTGTCTCTTTTTAAGGCCAGGGAACCTAAGAATACAATGAAAGTTAAGCAAACCCTCTCCACGTAAAAAACATGCTAGTATCTATATGAGCACATGGATTTTGCATATAGCTTTTGGGGCTCTCAGAAGCTCGGATGCTTTTCTGTACTTTCAAGGACAGCCATTCCTATACTTTATTATTTTTATTATTATTATATTTTGAGACGGAGTCTCGCTCTGTCACCCAGGCTGGAGTGCAGTGGTGCAATCTCGGCTCACTGCAAGCTCCGCCTCCCGGGTTCACGTCATTCTCCTGCCTCAGCCTCCCAAGTAGCTGGGACTACAGATGCCTGCCACCACACCCGGCTAATTTTGTGTGTTTTTAGTAGAGACGGGGTTTCACCGTGTTAGCCAGGATGGTCTCGATCTCCTGACCTTGTGATCCGCCTGCCTCGGCCTCCCAAAGTGCTGGGATTACAGGCGTGAGCCACTGCGCCTGGCCCCCTGTACTTTAATGATGGGACTCACCCCCAGAGTTTCTGATTCATGTCCAGGGTGGGCCTAATGCTTTGCATTTCTAATGAGTTTCCAGGTGATGCTGGTGATGCTGATTCGGAGAGGATACTTGGAGAACTGCTGCTCCAGGACAAAAGCAATCAAAAGACAAAAGCCTCTTATTTTGTCTCCCCCTCCTGTTTCATAGATAAGTGGGTTCGGGTACAGAGAGTCCTCACACAGCAAGTTCATGGCAGAGCTGATAAAGTTAACTCCTTTCCAGTCCAATTCGATCCAACTCCATTCGCCAGCTACAAGCAAGGTGAATGAGACAAGGTCTCTGCCATTGACTTAAAGATACATAAATGATAAGGCTGAAAGCCAGAATGTGATTATTGTCAAAAGAAATAGTCAAGGAAATATCTTCGTAATTTTGGCCACGGTGGAGGGAGGCACTCGGGAAGAAGTTGCCAGAAGTCATTGCATTCAAGCCTTGCCTAGAAGGAAACTTGGAAGGTAGGAAAAGAACTGCTTGCCGTTGAACATCTGCTGTTTGTCTCTGGATGGTGCTCGCTGCTTCATATGTATTTTGCTATTTAGCCTCATTGACTTCTCACAACAGTGGAGTGATGTACCAAAGAGGAAATCAGATGCTGTGTTCTCTCTGGTGTTGCACAATGTGTGTAGAAAGAAGCCCTGTGCTGTTTTGCCCTGGGTTTGTGTTTATGTGAAGATGTGCTTCCTTCAGACGCAGTGAAGTGCTTGAGTAAGTGCGTTGCCAGAGCTCCCATCTTCCGAACAGAGGACACCATTTTATTACGTAAGCCTCTGTGGTGGAGCAGGATGAACTAATTACCAGGGTGACAGCTGGGGACTGCAATTGCAGGAGGCTGGCCCAACTAGAGACTCCACTCTCTCACTAGAGGCCAGTAGAGGGAGTAAATCCTTTCTACCCCACAGCAGCCAGGGCACTAGTGGGCCAAAGATAGTGGTGAAGAAACGCAGGAAGCAAATGCATTGGGTACAAGGCTGACATTTTAATTTCATTCCCAGGAAGTGGGCGACAGGCATGGACACCTGCCTCTCAGGAGGTGTAAGAAGCATAGCCTCTGCTTGAGGGATTCAACTCGAAGTCATTTGACAGTAGGTTTGGGGGAGAGAGGACAGGAAGCAGACTGGAATAGAGGAAATACGCCAAACTTAGGCTGTGTCTCTTGTCGTCAATATTAAATAATGGGCACCCTCGACTTTGTCTTCTCAGATTTGGCAGAAAAAAATTATTTTGTGCTTTTATTAGGGGTTTTCTCCACGTTGAGGACTGAGCTTGGAATCGCAACATCAGAAAAATCGGAGAATAATGGAGAAAGCACTGAGCCCTGAGAGCCAGGCCATTGGGTCTTGTTCTGCCCCAGATTCTGGTGGGACATTGGGCAGCCCATGCCACCCCCAGGGCTTCTGCCCCTGTCGAGTTATCCCTCAGAGCTTCAGGACTCCAGAATTCCACAACTCTCTAGGGCAGAGCAAGGCGGCCTGGGTAGGAACAATAGCGAGTAAAGGTGGGTCCCCAGGAACAGCGTGTGCCTTTGAATTCGGGTTCACATCACAGGCAGAGGCAGCCTTTCCGTGCCTTCAGTAGCTGAGCCAGTGCATTCAATTAGAAAGAGAACAGACTGAGGGGTCAATGAGATGTGAGTGTGAATCCTGGCTCTGCCACTTACGAGCAGGCTATTTGATCTTGCTTATCTTTCTTTTTCTCACCTGTAAGTGGAGAAGCCTGCAAAATAGAGATAATAAGCACCTACTGTTTAGAGTTACTTCTAGGATTAGATGAAACACGTAGACACAAATTGTGCACAGTGCCTGCCAGAATACCAGGTGTTCAATTAAGGGTAGGTACTGCTGTGGCGGTGGCTGCTGCTGCCGCTGCTACTATTAGTACTGTTGCTACTACTACTACTACTAATACTACTACTACTGCTGCTGCTGCTGCTGCTGCTTACCACTGCTGGAGTGCCTACTGTGTTCCAGAAATTGAATTACGGAGTGGGAATAAAGTGATGTGTTAGGAATATTCCTTGCCCTTGGGAAGCTCCCGATTTGATAATATTGTACAGACAAGCGTACTCATCAGTGTATGCAGCTGACTGTGACACAGCCTATCACATTGAGACAAAGAAAGTGCGCTGAGAGTTTAGAGATAGAAGGTGTTTTTGAATGGGGCATTGTACAAGCCTCCTTGGGGAAGTTGCCTTTGAGCCTCGATGGGATTTACATAATGAAGGCATTGTAAAGAAGAGGCAACCCACCCATTCAGCAACCACCCTCTATCCTTACCTCCCTGAACACACATGGGTCACGTGTGGCCTGCAATGCTTTCATTAGGATGAATCTTATTTTGATCTTCCCAGATTACAAACACTTCAACCAGGTCACTTTTCTCACATGGCATTCAGTTCAAAACACATGAAGGAGGCAGATAAATAGGTCATCGGCATTTGACAGATCTTGTTTATTTCTCTGTTGGCCAGGCTATTTGGTTACTTATTCCCTGAGGAGTCCACAGAGAGCAAGGCAGGGGCACCAGAGAGAGTTGGGTTGTTGGCCCAAGTCTCCCGCAGCCACCGAGCGGGACAGCTGGGCACAGGAGGCACTGAGCAGCATGTGGTTCTCTGCTCTGGTTTTATGGTTCCATGTCTGGGTTCTTCAACAATTTACTTTTGGAGTCTTCAGTTAGTTCGTTCATCCATTTGTTTATTCAACAAACATTTACTGAGCACTCACTAGAGTTACTCCATTTAATAGGTTGCGCACAGTGATGGTTAATATTAGATGTCAACTTGATTGGATTGAAAGATGTCTAGATGGCTGGTAAAGTATTTCTGGGTGTGTCTGTGAAGATGTTGCCAGAGGAGATGGACATTTGAGTCTGTGAACTGGAGAGGAATACCCACCTTCAATGTGGGTGGGCACCATCCAATCTGCTGCCAGTGCGCCTGGAACAGAGCATAAACACCTACTGTTCAGAGTTACTTCTTTTTTTTTGAGACGGAGTCTCACTCTGTCGCCCAGGCTGGAGTGCGGTGGTGCGACCGGCTCACTGCAAGCTCCGCTTCCCGGGTTCACACCATTCTCCTGCCTCAGCCTCCCAATTAGCTGGGACTACAGGCGCCCGCCACTGCGCCTGGCTAATTTTTTGTATTTTTAGTAGAGACAGCGTTTCACCGTGTTAGCCAGGATGGTCTCGATCTCCTGACCTTGTGATCCGCCTGCCTCGGCCTCCCAAAGTGCTGGGATTACAGGCTTGAGCCACCGCGCCCGGCCTAGAGTTACTTTTAGGATTAGATGAAATACGTAGACACAAATTGCGCACAGTGCCTGCCAGAATAGCAGGTGTTCAGTTCAGTGTATACAGCTGACTGTGACACAGCCTATCATACTGAGTCACAGCTGACTGTGACACAGCCTATCATACTGAGTCACAGCTGACTGTGACACAGCCTATCATACTGAGTCACAGCTGACTGTGACACAGCCTATCATACTGAGTTACAGCTGACTGTGACACAGCCTATCAGCCTGTCATACTGGAAGAAGGTGGGATAAGCCGACTTGCTGAGTCTTCCAGCCTCCATCTTTCTCCCGTGCTGGATGCTTCCTGCCCTTGGACATCACAATCCAGGTTCTTCCGCCTTTGGACTCTTGGACTTATATCAGTGGTTTGCCAGGGGCTCTCGGGCCTTGGGTCACAGACTGAAGGCTGCACTGTCGACTTTCCTGTTTTTGAGGTTTCTGGACTCAGACTGAGCCATTACTGGCTTCCTTCTTCCCCAGCTTGCAGATGGCGTATGGTAGGACTTCACCTCGTGATCGTGTGAGCCAGTTCTCCCTAATAAACTCCCTTTCATATGTACATTTATCCTATTAGTTCTGTTTCTCTGTAGAACTCTGACTAATACACATCCCTTGCCCTCTTAGAGCTGGTGGTCTAGATGGAAAAGAAAAATACAGATAATTATAAAATGTGAAAACACAAAATGAGAAATGCCCCCGTTTCTCTGAGTGTCCAGAAGGGAGCGCCTCGCCCAACCTAATGGGGTAGCCTATGGAGGGCGCTCGATGCCGCCCCCTGCAGGTGGTAACCGGCACTTCTCCTGGGTCTCCTCTTTCCATTGCCCTCTGCCTTGCTGGGCACGCCTCCCCCCACCCTCAGGCCCTGCTGTGTCTAACATCCCATCAGGTGTGACAGGGGGATGGGGGGGACAGGCATGCTTCTCCCCTGAACTTCGATTTTCTCAGCTGTAAAAAGGCAATGTTGAGCTCCAGTGTTGACTTTTGCTCCCCGATTCCTTTGAAACCATGATTTTGATCATTATTCTGCTCCTGTGAAAACAGTTGTGTGGTTTTTGTACTAACGTGAAAGTTTTCCTCAAAGTGTCTCGTTTCAGTTCTAGTGAGAAGCTGGTTCTGGGGATAGTGATACTGCCAATGTGGCTTTAAGATTCTCCTCCACCCCCTATTGTTTTCTTTTCATGCATTTCAGTGAAAGGCCAATGACAGGTACTCCTTCAAAGTGGTGGGAGTCACATGGGAGCAGCTTTTCCTGAAGTGCTGGGCCAGGTCCACTTTGTCACCTGGGGGTGTCTTCTGAACACACAAGGCTGTTATCAACACTCTTGGAAAATACTTTATATGTATTTTTCATTTGGCTTTACCAATTTCTGGTTTTTATTTTCAACATGTTTCTTTCTTTTTTTTTTTTTTGCAAAGCTTATTTCACAAATTTAAAAAAGTCTGGATGTAGCATGTAGAGATCCTGTGACATTCAGAAGATGCTAATACTGACTGAATTTAACCATCTTCTGCAGATGGAATTGCTTGTATTATCATTAAAAGGCTTGGCCACCACTAGAAAATGGGTTGCAAAATATTGTGGTTGGCCCTTACACGCTAGGACACCCTGGAGAGGCCAAGACACTGTATGTAGAAGGTCTTGGTTTGTTCTCTTATTTTTTCATTTTTTTTTTTCATTCATCAAAGCTTCTTGCCACAAATTGCCTTTCACTGGGATGGGTCTTTGCCATTGGTTCAAACTGTGCCTTTGCTGTCTCTCTTCTTTTAGCCTAGCTTTTATCATGGGCTTACCCATGTGACTGCCTATTCTTTGGTTCCCTGACAGAACATTCTCACCTTGTTTATTTTCCTCAGAATGGCCAATGTGCTCTAATAATAACTATTTGTGTGGATTTTGTTGGAACCCCTTCTTCTCAGACTTTCTGGCTTTGAGATTCTGTGTATTTGATTAATTACCTACCAATTCCAGTCTGAATTACCTCCTTATAAACTTATTACCATTTTTCGATACTCCTCCCCTTTTCCCAACCTCCCAGAAGCTCAAGTTTCAGTCTTGTGTTGATGATTATAATTTTGATCAGGGAATAGGTCTCATTGCCAATGAGCAAAATTCCCAGGCTGACATTTAAGACAGGAAGCAATGCTTCAGACCATCTCCCTGGCCATTTTCCAATGTTTGCACAGATATTCTACACATGGGTCTACATATACAGAGCTTCTCTCTGTGTGTATCTCTCTGTTTTTCTCTCTCCTTCTCTCCTTACTTCCTCTTACAGGAAATATTAGACATAAAAATGTGAGGATTAGGCCAGGTGCAGTGGTGCAAATCTGTAATCCAAGCACTTTGGGAGGCCAAGGAGGGTGGATCACTTGAGGCCAGGAGTTGGAGAACAGCCTGGCCAACACGGTGAAACCCCATCTCTACTAAAAATGCAAAAATTAGCTGAGTATGGTGGCGCATGCCTGTAATCCCAGCTACTTGGGAGGCTGACGCACAAGAATCACTTGAACCCGGGAGGCAGAGTTTGAAGTGAGCTGAGATCATGCCACTGCACTCTAGCCTGGGTGACGGAGTGAGACCCTGTCTCAAAAAAATGAAAGAGAAAATGTGAGAGTTGGAAGGGAAAAAGGGATGATTGCTATACGAACTAAGCACTCCCATTTTACAGAAGAAAGAAGAAAATTCAGGAAGCTTGGGAGGTAGTCACAAGACAGCTTGAGTGACTCATAAAAGCTCAGTGGTGCATTTTCTGGTGGGAGGCTGTTATCGCGAGAGGACAGCCAGATCCCATGGGTGTTTCCAAGCATGTCACTGCTGTTCCCAGCATGTGCTTTCTTGGGCATTGTCCAGGGTCCATTCCTGCTTGTGGAACTGTCCTTCCACAGCACATTTAGTCTTTTTTCAAGGTCAATGTTTTCAGGAGCCATCACTGAAGGAGAGAGCTAACTCTAGTCTGATTCCTGGTAGAGATGAAACTTGTGAGGGCTGTGGGCTGTGTATTTAAAAATGATGAATTAAGTTTAATGAATATTTCCTTACTAGATTTCTATCCCTATTAAGTATTTTGCAAGATTTTTATTACTTCCTAAGAATCTAAGTTATTTCCCCTCATTTTTCTTGCAAAGGATGAGTTCAGTATTTCAGCTGTTCTCATTTATTGTTAATTCTCTTTTCCTCGTCATTTATTAGAAGATCCATTTTTCTCTGTGGTTTATCTTTTTATCCCTTAAAGTGTTTATAAAATCCTCTTTAGCTCTTTTACCACTTAAAAAATTACCCTTCCGATTTTTTTTTTTAAAATTACCTGAGTCTTTCTGGTTTGGCCTTTAGCTGAAGAATAATCAAATTTTCTCCTTTATTCTGATTCTTTTTTATTACTAAACTCCTTTAAACTTATAATTTTTTGAACTCTCTCTGCTAAAGCTATAATGACAGTTTCTATTTTTACCCAGTCTGGTTGGAATGGAGCTGCAATTCCATTTGATTATGGAATATACTTTTATTGAGCACCTACTAACTAATCCATGTGAAGTGACTGTCACAGTGCCAGGCACACAGTTAGCACTCAATATATGCTGACATTATTGTTATTTCCAGGCACCATGCTGTTGACCCTAGGGTTACAAAGATGGACAAGAAATGAGCTGTGCCTGTGCTTAAACCTGGCAGTGACTTTCCCTCACCTCCATGGGAATTTCAAGTCCTTAAGATAGACCCCAAGGCTGTCAGTGCAAGTCCCTATCTTGTGGACCTCAAGTATCAGCCACTACCCCCGTAGCCATATGGAATTACAAACTTGGCATAGATATTCAGGTTCAAGCCTTTGCAGATGGTTAGTATGGAATGATTTCCTTTTATTTCCTTAATCCAGTGTCACCTCCTTTCACAGATATTTCCTGATGCTGTGTCTCCCCTGAAGTTCTTCTGCTTCCTTTGTGCTAGTTACTATGCCCTGTGCATACTTTGTTCTTGAACTTATCATGCCTTGTGCGACTGCTGAAAAATTTCTTTCTCTCCTTCTCTTAAGAATAGGACTTCACCTTATTCAGATCTGTATGCTCCAGTGCCCATCTTGCCATTCAGAAAAGTTTGTCAAATTAATACTGGGCATAATGGAGTTGTTATTTTAGAAGTAATGAACTTATTGGGTGATATAGAAGAGAAGGAATTCTTTATAGGTGCGGAGATTTGGGAAGGTTTCCTGGCATTTATAACCAAACCATAACCAAACCATAAAGGATGAATAGAATTTCAGTGGTGAAATTTCACAAAGTAGGACATAGCAGATGAAAGGAATACCTGTACAAAAAAGGCAAAAGTGGTAAAAATCTCAGTTTCCTTTTTTTTTCTTCTTGGAACAGAGTAAGCCTTTTAATACAGCTGAAACAGGCACATTTAGTGGGAAAATTGATATGTCATTCATGCCTTTTTTCTGTCTTCAAATATTTGTTGAGCATGCTTATGCATCTTGCACTGAATACTTAGAAAGGTGGAATGGATCATGGAAGGCGTGTTTAATATTAGGCCAGGGAGTCTCATGGTGAGAGAGAAAAGCAGCTGAGCAAATGGGTAGGTCTTTTTCTTTCCTGAAGAATTGGCTAGAACCAGTCAAAAAAAAAAAAAAGCATGTGACTTAAAATCGACTTCGGAACTCTCATTTCCATTCTTTCTAACCACTTTTTGGATGTCCTTTTGTTCTAATGTTATCTCCCCCTCCCCTTTTATAACTGCTCTCCTGGAGCATCTAGCAATAGTCACTGATCACTGATGTCTTAGTAAAGATTCTATGAACCCTCTCTTTCTTGTAAGCCAACTTTTACTTTGTGGAATGAATTACTTTGCTCCCTGAAAGCAGTCAGCAGGTGAGAGAGCCACAAACTTGTAGATGTGTTTCTTTTCTTAGGCTCCTGAAATCATGGGCTCCAGGTGGCCCGTTTCCCAGGGTAAAAAATAATTTCAGGAGCCTGATACCTGAGGCTGGGAAAAAAAAAAAAAAAGTTGTGACCTTGTTTTTTAAAGGACCCTGAAAGAATGGGCAGAAGTGTTTTGAAAACAACAACCACACAACCAGTTCCAAGTTAAATTGGTTATGATCACATCAAGTCATATGGTCTTTTAAAATATTAGACTGTAAAATCAGCAATGTTTTTAAGGCAAGCTCATGAATGGCCTATCAACACAGTTGCTAGTTAAATGGGTATGGAAAATAATCTATCTGAAGAGCCTGTGCTGAGCTTAACAACATTCTAAATGGCAGCTGCTGCAGATGAGCCAGCCACAAATTTAACCCTTCTTCATTTTATTTAACCAGAAACTAAAAAATGATCTGGACTAAGGAAAATTATTTATGTGTTCATTTAGTCATTTGACATTTATTTAGTGAAAAGGTTCTGTGTGCAAAACACAGGCTAGTATTACTCATGGACTTCAGCCATCTGGACTGCTGTGGGCACAGGTCTCTGAGGCCTCTCTGGGCAGCTTTTCTGTCCCCACCTCTTCTGTCTGGGCTGGGCCTGGGACTGCTTTACTGCAGAATGTGGAGGAAGTAATGTTCTTGGGCTTTGAGTCCAGGCATTAAGAAAACCTGGAAGCTTCTGCTTCCTTCCTCTTGGATCTCCTGCTTTTTGGGAACACAGAGCTGCCACCTAAGAAGTCCAGCCACCCTGCTGGAGAGACCACTGGGGGAGGAAATGCCTGGCCACCCTAGTTTCCAGGTGGAGCTTCCAGATGAGACCCATTTAGCCACCATATGACTGAAACCACATGAGAGACCCCAAGTGAGGCCCATAAAAGTTCCCAAACTACAGAAACGTAGACACAATAGTTCCAACTAGAACTCAAGCTACAGAACCATAGAGACAATAGTAAGGTCCAGGTTCATTTTTACACTGCTGATAAAGACATACCTGAGACTGGACAGTTTAGAAAGGAAAGAGATTTAATTGAACTTACAGTTCCACATGGCTGGGGAAGCCTCATAATCATGGTGGAAGACAAGGAGGAACAAGTTCGGTCTTATATGGATGGCAGCAGGCAAAGAGAGAATGAGGAAGACATAAAAGCAGAAACCCCTGATAAAACCATCAGATCTTGTGAGACTTATTCACTACCAAGAAAACAGTGTGGGGGAAACCACCCCCAGGATTCAGTTATCTCCCACTGGGTCCCTCCCACAACATGTGGGAATTATGAGAGTATAATTCAAGATGAGATTTGGGTGGGGACAGAGAGCCAAACCATATCAAGTGACTTACTATGCGGCTTAGAAACACAGAATAGCTCTTCTAGTCTGAAACCCTCTCTTTCTCTCTCCTTTCTGCCATTTGTTGTTTTTAATGGGTATAACTTCACATATGGGTCCATTTCATAATGACTAGCCATGGGAAATTGATTTCCCTAGCACCTCTCAAGTCTTACTAGGAAAAGCTACCCTGTGTCTCCTTAGAAACACCAACATTATTTTTCACCTTTTCAAGGAAGAGAGAGGCTTTACATTTCCTAAGGATCTGCAAGCACATGTTAGCATTTAATGTGAATTAGCTGATTAAATCCTCACAAAATCAATAAAAAGGCAGTCCTTATTTATCTCTAGTTTATAAGAAATATAAGCAAAGGCAAATTAAATTGTCCAAGTTAGCGGAGTCTGTAGGCCATGGAAAGGCCTTTAAGCCTAGGTTCTTCTGATTCTAAACCTGGAACAAATTTCAGCAGACCAAAACTCCTACTATTTTGAACAAACACTGGGACCCTCCTCAGCATTGCTCCCCACCTCACTCTGGCCCAGCCAGGAAAGTGTCCAACATCAAGCCTTAGGATGTGCTATGAGGGCAAATAACCCCCAGTCTTCCCAGGAGCCAACCGTGTCCCTCTTATAATGGAGGCCCAGACAGTTCCTCCTCACTTCCAAAGACCACAGTCTCATTGTTAACCACCGCCTTCTTAATAAACTTGTCATCTCCTGAGAATGGAAAGATCCCTTCTGAGGCCAGAAATTCAACATCCTTGCTGCTGATGAGATGTGATGTCTCAACAGGAGATGCTGCAAAGAGGAGCTGATGTGCTGAGATGCTGGTGCACACTCCCTGGCCAATATTGTGTGCTGTCTTTGGAAAAAAAAAAAAAAGCCAAATGTAGAAACACATTTCTGAATTAGTACTTCCTCAACCAAAATTATTCTGAAGCTATAGGGGCATTAGACCAGGGTGAAGACAAGAGAGAGGACAATCAATATTTCATTATAACGTCCTTGGGGTTTACAAAGCAATGGATATGGGAGAGGGGAAGCTTTTGAGAAGAAAAATGGTGCATATAAATGGCTTGGTAAAATAAGTGTTTTCACATTTTACCTAGAGAAAAACACAGTATACATTTTAGCAGAGAAAAGTGGATATTTAAATAATTTATCAAACTTCTCTCCTTAGGGGAAATGCCTAGAAGTAACATCTCCATAGCGCTCTAAAAAGGAATACATTTTTAGTTTTGATAAGGAGAAAAGCACCAAAAATAAGAAAGGCAGGAAAAGACAGCTGTGAAAATACTGAAGCAGGAATCAGGAGACCTGTGTTTGGTTCCAGCTTTGCCACCTGCTCGCTGTGTGATACTGGGCAAATTTCTTCCTTCTTCCTGGAGGCCTTCGTTTTTCCCATGTGTAAAATGATGGAAAAAAAAAAAAAGAGGAACGGCTCAGGCTTTTAGGGGCTCACGAATTACTGCTCCCCTCCCCTGACAGCCACAGAAGCTCCTGAGATATTTCCATGCAGCTCTAGTAGGGGCCTCCAACTAGGACTTGCGAATCTCTGAACTAGAGGCTCTTCTTTTGCATTCAGGTTATGTGATCAAATGTTATGCAAATTTTTAACAAAAAGTAGAATATTTACATTAAAATGCTTATACATTATCAACAGAGACATTATGGTAAATGAACAATAGTTGTTCACGGTGATTTGTTCCCCAGCTGTTAAATACCAGCTTCTTCTTTGCAATGGCCTGCAGACTTCTTCACTCACTGGCCTGGGCTCCCTGTCTTCTGTACCCTTAACGAGGCCCTCAAAGTCCAGAAAGAAGGCGGTAGCAGCTGCAGTACTGATGTACAGTCAGTGCTCCTGGTTTTGCAGGGCTATGATTACAACACAAAATCTCAGGGAAAAAAAAAATGGCAAGAGAACTCTGCAGTGTGTTTCTTAGCAGCTAATTGGTTCCTTGCGCTTAGGATCGGCTTCCAGATTTATGCTATGGAGCCATTCCCCCCATAACACGGAGGAAGGAAGATTTGTTCAGTGTGGGGGCGTAGGAGGGAGAATGACTAAGGGAAAAATTAAATTGCTGTGAGAAACAGAATAAAACCGCTCTTAAATTTCAAGCAGTCAATTATCAAATTTGAAAAAGGCTTAATACACATACTAGTTTGGCATTTGGAATACAATGAACATTGATATTATTAATACATTACATAGCGTATTGGCTGAGCTGAAGAAAGGCCTCTAATATTTTGAGGGCAAAGTGAGGCTCTACTGCCTTTCCTGCTTGTGTTAAAGAGCCTCCCTGGAAACTGGGCCAGTGGACTACTGAGATTGAGAAATAGGGGCCGATTCAGGTAATTTGTACTACGTGGTTATGGGCTCTCTTCTCCCGGATTAATTTTGTTGTTTTGTTCATGGTTGCCTGACAAAGGAAAGCAGAGATTCTTAGTTTTCTTATTCTGTATTTTAAACATTTATCTTCGTTTTTTTTTCCCCTTTATAGTCTCAGGAGGTAACACGTGCAGGTTTGTTTCATAGATATATTGTGTCATGGTGAGGTTTGGGCTTCTAGTGTGCCCATCACCTGAATAGTTAATATTGTACCAAGTAGGTAATTCTTCAGTCCTTACCCGTCATCTTCCCTCTCCCCTTTTGATGTCCTCAGTGTTTATTATTACCCTCGTGTATCCAAGCGTACCCATTCTGTAGGTTGTCTGTTGATTATTTCTTTTTCTTTGCAGAAGCTTTTTTTTTTTTTGAGACGGAGTCTCGCTCTGTCACCCAGGCTGGAGTGCGGTGGCGCGATCTCAGCTCACTGCAAGCTCCACCTCCCGGGTTCACGCCATTCTCCTGCCTCAGCCTCCCCAAGTAGCTGGGACTACAGGCGCCCGCTACCACACCCGGCTAATTTTTTTGTATTTTTAGTGGAGATGGGGTTTCACCGTGTTAGCCAGGATGGTCTCCATCTCCTGACCTTGTGATCCACCCGCCTTTTCCTCCCAAAGTGCTGGGATTACAGGCGTGAGCCACAGTGCCCTGCCTGTGCAGAAGCTTTTTAGTTTAAGTCTCATTTGTCTATTTTTGTTTTCGTTGCATTTGCTTTTGAGGTCTTAATCATAAATTCTTTGACTCGTCCAATGTCTAGAAGAGTTTTTTTTCTAGGTTTTCTTCTAGGATTTTTATAAGTAAATATTTACCTTCTTGTCAAAGTAATATATTCACATAGTTTAAAAAGTCAAATAGAATAATAAGACTTATTACACAACCACAACAACAACACAACAGTTATCTGTCCCTCTCTTCTACACACCTGGATCCTTCCCTCTCTTTATACACCTGGATCCTGCTTCCTAGAATAAACTTCTTTCAGTTTTGTGAGCTTCTGGTATTTACCTCCTAATTCCCAAATAATATGGTTATTATGCCTTTTTGTTTTTGTTTTTGAGTTGGAGTCTCGCTCTGTCACCAGGCTGGAGTGCAGTGACGTGATCTCAGCTCACTGCAACCTTTGCCTTCCGGATTCAAGTGATTCTCCTGCCTCAGCCTCCCGAGTACCTGGGACCATAGGCGCTTCACCACGCCCAACTAATTTTTGTATTTTTTGGTAGAGACGGAGTTTCACCATGTTAGCCAGTATGGTCTCGATCTCTTGACCTCGTGATCCGCCCACCTCAGCCTCCCAAAGTGCTGGGATTACAGGCATGAGCCACCGTGCCCGGCCTATTATGCCAGTTTTTGATTTATCAATTTATATTTTGTGCATTGATGTTCTGCTGTGGAATTAAGGACTTAGAGTCCTTGTGACCCCTCTCAACGCTTATTCATTCTCTCCTCCTTCCCTTCAATATGGCAGTATTCCAGTTTTTGGTTAAATCAATATTCAGTGTTTATATTACTATGATTATATAAACATTGCTCACAGAGGAGTCATATTATATTTTATATTTATATATATATTTTACATTTCTGTTAGTTAATGATTACTTATTTCTTTCATTTGCATGGCTATCATGGTATCTAGCACTCATATTTTTTCAAACTCTTCAAAATACCCTATAAATCTTCTGTCAATGCAGTCAAACATATCAGATAAGATATCAGTTCCAGGTTTCTATATTTTGTTATTAAAAACATCCTCTTGGTGCCCCCCTGTACTCCTGCTCCATTCTGGATTGCATCACTGGCATCTGAAAACTTCCTTTCCAATCATCGGGAAGCCTCTGCCTCCTGCCTGTTGGATCCCCTGTTTTCTGGATCTCACATATTCTTTCTTGGTTTACTCTCTCATCTTGATGGAGCACATTCTTTAGTAGCTTTCTGAGAAGGTATGTATGAAAGCTATGTATTTTTGAGTCTCTGTAAGTCTAAAGGTAACAAAAAATAACACTGATAGAGTCTTAACTTTTGGTAATTAAGAAATATACTCCTAAGTAAGACTTGATACTGGATAAAAGAAGAAATCAATTTTGAAATAATAAGCCATTTACACACAATAAATATTTTGTATCAATCCCAGCAGGAAGCAGAACTCTATTCAGATGGTTCAACAGAATAGATTTTACTAAAGTGATTATTTTCAAAGGTTTGGGCAGAATTAAGGAACATTGCAAAGACTGGCAACAATGGGAAGCTGTTGTCACCCCTAAGCTTGAAGGGACAAGGTGAGTAAATCATGCTAGAGGAATACAGTGTGCACTGGATGAGATGGTACCTGGAAGAAATGTAGCAATTAACACTGCAAAAACTGCTAGGATGGACTGGGGTGGGGAGTAGGGCAGAACTCTTTTCTCCTGTTCTCTGATTTCCCACGGCTGCCTTCCATTGGCCAAAATCCACTGAAAGTTATTCAGCAAGAGAACCGAGGTGATACAGTCCATGAAGGAAGGGTTCCAGGAGCACAGAGTAGAACAGAAAAAGGTAAGAATGAGTCTAGTGAGTACAGATGGAGAAAAACAGCATGTACTTCCTGCCAAAATTGAGATACAGTTAAGAGTGACTTCAAAGGAAAATTTATAGCTGCAAACATATTTGTTTTATAGAAGAAAGACAAAAAGAAAGAAATCCATCTTAAAAATTAGAAAAAGAATTAGAAAATGTAACAAAAACTAGGAAGAAGAAAATATTAAAGATAGAAGTTGAAACAAATAATATAAAAAGCAAAACAATAAGCAGAAAGGACAAATAAATCCAAAAGCAGTTTTCTTGAAAAGACAAAAAAATTAGATCATGGTCTTCAAAAATCTGATGAAGGAAAAGAGGGAATAAAAATGTTTGTAATTAGAAATGAAAAGGTGACAGTCACATGTACATGCAACTTCATTGCCTGAAAACATGCAACTTTATTTTCTTACAAAATGTAAATGACCAAAACTGACTCAAGAACAAGTAGAAAAGCTGAAGAATCCAACTACTGTAAAAAACAGAAGATTAATAATCAATAAATATTTAAAAACATTATGAAGCAATGGTTTCACAGCTGAGTTTTAGCTAACCATTAGAGAACAGGTGAGTCTAATATTAAGTAAATTATTCTAGGCTTTAGAGAAAGATTTCTTTGATTCACTTAAGCAAATGTGGTCTAATCCTGTAAGGAAGGACAAAGAATAAAATAAAATAAAAGGAAATAGGAGACTAATGTTAGGAATAAACTTGCTACAAGTCTAAATAAGATGATAAAAATCGAATCCAAACAGAGTATTCAAAAAGTAATACACTATGACAAACAGGTTTATCCCAGAAATACAAAGACGATTTGATACCAGAAAAATCCATAAACATAATACGTTAGTTATTATGTCTACAAAATGAAAGAGAAGAAAAAAAAAAAGAGCATATTGATTTAATCAATCGATGCTGAAAAGACCTTTGTTAAAGCTAGGCAGAAATTCCTAAATACGACTAAGTTAACTAGGACTAGAAGAATAGTTAAATTAAATAGCAGCCATAGAGTCGGTATAATATAAACACATCATTGCATAGAAGAGGAAATGGATTTCCTTGGAAGAGAAGCGATTTAAAAAGTATGCAGAAAATTAGTTGTCGGACAGGGAAGAGAACTCAGGTGTCCTACGTGGTCTTGATCTATGTCGCCCTGTGAGCCCATTGTGCCACAGGTGTGGGGACCCAATTTGGTTTATGCTTTGGTCTCAAGTTGCAACATTTTCTTGATGTGACCTTGAGGTTTGCTTGCTTGTTTATTGATCATTGCTGCCTCCTGTCTGCCTTTCTCTTTTTCCTATTTATTCTATATCTCTCTGTGGCCATTGTGTTTGCTGAAGGCTTTACTGTGGGAAAGGAGGACTACTTACAACAGAGCATTGGCTTATGCCTGAGGAATGACTACCAATTCTGCATTCATTTTCTTTAAAAATATTTAGATTGGGTGTCTCCAGGGTTCTGTGTGCCATGCCAGGGAATTAGAGCACATACTGACTGATTAGCTTGCCTCATAATAACAGTGGAAGGAAAAGTCAGTCGCATGTTATAAAAGAGGAAACTGAGGTTTAATGAGATGATGGGTAAGTGGTTTTGGCCAGGAAATAATTGTCAGTGCTGGGATTTGATCTATGTTACTTGAGGACAAGCCCAGTGCTTTTCCTATAACACCACAGCTACCTCTTGTCACCCTGAGAATTTTAGAAAATTGTAGAATGTGGTGAAGGTAAAGTAAGTAAAGCTCCAGATTCTCTTGGTTGAAGGCATGCGCTGTAGTGTCCCAGGCCTTCCATGAGAACTGGATTCTGGACAAGAATCACAGCTGCTCACTGATTGAGGGGAAACGCATGGGCCTGGGAATTCCTTGTTTATATTAATAGTTTTGCTATTTACCAGGTGTGAATGTTTGGACTACTCCATTTGCTCTCCGTCATGCTCAATTTCCTTATTTTTTAAATGGGAATGACAGTATAGATTTCCCAGGTAGTTCTGAGGATTGAGTAAAATTATGTAGGTAAGGTGTCTGGAAAAATGGATGCACTGAGTGATTATAATAAATAAGTAAGTGATCCCTTCCTATGAACTGACGTGATCCATTTGCCTCACACACACTTATTGACAAGCTTCTCTGTGTCAGAATGAGGTACCTATATGTGTAGGGAAATATTAGAAATTAAAATCCGCTTCATGTTAATTTAATTCCTTTTAATTTTAGCAAAAAAAAAATCAAACATTTTAAAGCACTTTAATCTCAACAGTCTAATTTTTATCTCTACATTTTATTTATGTCATATCAACTTAGTGGGAAATATTTTCCTAATTGGGTTTGTCTGTGTTGAGAACAGGGACTCCTGTCCCGTAGCCCAGCCCTGTGGTCTGCCCACCGGCTGGTACTGTTTTTTCTGCTTTTTCTTCCAGTGACCATGAAAAATTGACAAAACATTTAGATGTGGCATAACATATTTACGCTAATATAGCTATTTCAGAATCATTTTTTCTCTTTAGCTTCAAATCTCTCTGGGACTAACTTGGCAAGAAAGAAGGTGGTAATTTTTATAGAAATTAGTAACTCTAATCCTTTTATTCTAAAAAAGATTTGCTACTAAATAATCTTTTTATTTACCAATGGGTATTTTTGAAGCTGAATTCTAAGGCAATTTACACTTTGATTTTAGTGCCTGCTATTCTAAGAGAACATGTTTTTTTTTGTTGTTGTTTGTTTGTTTGTTTGTTTGTTTTGAGACAGAGTTTTGCTCTTGTTCCCCAGGCTGGAGTGCAATGGTGCGATCCGATCTCAGCTCACTGCAACCTCAGCCTCCTGGGTTCAAGTGATTCTTCTGCCTCAGTCTCCTGAGTAGCTGAGATTACAGGCACTCGCCACCATGCCCGGCTAATTTTTGTATTTTTAGTAGATACAGGATTTCGCGATGTTGGCCAGGCTGGTCTCAAACTCCTGACTTCAAGTGACCCCCGCACCTCGGCCTCTCAAAATGCTGGGATTACAGGCATGAGCCACTGTGCCTGGCCTCCATTAGTAAGTTTTAACTTAACAACTTTCTGCAAAATAATTTTCAAATTCTTATAGATAATACATAGATAATACCCTTATCAGTAAAGAGTGCTTAGTATTGCTAAATAAAGTTAAAAATTGTGAAATATGCCATATGCTAGCATTATATTTTTTTTGTAAGGCCATTTACTGGGATTGAGATAGAGTTTTTTGCTGTGTAGAAGATATGGAAATTTCTATCTTACATCATAATACATTCCACTTCCTTAGCTAAAACTCTTTCATTATCTCTTTTGTAAAATGAATCTTTGAGCTGCAGAGAACAAAATTCTTAGGAACTACGAATAAAGGATAAATTTTTCTTTTCATAGTCACCCCAGTGGAAGGGAAATGATTCAGGAAAGATAGGTATTAGCATTTACAAACAGTAGGTCTTCTAAGGGAAAAAAGTCTGTAATTTTTTAGAATAATATATTAGGAATTTGCACACTAGTATGTTTCAAACAAATTGCTAAAGTAGTTAATTACTTCAAAGCACATATTTTACAATGATTTTAATGTATTTTGAATATAAAATCCCACACATACATCCACATGCACATATTAGGTTGCCATTTTACAGTTTAAAAATATTAGTCCAATGAATATGTGTATGTGATTATATGTGTTTCCCAGTGAAATGACTTGTAAATTCATTGATCATCTACTTTGTCCAGGTGACTCCAGGCCTGTGTTTTTCTTAAAGCCTGTCCCGTTGGTTAATTTTCATCCTCTCCATTTTATAGAGTAGGAACCTCAGAAGGGCAATATACCATAGTCAAATTCCTACATCTAGCCATTGGAAGACCTGCACTTCTAATCTCATGTGTATTTCCCTATCCCTTTTCTAACAAGCTTGGAAATAGAATCTTGGAAGGCTTTTTATGCCAGGCCAATGCATCTGTTCCTCAAAACTCCCTGTATGGTAGGAATGTGGAGAGTCGGGATCTCTTTTTTGGATTTTAGAAAATCGCAGTAATCTGTTCTGGGGGTCCAGCTATGCGGACTCCTTTTGGTGGCAGGGAAGTCTTTTGATTCTTATACTTCCATATGATATCCACCTTGGATTAGGAGACCTTCAGTTTGAGTTTTTGTGCTCACAGAAGTGTGGAGTCAGTTGGTTTAGAAAAATATTTTCATTTAGAACATTTATGGAAAACATGAGCAAATCCTGTAGTTTTCTTGATGGCATTACGTCAGTCTAAGTGATAAATGAAGCAGACATTTGTTGAGCAGCAACAGTGTGCAAAGCAACAGGCAGAGACTGCACAGATACAAAACAGGATGCTGCTGTTCTTAACCAGATACTCAAGCTTAAATAAATCACCATCAAAACACATTATCAAGTGGAGCCATGAGAAGGACACACAAATGTCTTAGGGACTGAAAGAGTGGCAAATGTGTCTCTATTTAGAAGGATAAGAAAATACCTGCTTTGGTAGAGAGATGTGATGGACCTTAGTGAAGTAGGTGAGATTGGAACAAGTAGTAATAAAGGTCAAAAAGGGAGTTCCGAACAGAGGACACAGCCCAGGCACAGGCCCGCGGGAAGTGAAGTGTGGGAACATTCAGCAAAGTGCAAGGTTCTGCTGGCTCATGTGATTCGTGCTCTACGGAGATACTCATTTCAACTGACCTCTACTCTGCTTCCAAATCTTTCTCACTTTTTCTGACATCTGACCTTAAAACTGGCTTTCTCACTCACATCTTCATCTTCCTCTTTGGAGCTGACAGCCAGCTGCATCTATCTGACTTAGACCTTAAGAATAAAACATCGTAGTGAATGGAAGCAGGGTTATGTTATGACTTTCATGGGCTCTAGAAGCTTTGAACTTCATGGACCCCTTTCTGCATAAAGAAATATTAAATTATACATTATTAAATTATAGTTAACACATTTATGACAGTGTTGATATTAAAAAAATAGTATAATACTTATTTTCTTCAACTTAAACCCAAAAAAGAAGGGGAGAATGGTCAATAGTTTTGATGGATATAGAGAAATCATAGAGAATGAGATTTGATGGGTCTGATTTTCTATGGTCAATAAAAAAAAAAGGGGGGGCCGGGTGCCGTGGCTCAGGGCCAGGCATGGTGGCTCACGCCTGTAATCCCAGCACTTTGGGAGGCCAAAGCAGGTGGATCACTTGAGGTCTGGAGTTCAAGAGCAGCCTGGCCAACATGATGAAACCTTGTCTCTACTAAAAATACAAAAATTAGCCGGGTGTGGTGGCACACACCTGTAATCCAAGCTACTCAGGAAGCTGAGGCAGGATAACCACTTGAACCCAGGAGGCGGAGGTTGCCGTGAGCTGGGATTGTGCCACTGCACTCCAGCCTGGGCAACAGAGTGAGACTCCGTTTCAAAAAATAAATAAATAAATAAATAAAGGGATAAAACGTTCTTCTCAGTCACTCCTGTTTCAGACTCTTTCTCTACTTATACATTAACCATCCTGAAAAGATCACTTGTCTTGGGGAGCTCAGCCCCCACCCCCAGAATCAACCACCTTATGTACAAATCTTCATGATGTTGCTTTCATGGGTTGTTGCTCTCACTTCAGTTCTGCCAGAGAAAACTAGGTGACATGTAAAGAGAGAGTGTTCTGAGATAGAAATGGTTAATTTAATACCTTTCAGTCATACATTATTCAATTAAAAAATAGCCATCAGTAAAGCTGGCCAGACTGTGGGAGGCTTTAATAGCAGATAAGAAGTTTGGTTTTTGATATTTATTGGCAAAGGCAAGCAATGAAGATCTGTGAAGATGGCATGAGGAACCGGGGGCTGTGCAGTAGCCTAGACAGGGACTAGCAGGGGCTTAGACTTGTGGGGAGGGGCGTGGAGAGGAAGTGATATATTCTAGAGATGTGAACCTAAAACAGATGAGACTTAGTGATCAAGTAGGTGTTGGGAATGAGGCAGAGGGAAGACGGCAAGGTTCTCAGTCCCCCAGTGGGTGGATGTTGCAGCTGTGATACGGCAAAGGACAGGCTACTCCTGGTCCTCTGCATTGGAGCCCTCCCTGCCTCGTATTTCTCATAGGCTTCTCCTCACACACTGTCTTCAGAAGCAAAGGACATTCTAGAGCCTCTATCTTTTTTTTTTTTTTTTGAGGAGTCTCACTTTGTCACTCAGGCTGGAGTGCGGTGGCGCGATCTCAGATCACTGCAACCTCCACCTCCTGGTTCAAGCAATTCTCCTGCCTCAGCCTCTCGAGTAGCTGAGATTACAGGCATGTGCCACCATGCCCGAATAATTTTTGTAGTTTTAGTAGAGATGGGATTGCACCATGTTGGCCAGGCTGGTCTCGAACTCCTGACTTCAAGTGATCCATCCGCCTTGGCCTCTCAAAATGCTGGGATTACAGGCGTGAGCCAGCATGCCTGGCCACCTCTATCGTTTAAAAAAGCATGTCAGTTCAATATGAATTATGCAAGTTTATGGGGTTTCTAAGTAAGCCTGCTATGACAAATTCTTTTTTCTGTCAATCAATTTAAGAAGGTTAAATTTCCAGTGGGGTCATGTTTATCGGCCTGGATTTTACTTCACATAAAACAAGGGTCCTATCCTCAACTCTTTTACATTTTGTAGAACTCTATGCAATTTTGCAGGAAGTATTGATCTGATGATGATCCTAGCTTGTGTGAAACAGGAGAATGGCCCTCAGGCTTGAGAAATTAAAAATTGTTGATATGCATTTACCCAATACTGGGATTCTACTGAGCGCTCATCACCACTTCATTTTTTGTTTAACAGACCTATTCACCTTAGGCATTTCCCTCGGAGGAAGATGGGAAGGAAAAAGAATGGTAATAGAGTTTGGATACGTCAATGTAGACACTGGCTCAAGGTATGATAGAGGTGACCTGAAACTATTGCCTCAAGTTGTTTTGATAACATCTGCAGGTGCATTTCTTCATCTCACATATACCTATGGGCTATAAGGCCTATACTAGGTACAATTTATAGAGATGGGGAAATGACCATCCCTGCCTTCAGGAAATGCATAGCCGATGAACAGAAACACCCACAGATCATTTTAAAGGCTCTGATAGAGAGATATGCAAGGCAGATGAGGGAAGGAACTGCAGGTTTGTTGGAAGGCTTCACGCAGGAGATGATTTGAACTGAACCTCAATTACTGAAGAATTAGGAAGGGAAACACATTTCTGGCAAAAAGAAAAGCATGTAGGACAGCATAGAGATTTGAAAGAAAATGAAAGGATAGGAGAATGAGGACTATTATGGTATGGGTATGGAGTAAATGGTGGGCTTGGGGATGGCAAGGACAGAAAGAGAGGCAGGAATTAGGGAATTATGGAGGTCAGGGCTGTGCGGTCCTTACCTGCCTGCCTATGGAGACTGAGCTTATCTTGAGGGCAATGAGAGCCAAGCGTGTGATATTAGCAAAACTGGGAGGACTTGCTTTGTATTGTAGGAATCTGATCTGGGCTGGGTTACTTGATCTGCCACCCTCTCCAGCTATGGCCCCATTTCTTGCTTTTCTACATAGCAAACTTCTCAAAGGAAGTTGCTCGTTCTCTTTATTTCTTTGCCTCCCATTTACCCTTTATTCCGTGCCAATCTGGCTTTTGTTCCCACCACTTCGGTAAAACTGTTTTTTTAGGATTACCACATGTCAAATCTAACAGGCGCACCTTTGTTCTCATTCTCTTTAACTTTGTAGTGATATTCCAAAACATTGTCATCTCCTTACCTGATATACGTTCTTGCTGGCTCCTCTATGAATCCTTGCCCTACTACCTCGTAGGCCTCTGCTTCTCTGATTCTTTGCATGCTTCTCTTCTCCCTGGCTTCAAATGGAAGAACACTCGAGGACTGAGTCTTAGGCATTGTTTCTTCCCTATTGAAAATCTCTCTCTAGGGGACTTTGTCACTCCGTGGACTTTAAATTCCATCCGCATGTGGATCAATCTCAAATGTGTATCTCTACTCCTCACATATATACTCAACTCCGGACTCGTAAATCCTACTGCTGTTTAGACATCTGTAGACATACTGCTGTGGACATCAGTGGGCATCAGAATGGAGTGTTGATGCTGCCTCCCCCTCATTCATACTTCCACCTCTTCTAGTATTCTGTATCTCAGGAAAACATAATATTATCCACCTTATTACTCAATCCAAAAACACAGGTGTTGGTGTAATCCTTGATTCGCTCCCTTCTCTCATTCTGCATTTGCTATCAGCCTTTTAAAATATATATCTCAAACTCACCCATTTCTCTCCATCTCTACTCTCAATACTCTAGTCCGAGCTACCATTATCTCTTCCCTAAACAACTAATTTTCTGGAGCTTCCATGCTTGTCATCACCCCAAATCCATTCTCTACATAGTAGTAAGAGTAACATCTACCTACATAAATCAGAATGTGTTATTTCCATCTTTAAGAGTCTTTCATGACTGCTCATTGAACTTGGAATAAAAATCTCAAATCCTGGGCCTGGTCTTCAAGGCCCTATACAGTGTGGACTCAGCCTCTTCTCTGGCCTTGTGTGTTCTCTCTCCCTTTGTCTCACATTGTCTGTCTACCAAGGGCTTCTTTCCTCCTCTTACCTCAGTGCCTTTGTACTTACTGATTCATCTGTCTGAACTCTCTTTACCTTGGTTTTCATATCACTGGATTCTGTCACCATTCAGCTCAAAGGCATCTCTTCTGAGAGAGCTTCCTCGATTACATTCCTGAAAATGATCTTCCAGTCACCTTCCATTATGTCACCTGTTTATTTCCTCCACAGCACTTGTTAGTATTTGAGTTTATTTGTTTTCGTACTGTATGCCTCCTCTCATTGGAATGTCAGCTCCCTGATGGAGAGCACTGGGCTGTGTTGCTTACCACAGTATTCTCAGTGCTAGATTAGGGCATGCACATA
This sequence comes from Homo sapiens, assembly GCF_000001405.40. Lineage (NCBI taxonomy): Eukaryota > Metazoa > Chordata > Mammalia > Primates > Hominidae > Homo > Homo sapiens. The sequence goes on along the minus strand of NC_000002.12, from coordinate 14,884,615 downwards.
GTAGGTAGTGAATACAATTTTTGTTGCATAACTAAATACAAAACCATGCCAGGTCTCTCATCTCTGTGTGCACATCTTTAGGATGCACAGTGACACAGAACAGAGTTTGCAACCTTTTCCCAGTCCCTCAGCCTACCCTCTTCTTCATTGTTTTTGAGGTGGGTGAGCAATTTTGATTTGGCCAGGTTCCAGGAAGTGTTTTCTCATGAGTGTGCTGTGAAAAGTCACGCACATGAATTAGCTCCTCTCTCTACTGCAGACTGAGACTCTCCAACTCCCTTCCCAACTGAAATGTTGGTCCAACCTCAGTAGTCAGATGCTGGTGCCGGTTTCTGGAGTCCTTGAGGGTCCTTTGCATTCTGGCTTCATGTTGCTACATAGTTTCGAGATGCTTACAAGCCCAACTCTCTGTAAAAATCAGCACATTAACTACGCTCAAAATGAAGCTTGCCATCATGAGAAGGATCCCTGGTTGGACCATGGTGGTTGTGGGCATGCATCCTAAGGGAATCTCTGTTCTCTTTGCTGCCAAGAGTCCCCCCAGTAACCACTGGGTAGTTATCAATGCTCTGCTCTTTCCATGTTGTATTTAAGTTCCTTACCTTTCTTTCTTTTATTTTTCTTTATTTTATTTTATTTTTTTTGAGAGAAGGTCTTACTATGTCACTGAGGCTGGAGTACAGTGAGGCAATCATGGTTCACTGATGGTTCACTGCAGTCTCAACCTCATAGGCTCAGGTGATCCTCCTACATCAGCCTCCCAAGTAGCTAGGACTATAGGAGTGTGCCACCACGCCCAGGTATTTTTTGTAGAGATGGGGTTTTGCCATGTTGCCCAGGCTGGTCTTGAATTCCTAGGATCAAAAGATCCCCTGCCTTGGTCCCCCAAAGTGCTAGGATTACAGGTGTATTCATTACCTTTTTAGCAGTCATTTCTGGGGGAGGAGGGTAGACACCTCTAGAGAGGTTGATCAATTCAGCATGGATGTGCTACCTGTAGTGACGGAGCTGGTGTTAGAATTCTTATTTCTTGACTCCAAATCATAGTGATTTTGGCCACAATTTTCTGCCGGTGGACATTGTCCATACCTCAGGAGTCACTTCCCTTTTCTAAATTTTTTTAGGGATTTTCAAGTTCAGAGCTCCTTCGACCTAAGTATCTATCTTGAGAAATTTTCTTGTATATTGTCCAGGTTAATAGGATGCAAGAGAGATTGCAAGCATAAAGCATTTAAAAATTTGAGATATATTATTCAGGTTAAGTAAATAAAATGTAAACTACAACATTAGTACTAAAGGGCATACACTTACTATCATCCTATCTTGCAGTATGAGTTAGAAATATATGAAGATGCTTTTCGGAGAAAATACGAACAAATTTTCAAAGGATGAAGAAAATGCTTTCAAGAAGACACATATGCACACCTTGAAGCTTCTTTTCATTTTCTTTATCCCAACTAAGCACAAAATTACCATGTCTTTCAATAGAATCTTTAATATGTAAATGTGAAATTAAGCAAATGCTTAAGTTGACGTATTTCACGCACATTTTAGCAGTTATAAACTTTGTCACTGCTGTGCTTATGTCTTCAATCACCCCTTAAGAAATCTAATTTTAGGTTTTATGTGGGCAAATATCACCAGGGGATGCAGAGTGGTTCATGTAAACAATAACAGAACAGAACTGTGGATAGGCAGCTGAAGAGAAACAGACAACACTGATATGAGTCTCTATGGACAGAGTGCCAGAGGATGTTGTTGCATTTTTGACACGATCATTAACAAAAACCTATCAGGCTCCTACTATAAACATGGCATTTGATAATGGCTTTATTATTTCTCTGGTAGAGGCACAACTCTTTCCCATCAACTTCTGGGAAGAGTTAAAGACAAAATGTAGTCCTCAGAAATATGTATTTAGGCCATGATGCTCGATGAGAAATCATTTGGTGGGAAGAGAGATTAAAACTCTCTCTTATGCAGAACCCATGTGGATTATTTTGTTTTCTTGATAATTTCTCTTTGAGGATCACCTCACTTTCTCTTCCCTTCTAGGTAGCTGGCAGTGTGAAAATGCATTGCCTGAGAGAACCTTTCCAATGAGCTCATTTTGGAATGTCAAGGGTGGAACCCTAGAAAAGGAGGCATGCATGGCTTAGGCAAGTTTCTTTGTGTCTTGGGGAAGAATCCTATCTTTTCCAGGGTTCATCTTTCTATTTCATAATGATTTTCATCCCCTCTTATAATTATGAAGTTAAAACTTGGAAGGTGAAGATCTGGGTGTGGATCTGGGGAAGTGGTTTCAGGAGGTTGCTCATTCCTCATTTTAGTCTAGAAGGACAAAATGAATCCTGTAACTCAAGTGTGGATCAGTTCTTCTAGCAGATAGGATGAATTACTGGGATTGGAATCAAACTTTGGATTTAAAATCAGAGCCATTATTTTCTTTAATCATGACTAATACACTGTGTTGAGCATTGTAGCCAGCTGAGTGTACGGATGGGGAGAATCGGGTCTGGGGGCAGTGCTAGGGTAATGGAGAGAGTAATAATCCATGAAATTATTATTTCTCTTTTCTTTCTTCTCCTCTCATCTTACTTTGGATGTTACATGGGACATTTACACATTATTCTTCCATTTTTGTCCCCATCTTTGTTCTTCTCTCAGATTTACTGTTATATTTACTCTGTATTTGCCACAAGACATTTTGGCAGGTTCCCCAGTAATTCTCTTATTTGGTTATAGCCCATTCTCTGATATAAGAGTTGGCAAACTTTTTCTGTTAAAAGGCCAGCTAGTAAATATTTTAGGAGACCATACAGGCTCTGTTGTAACTACGCAGCTCTGCCATTGCAGTACAAACACACATATAAACAATGCATAAATGAATAGGGTGGCTGTGTTCCATGAAAACAAAAACAGGTGGCAGCTGGATTTAGCCCACAGGCCCTGGCTGGCTAGCCCCAATCTAGTAGATTCCTCAGAAAAGATTCAATAATATAGTATTCTCTGAGTTTTTAAATGTTCTGCTTTAGATGGTTCTTGAAAGATACCTGGGCTGCATGTAGATTCCTGGATTCACAGTTTTTCTTTTTGAAAATTGTTTTTAGATTTGGCGGTACATGTGCAGATTTGTTACATGAGTAATTGCATAGTTGTGGGGTTTAGACTTCTAGTGAACCCATCACCCAAATAATGAACATAGCTCCCAACAGATAATTTTTGAACCCTTCCCTTTCTTCCTCTCCCCCTACTTTTGGAGTTCCCAGTGTCTGTTGTTTCCATTGATTTTATGTCTATGTGTACCCATAGTTAAGTTCCTACTTATGAATTAGAACATGTGGTATTTGATTTTATGTTTCTGCATTAATTCACTTAGGATAATGGCCGCCATAGATATGTCACATAGATAATAGCTGTATCTATGTTGCTGCAAAGGATATGACTTCATTATTTTTATGGCTGCATAGTATACCATGGTGTACATATACTACATTTCCTTTATCCAATTCACTGTTGATGGACACTTAGGTGGATTCTGTGACTTTGCTATTGTTGGCTCACACTTTTTCTTTCTTGAGTCTTAAAGAACTTTTTTTCACTCATGCTTTCTGTGCTGTTATTGAGAAGTCTGATGCCAATCTGATTTTTTCTTCTTGTAAATAAATTTTTTTTTTTTTTGCTATCCTGGAGGTCCATAAAATTCCTTTTATTTTCTTTTGACTTTAAAGCCTAATAATTTCTGTAGGATACCCTTCAAAGTTGACCATTCAGAGTAAATTTTTCCCAAGGTACATTGTAGGTCTTTTTAATCTGAATATTTAGGTCTTATTTTATTTTGGAATGTTTTCTTGGATTAAATATTAGTTCTGTTACATTGTTGTAGTTTTCCAGAAAATATATATGTTGAATCCTCTTTTATTGTCTTTCATATCTCTTATTTTCAGATTTCTTTTGGTCTTTTTCATCTTATTTTTTTCTCCTGACTGATTACTCTTTTCAATGTTTCTTTTTATAGTTTCAGCACAATCTGTCCTCCTTTTTACCTTATAATGTAGCTTTAATTTCTAATATGATTTTGTCTTTTTCATCAATTTCTTTCTTTAGTTCGTTCATGTTTCATAAATCCATTTTTATTCCATTTTGAATTTCTAATTAATGATATTGTTTTCTATTTGTCATTGCTTGTTTAACTTACTTCATGCTGGTATGTTGTGTCATAGTTTTCCTTTATTTTATGTGGAATTGATAGAACATTTAAAGCTGAAAATTTTTAGTACTCATTTTTAATTTCCTCTTATAGTGATTTCATATGGATTTTGCTTTCTTTTCCTGTTCATCCTAAAAGGTCTTAGATTTTCTGAAATAGCAATAATTAATGTATCTATGAAAAGGTATGGGGGATTTGGGTATCCCTACCGGGTTTCTTTGTTCAAGGGCTCCTTCATCTGTATATGGTTTTTAAATTAATAAAAAACTTTCTTTTGAGGGGTAGATGTTGTTCAACAGGGTCTTCTAATTCTGTAATATACTTCTTTCTTTATCCTCACTGCTAAGTCTCCAAGGAATGGCTCTTCTTTCAGGTTGGCTCCTTCTGCTCCAGAACTGGTGTTTTTCCAAGACTGCCTCCTTTATGCCTCTGTATTTTCAAACTGCTTCCTATAGCTTCTCCAATTGCTAGTCTACCCTGTCTTAGACATTTTACTGGCATTTTCCATTTAAAGTGAGGTCTTTTTCTGAGCATGATGTTATCTGTGTTTCTCCACCTCTAGGAGTATGATGCACTCTCTTTTCTATGAAGTCTGTCTCCCCATTCTCTGCTCTGGGATAAGCCCCAAAGTGGTCTTTGTTAGTTGGATCTTTATTTTACTGCTTACATAAATACTAAAGTTTGTAGCATAGTGTTCTAGTCATCCTGTAGGCATGCTATAAGCTGTGTTGTTTATAGTTTTACTTGAGTTTCTCTTTAATCTATGGGTTATGTTATTATCTTGTAAGAACTGAGAAATGAAGTCTTCCCTATAAATCCTTAATCACAAATCTTGGTAAACAGATTTGTAATCTGTTTATATTTTAGTAATGTTTGTATATTGATATATATACACAAAATTATATCAAAATAAAAATATACGGTTAATGTCACCGTTGGTAAAGGTGGGTTAGAGAACATAGCTTTGACCTACAATTTTCTCCTGAATTGAACTTGTTTGTCTACCTTTAAGCAGTGTGGCTAGAAAATTGTTCTGATAAACTTGCCACATGGCAGCAAAAACAGTGAGAAGAATATACTCTAGTTGAGGTCTAGCAGGTCCCCCAAAATGGTGAGTATACAAACAAAAATCTGCACATGGATGCTTATGGCAGCTTTATATGTAATTTTTAAAACTTGGAATCAGCCAAAATGTTCTTCAGTAGGTGAATAGATAAACTATGGTATATCCAGCCAATGGAATATTATTCAGTGCTAAGAAGAAATGAACTATAAAGCCATGAAGAGACATGGTAGAAACTTAAATGCATATTACTAAGTGTAAGAAACCAATCTAAAAAGTCTACATAGTATATATAATTTTAAATATATGCCATTCTGGAAAAGTGAAAACTATGGATATAGTGAAAGGATCAGTGGTTGCTAGGGGTTCGTGGGAATGCTGAGGTAAACAGACAGATCACGGGATTTTTAGTGCAGTGCCACTACTCTGTATGATGCTATAATGGTCGACACATGACATCATATGTTTGTCTAAACCCATAGCATGTACAACACAAACAGCAAACCCTAATGTAAGCTATGGATTTGGGGTGATAATGACGTGTCACTGTAGGTTCATCAACTGTAACAAATGTACCACTTGATGGGGGATGTTGATAGTTGGGGAGGCTGTATGTGTGAAGGCAGGGAGTATGTGGGAACTGCCATTACTTTTAAGCATTCCATTTTTCTGTGAACCTGAAACTGATCTAAAAATAGAGTCTACTTAAAAATAAAATAAAAACAGTGAGTACATAGAGGATATCCTGGGATCCTGCTCAGATCCCAGCTTCTGAGTGGAGGTAATCAGTTTTCCAGCTTCCAGGAGTATTGGATGCTGATGACTCACAGCTAAGGACCTCTCTGAGAATTTCCCTTGGCCAAAGGAAGCTGGCCCACCCAATGATATGGCTCCTTTTGGTAAGCAGCTCACATGCAAGACTGGCCATTGTGAGGGTACAAAGTCAACGACCCCCTTCCTTTAATTTGGCACAACTGTGAAGGACACCCCAGGCCCATACCTCCCTGTGGGACTGCCTTTAACCTTTGCTGCAATGGCGTTGCAGTTCAACTCCCTCTGTTCAGCAGCTCTTTCCTCTCTTCAGGTGTGCTCTTGAGAACATTCCCCATTAAGTTTCATGTAGGAAAACTCATCTTAAAGTCTGTTTGCCAGTTGGTGCCAGGAGTGTTCTGAGGAAGTAGGCAATAAGGCAGGATTTTAGTGTTGCATTACTTGCCAGCAAGCTAGCACTAAATGGGAGCACTAGTAGGCCCTGGCACGCTGTAGTTGAACAATAGTTAGTGCTTTTACCCATGGTGAACTGGGATGAAATGGGTTGGGGAAATGCGCTGGCAGGTACAGTATCGCAGGCTTTTGAGAGGTTTGGAGGAATTAGTAATTACAAGGATAATGGAATCTGATGGCTGTTGCTGAATTTTATTAATATATTGGAGGAAGACAGTAAAAGGTTAAAGGTGACTGGTGGTTAAATGTGAAATATAAAGCCAGAAAGCTCCTTTATAGCATATAAAAAGAGTCTCATATCTTGCGGCTGGAGGCCAAGAAAAGCTGAGGATTAAGTCCAGGACTTAATTAATAGTAGTGTCTGCAAATTTGAACCCTCAACCCTAGAAAGTCTCTAACACTCAAGTCAGGCTCTAGTTAGTAAAAAGTGAGACTCTGAAACTTGGGATGATGATATTTGAGCGAATGCATTAAAAAAATCTTGAAAACCCATGTTTTCCTAACTCCCCAGGCCTAAAGAAGATACCACTCCTTCCTGATTAAGGCTGGTGCACCCATGTTGCTTGAAGGTGATGCAGAAGTATTTGTCTTATTAGACAATGCATTCCTGTCTTAGAATATACCTCCACTTTGCTTAGCATCAATAACTAGAGTCAAATAGTAACATTATCCAATGTAGAAATGCTAGGTCTGATAAGGGAACAAGGAACAAAAGATCTGCAGATAGCCAGTATATACCAGTAGGAGCCAGGAGAAAACATACTGAACTAGATCCCGAAGTTGCTGAATCAAGGGGGGTGGAATGTAAAGAGAGTTAATTGACAGAGAAGCAGCCACATTAATATGGGAATTAATGTCCTTTTAAAGTGGGTGGAAAGCAGTGCGAAAACACAGCTAGGATGGCTCTTGGAAACTTGGAAAAAGTATGGGCCACACTATGTGAAGTAGACACACAGTGGAAGGAGGGATTAAGTCAAAAGGCAGGGAAACTGTCATGCTAAAGTGCATACACTATGTACAAGCCTGAAAAATCATCCATTAACCACATTCCACAGGAGAGCTCAGAGTTAAGAACGTGGTGAGGATTGTGCTGGTTAGAGGGGGCAAGTGTCACTGAGAGGCTTAGTGGTAGTTGCTTTTCGTAGGCCTGGGATGATGTAGGAGATACTTTTATAAAACTGGGATTCCCTGATTCCAATGAGGTGCTGCATTCCTGAAATACATGTGACCAAGTGGTAGCACATAATCATCAGAAGCAGGCTGGACACATCAGGAATAGCAAGGCTGGAGTCAGCGGCCGGGAGGCCCTGTCCTACAGAGAGCTAAGGGTGTGTTAGTCTGTAAAAGAATGATCAGCCAACATGGGGATAGCTTTACCTGTACAATCAAAAGGAAATATGGAAGGATGATCAGAAGGTTGACATCAGCTTCCCCAACCAAAAATAATAATTCTTTGCCCAGTCTTCTGGCTGAGCTAGTTTCTAAATTCACTGACTGAAAATTAGATCCATTTCCCAATAACACTGCAATACCACACAAAGTATACACAGGAATGATTCCTAAGTCCTTCCCTAAAGGGACCTTTTCCATTTAGTTGGATATCCATGTACCCAACAGATACTCTTGGGAAAAGAAAATCCCCAGGCACTTTGAGGACTGCTGAATACAAGGCTGGACTGGAAGTTGATAGTGGAGGTCCTAGACCTAGTATCATTTGCCCTCTGTTAGAGTGGAGACATAAGGAAACTGGGGAATAAATGGAGTTCTGGACTATATCTGGCTCACAGTGGATACACTAGTTCTGTTAATCTACTTGGTTGTCTTTTCCACAATCCCTAAATTTTGGAATGGACATACTTGATACTTAAAGGAAAATTTACATTAGTTTCTTAACCTGAAAAGTAAAGGCTATTGTTATGGCAAAGACCAAGTAGAAGCCTCTGAAACTGCATTCTCCCCAACAGTGATAATAAATAAAATGAACAATAAATACAATTTTTAAAAAACAGCGCAATCCATTGGGAATGGCAGAGGTCAATCCCATCTTTAAAGGCCTACAGGATGCAAAAGTGGTTGTCTCCATCACATCCCCATTAAATTTACCTGTGTGACTGTACAAAAACCAGATGGATCCTGGAGGGCTCAATCAAACTGTAGCCCCAACTGCAGCTGCTATGCCTGATGCAGTATTTTTGCTAGGGAAATTAACACAATCTCATGATACGCAGCCATTGATCTATAGAATGCTTTTTTTTCCCCTTCCTTTCCAGAGAGAGGAGGACAAAAGTAGTTTGCCTTTACATGGGCCAGACATCAGTATAATTTTATGATTGTTCTATAGAGCTGTGTTAACAATCTCATTCTCTTTATAATGTAGTATCAAGTTTCAGGGGCACCAAATATCAAACATTTCATATTTTAAGCTATTTTAGTTGTATTTTTAATTTTAATATTTTATTGTGGCTAATTTATTAAACTAAAATTTACTATTTTTTATTTTTTTGAGACAGAGTCTCACTCTGTCACCCAGACTGGAGTGCAGTGGTGTGATCTCAGCTTACTGCAACCTCTGCCTCCCAGGTTCAAGTGATTCTCCTGCCTCAGCCTCCTGAGTAGTTGGGATTACAGGTGCCCACCACTATGCCAAGCTAATTTTTTGTATTTGTAGTAGAGATGGGGTTTCACCATGTTGGCCAGGTTGGTCTTGAACTCCTGACCTCGTGTTCGCCACCTGCCCTCCCAAAATGCTGGGATTACAGGCTTGAGCCACCATGCCCAGCCCTGAAATGTATTTTTACTTTTGATTTCATATCCTGCAATCTTGCTAGTCTCATTTGTTGTGTAAGAGTACTAGTTCTAGCGTTTTGTTTGTTTTTTTTGGTCGATTTCTTGGGATGTTCTACATAGACAATCAGCTCATACAGTCTACAAATACAGTTTATTTTCTCTTTTCTAATCTGTTTATGTTTTATTTCTTTTTCTGCCAAATATCCCTAGGATCTTGAGTGAAGTGGCGAGATTGTATATTCATGCTTTCTATCTGTATTATCTATTACCATTAAGTATACTTAGTGTTATTTACAGATTTTTTTTTGTAGATTACACTTTTTTCATAGAATAAGAAGTCCTTTCTATTTCTAGTTCTCTCAGTTTCTATCATGAATGAATGTTGAGTTTTGTCAAAGGATTTTTTGCATCTATTGTGATAGCCAAATGAGTTTTGTTTTTTTAGTTTCTTAGTAGAGTGAATGATATTATTTATTTATGACTGCAAAAGTAAACGTGCATTCCTGAGAAAATCCCACTTGGTCATGACCTATTATTCTTTGAAAATATTTAAAAATTGTATTTTCCAAGTATGTAGTAAGAATTTTTACATCTATGCTTGGAGATGTAAAAATCTCCAAGCATTATGCTTGGAGAGATAATGGTTTGTGGTTTTTGCTTCTTATAATCTCTTTTTTTTTTTTTCTTTTTTTGAGACAGAGTCTCGCTTTGTCGTCCAGGCTGGAGTGCAGTGGCGCCATCTTGGCTCACTGCAAGCTCCACCTCCCGGATTCACGCCATTCTCCTGCCTCAGCCTCCCAAGTAGCTGGGACTACAGGCGCCTGCCACCATGCCCGGCTCATTTTTTGTATTTTTTTTTTTTTTTTTTAAGTAGAGACGGGGTTTCACCATGTTAGACAGGATAGTCTCAATCTCCTGACCTCGTGATCTGCCCACCTTGGCCTCCCAAAGTGCTGGGATTACAGGCGTGAGCCACCGTGCCCAGCCTCTTGTAATCTCTTATGTTTTGTTATCAGGGCAGTGCAGGCCTCATAGAAAGAGTTCTGCAGTGTTTCCTCATTAACTGTTTTGGAAAAACATATGTAGAATTACTATTATTTATTTTTTGATTTACCTATTTCTTTTGAGTGAGTCTGTATCTTTAAGGCATTGGTCCCTTTAAGCACAAATTACATATTCCCTTTTTATCCCTTTATTGTCTCTAAGATCTGTAGAAATGTCTCATGACTCATTCTCTATATTAGTAGTTTGTGTCTTTGCTTTTTCTCCTGCCCTGGCTAGAGGCTTATCAATTTTATAAACCTTTTCAAATAACCATCTTTGATTATATTGACTTTGTCTATTTTTATTCTGTTTTCTGTTATGCTGATTTATCATGTTATCTTTGTCGTCTTTCTGATTATTTTGTGCTTAATTTGCTCTTATTTTCCCATTCTCATAAATTGAAATTTTAGATCATTGATTTATACTTTTTTAGTAAAAAAAAAATGTAATGCAATATATTTTAAGTACTGCCTTAGCCACATATTTTGATATGTCATGTTTTCGTTTCTTTTGTTCAAAATATATTTTAATTTTCTTTTTTATTTTGGACCTACAGGTTATTTTAAATATGTGTGGTATGTGTGGGTTTTTTTTTTTTTTGGAAAACATCAAGGAATCTTCCAGATATATTTGTTATTAATTTTTAATTTTCTTCTGCTGTGGTTGGTGAACATATTTTATATTATTTCAATCCTTATAAATGTATTAAAATCTGTTTTATCACATAGTCTATCCTGGTATATATTTTATGTGCACAAGCATGCATATTCTGGCCAGGCACAGTGGCTCACCTCTGAAATCCCAGCACTTTGGGAGGCGAAGGCGTGTGGATCACCTGAGGTCAGGAGTTTGAGACCAGCCTGGCCAACATGGCAAAATCCCATCTCTACTAAAAATACAAAAAAATTAATCAGGTGTGGTGGCACACGCCTATAATCCCAGCTACTAGTGAGAGGTGAAGCGAGTTGGGCTTCTGGATCGGGTGGGGACTTGGAGAACTTTTCTGTCTAGCTAAAGGGTTGTAAATGCATCAGTCAGCACTCTGTGTCTAGCTAAAGGTTTGTAAATGCACCAATCAGCACTCTGTGAAAATGGACCAATCAGCTCTCTGTAAAATGGGCCAATCAGCTCTCTGTGAAATGGACTAATCAGCTGTCTGTAAAATGGACCAATCAGCAGGATGTGGGTGGGGCCAGTTAAGGGAATAAACGCAGTCCACCCGAGCTAGCCTCGGCCACCTGCCGAGAGTCCCCTTCCGCACGTGGAACTTTTTTTCTTTCGCTCTTAGCAATAAATCTTACTGCTGCTCACTGGGTCTGCGCTGCCTGTATGAGCTGCAACACTCACCACAAAGTTCTGCAGCTTCATTCCTGAAGTCAGTGAGACCACAAACCCACCGGGAGGAACAAACAACTCCGGAGGCGCCGCCTTTAAGAGCTGTAAGACGCTCACCACGAAGGTCTGCAGCTTCACTCGTGAAGTCAGCAAGACTGCCAACCGACTGGGAGGAAGAGCAACTCTGGACCCGCCACGTTTATGAACTGTAACACTCACTGCGAGGGTCTGCAGCTTCACTCCTGAAGCCAGTGAGACCACGAACTCACCCGGAGGAATGAACAACTCCAGAAGTGCTGCCTTTAAGTGCTGTAACACTCACCCCGAAGGTCTAAAGGTCTGCAGCTTCACTCCTGAAGTCAGCGAGACCGTGAACCTACCAGTAGGAATAAACTCCAGACACTTCCAAATATCAGAAGGAACAAACTCTCTTGAAGTCAGTGAGATCAATAACCCACCAATTCCAGACGCATTAGGGAGGCTGAGGCAGGAGAATCACTGGAACCCAGGAGGCAGAGGTTGCAGAAAAGAAAAAGAAAAAAAATATGCATATTCTGCTTTTTTGTGTAGATGTAGTAATAAATATCAATTAGATCTAGTTGGCTGGCAGTTTTGTTCAAGACTTCTAGATACCTGCTAATTTTTTTTGTCTGTTCTATCAATTGTTGAAGGAAGGCTGCTGGCTTTCCCTATTTTTCCTTTCAGTTTTATCAGTTTTATGTCTTTTAAAGTTCTATTGTTATACATAAATATTTAGAATTACTATGTTCTCTCAATAATTCTCAAATGACCCTCTCTCTGTTTTATCTTTTTACTCTGAAATTACTCTCTGATGTTAATATAGTCACTCCAGTTTTCCTTTCATTTGTGAAGGCATGTGTTTTTCCATCCTAGTACATGCAATCTGTGTCTGTTTTTATATGTAAATGTGAGTATCTATACATGTGTGTGTATATGTGTGCTTGTAGTCAGCATATATTTGGGTCTTGATTTTCTATTCAATTTGACAATCTCTGTCTACAAATTGTTGTGTTTAGATAATTTATATCTAATGTGATAATTGACATGATTGGATTTAAATCTACCATTCTATTTAGTTTTCTATTTGTGTTGTCTATTTTTGGTCAATTTTGGCCTCTTACCTGCTGTCTTTTGAATTGAGCATTTTTAAAATTTCATTATTATATTATCACAATATTTTAATGATTATCTTAGTATTTAAAGTGTACACAGTCTACTTTTATGTAATATTACAACATATTATATACAGTCTATTTTACAGTAATATACTTCTCTTTCTCCTCTCCTGCCTTTTGTGCTACTATTATACATTTTACTTCCACATGTTATAAACCTTCAATATCTTGTCATCATGTTTGCTTTTATCTTTTACATGAATTTTTAAGAAAAAATAACTTTATATTGATCCATGTTTTTGCATTTCTGATAGTTTTCACATTTTTGTGTAAATTCAGATTTCCAACTAGTCTCATTTTTTTCTGTCTGAAATTCTTATTTTCACATTTTTTATTGTATGATTTGCTGGCAATGGATATTCTCAGATGTCATATGTCTAAAAAGTTTTTATTTTACTTTTGTGTCTGAAAACACCTTTGTGTCTTTATGTGAGACTTGGTTCTAGGAGTCTGTAAGTTTCTTTGTTCTATAGGTTTTGTTTCAAATGTGTCATTTCGTTTGCCATATTTTCTTTAGATTTTTTTTTTCTCTTCCCTCATCTTTCTCCTCTATTTCTGTTCAGAATCTCCAATTATAGGTATGTTAGGCCTCTTGGTGTTGCCTCAAAGCTGATCATTTGTTTTTTGTTTTTTCAATCTTTTTTTCCTTCTGTGTGTTTCACTTTGTGTAGTATTACTGTGCCTTTGAAGTCACTAATGTTTATTTTTCTTTAGTATGTAAGCTGCTGCTAGTCCTATTCAGTGTGTTTTTATTTTAATTTTTTTTTAGTTTATTTTTACTCTCAGACTTTTTTTTTATGTCTTCAAGTTTGATTTGTGGTTTCCTAATTTCTTTTATGTTTCTCATTATTAAACAATTGCATCATTCTATCTTCTGGAATATAAGGAACATATTGATAATAATACTTTAATATCTTTGTTTACAAACTTCTGTTATCTGTGTAATTTTGGGTTGCTTCCATGGGTTGATTTTTTCTGCCTGCTATGGTTGATTTTCCAGATTCACTGCACAGCTGTAATTTTTATTGGATGCCCAAAATTGTGAATTTTATGTTATTGCATACTGGATTTTTTGTGTGTTTAAAATTTTTTGTTTGTTTGTTTTGCCTTTTTTTTTTCACTCCTAGGACATAGTTAAGCTACATGGAAGTAGTTCAATTCACTTGAGGCTTGCTTTTAAGCTTTGCTAGCTAGGACCTAAGCCACCTTTATTCTGGGCTAATTTGGCCCACTGCTGAGGCAATACCTTCTCAAAATTCTGCTCAATTCCCTATGTTAGATGGCTTCTCCACTAGAGCTAGAGGAAGACATAAACTTCCCTAATCCCTGTAAGTCCTGGTGATCATTCAGCATGTTCCTTTCTGATGACTTTTCTCTGCACTTGGTAGTTTCTTCAAACCCATGACTGGATCAACACTCAGCCAAAGACTTGAGGGTTCCCTTTGCAGCTCTCTGGAATTTTTTTCTCTGTGCATCCCTCTGCTTTTGAGTACACTGTCCTGTGGCTTCTAGCCACTTTGGCCTCCCTGAAATCTAAGCTGGCTCTGCCAGTAAGGGAACCCCTTAGTTTGGGTTTGGGCTCCCCTCCTTGCACTGTAGAATCTCTTGAGGCAGTAAACTGAAGGAATTTATAGGGATCATTGATATACTTCCCTTCTCTCAGGGACCACTCTTAAGCTCTACCTGTTGACCAATGTTTGAAAACCATCATTTTAAATATTTTGTCCAGTTTTAAATTATTTAAAGAAAAAAGTAAACCCAGTTTTTGTTACTTGATTATGGTCAGAAGTAGAGGCCTCATTCTAATTTAAGTTATGTCTACCACTCATCAGTGTTGACTCTGTGATGAAAGTCCCATAGGGAAGGAAAGGAATTAGCATCCTGGCTGTGATGACTGACCCTGATCATTACAAGTCCACAATGGCCACAGAGGAGAATACAGTGGACATTTAGCTAACCAGCTTGGACATCTTTGGCTACCTTTTTGCCTAGTTTTGGTGGTAAATGGATAAGGGCAGCAGTCATGGCCCAAGAGGGACGTGGAAACCAAGAGTTCAGAAATCTCGGAGTTGAGGACTTTGGTCATCCCACCCATTAAACCACCCAGACAAGGAGGAGTGCTGATTGAGGGTAAGAGGAGTGTAAAATGATTAGTGGAGGAGGACGATGGTATGGATTGCTTGTGACCTGGTAAAACCACATGCAGAATTAGGGAATATGGTTGGTCTCATTAAAAAACTTTGATAAATTAAAACATAAAAGAAGGAGTAGAGAAAGTGACACAGAGAAGGGAGTGAAGCCAGTGAAGGGTGCATGTTTAATCCGGTACCACGATGAGTAACTTTGACCCAATCCTGCTAGAGATTTTCTGAATAGCCAGCTAGAGTGTACTCCAGAATTACCCAAAAGAGGGATGGAGAAACGGATATTTTCCACAGATTCCTGGGATCCTTTTGTGGTTGATGGTTGCTCTAGGCATATTAAAACTCTCACACTTCTGAGCAGCTCTGCAGAATGAATGAACACCATTCTAGGTGCAAGGGGAAGTTCTTGGCAAAGAGCAAGAAAGAGGCAGGTACCAAGATAGGAAATTGTCTTGGGAGGCAATAACAATAGCAGTTAGTACACTGTAAAACTTGCTTATTTATTTCATTTTCTGTCTTTTTCCATTAGCTGCGAGGACCACAAAAGTAGAGTTTTTTCTATTTCTTTAGCTGTGAGTTGACTTCATTCTCTCAGGGTCAAACATATAACTGGTGACATGTCCCCTGGAACCTTGAAAGTAACATACGATTTATAATCCAAGTGCAGAGAGACAACTCCCTTTGGAAAATTCTGGGGAAGGATTCTGTTGGGCTCAGTCTGGCTCATGAGCACCACCCCTCAGCCATCTTTCTATTCCCTATGCTCTGCTGTAAGGCAAAGTGTCTTTTTATAATTTGTAGTCTTACCAGAACCAAATGAAAGTGGGAAGGGATACTTTTCCAAAGGAAGAAAGGGGTGTTGGAAAGACAAAGCCATATAGATTGATTACACAAGACAGTCTAGTAGCAAAATCCCTGCTTTGTTAGTTAGACTAAACTCAGTAAGGAGAGGATGTACCTAGTGCAATCACTGAAGAAACCACAGAAAGGTTCTGAGTCTTGGGCTGCAACATACTAAGAAAAAATTCCGTCCGTGCCTACAACCTTGGCTGCACAATAATGAAGAAAGTATCAGGAAAGTAACTTTAGTGAGAAGGCTTTTTCAGTAATACCATGTACCAGTTACATGAGTATATTCTTATACTTTCGTATAGACCTTTATTTTCAAATCAATATTGGTAAACCACATGTAGATGTTGCCATGGTGAAATTTTAGTCATTTTCAACATATTCTATTGTAGTCTTGTTAAAATCCAAAATTAAAATAATTACTTCCAATATTAGAAACATAATAAGAAATACCTGATCAAGGTGCCCCGAAGCAGCAATTGCCATTATTAATGGATTCCTGCCTATATAGACTAGATGGGATGCATGGTATGGTACAACAATCAAAAACTTGAGAACCAGACCCATCTGGATTTAGTTTCCAGTTTTGTTATTTATAAGGTATAATGTTAAGCAAATTGCTTAGCTTCTGTGACCTTCAGTCTCATTGATTGTAAAATAAAGATAATAATTGAGATACCCTGTGTAAAATACACAACAATGTCTGGCCCAGAGCAGGTGCTCCATAAAAGGCACCAAGTGCCAAGGTCTAGTAATAAAGAATGTGAAGTGAGAAGTTGTGGGTTTGAATGCCACTTCATTTGGATGACTAGGGGTATGCTTTTTCCTTTTTCTGTGCCTCTGCATGGCTGTCGTGATCACTAGGAAAGAAAACATTTAATAATTCTAAACCATAGTAAGCAATGAAAAATAAGGTTTGCTTTCTACTCTTTTATTTAAAAAAATATGGGTAAGCACGTTTAAAACAAAATATAAACAGAAAATGTATAAACATGGTCCTTTCTTTACAATAGCAAATAAACCACAACAAAAGACAAGCAAAAAATTCCACCTTTCAGAAGACAGAGGAAGAATAATGTCTTTCTCATTTTTACAACAATCATGTGCATGATCTATTACATATTCTAATTAATGATAACCGTTCCTTACATTCATCCACTTTTCAGTTTACAAAGCACTTTTGGCATGCTTATTAGTGCTCAGTCGATGCTTGTAGAATTGTAAGATGGAGGAGCAAGGGCAAGCATCTAGAAACATCAGATTTAAAATACAGACCTTGCCAAATAAAGATGTTTGCCCTTGCCTGGGTCTTGAGGTAGAACATTTATATATTTTATTCTTCTAGGCCAATTGCTCAGGTCTTACCCCAAGAGAAGGCTGACTCTGTGCTTCCTTGGGCTTTTCAGATTGTTAGCAAACATGATATAATTAATCTACCAATCTACTACCCCTCAACCCTCCTGAGCCATGATGTAGAGACAAAGCTGTTGAGAAATGTTTTGTGTTGCTTTCTATTTAGAAAACTGCTATGGCTCAATGCAGATTTTATTGACTCCTGGACCTTAGCCAGAAAGGTTGGCTTTGTGACCTATCCACAGAGCAGTCTGTAAACTTCACTTAATGATATATCAAGTTGTTTCATTTACCCAATAGGTGGTTTTGTTTGCCACTCTTAAGCTCTTACAGTTTATTCTGTTTGCTTTTCATTTCTCTGCATAGCTTATAAGCCATGCAAGATCTTTTTGGCACAAAATTCTATGGGTTTTCTGTGACTAAAAAAGTCAGGCATATATTATTATTATGACTCAGTGTCGCAGTTAGATCTGTGAGTTGTTAGTAGTCTCTTAGCATTAGATTTCACCAAAGCCATTTCTGAATTGCATGAATACCACTTAAATACTGAGCCAAGGCCCATTTCAGATAATCTGTTTTTTGTGGTTCAAATGGACATTGGCTCTGATTGTTGATTGACATTAAATCTGCTTAGCAGCATTTTTCAGAATGATCCTGATGTCTCAAGAGTAAGATCCTGATGTCTCTTATGCCTTCAGTGGTCAGTTTTAGCCACATAACCTCATTTGACCATTATGTTTTAATCAGTACATGATTACATGGAGTGAGTGAGAAGAATATTTGACTAGACATCCAGAAACATGGATTTTACTCATACTCATTCCATGTCAGAGCTGAGAGCTTTTTAGCAAGTCACTTAGCGTTCTTGAGATTTGACTCCTGCATCTAAAAACTAAGTAAGAGACATTCTAGATAAATAAAAATATGGATAATATTATGGTTTTTGCTCTTGTAGTATATTCTAGACTTATTTGTATTAGCAATTTATTACAAACCAGTAACCAAACATTTTTGGTACCAATGCAATTGAGAAACAGATAAGACTGACAGCTGGAGAGAAAAAAATATTACTAGTATTGCTAGGTTAGAGAACATGGGTTGGTCTTTATCTAGAGTCAGCCTTCTTATCATCTGCTTGATGAAAGCACCCAGAATTGCTAGTCACTAATTGCAAGGGCAGAGCCTGCACTGTTAAGCTGACTGTATAAAAGAGAAGATGGCTTCTCTAAAATAATGGAGTGGGAAGGACCACATGGCCAATATGGACTTTGAACATCAGATCCTTGTTCCATGGAGTGATGTGAACTAATAGATGTCAGTCTCATGATTTTTGCCAATCAGATAAAGCATCCCACCTCTCATGTAGTGGCCCGAGAGACTGTAGCTGATAAAAAAAATCCATCTGAAAATAGAGACCAGGGAAACAATTTCTTCTAAGGGCATGTTTAGTAAAATTGAAAGAGTATGAGATTTGGAGTGAATGAGATCTTCAGTTTGGATCTTGATCTTGTTGGTTAAGAGTTTTCTACCAATTTGGTCAAACTTAAGAAACTCTCCAAGCTTCAATTTTTCTAGTAGCATGGGAATAATAATAATAATAACAATAACAGATTCATAGGATTGTTGTGAGGATAAAATGCAATCTCATAGAGAAGGCATCTAGGCACATTATAGACACTGTATGTGTATTACTATATTTCTATAAGTCTAGTACATAATTATAAGATGCTTCATTGATTTAGTGTCAGCAATTGTAATGAACAAAACAAAACAATATTAGATTAATATACTTGCTGGGCATAAGATGATTTTGCACTTCAGAGAGGTTAAAATGTGAAAAATAATACATGCTTTACAATTATAAGGGATTTTCTTTTTAAGCCTAGTTGAAAATTAAGCTTCCCCTGTCTTTCATGGCAAAGGAGCTATGCTTACTGACTTGTCTAAGACAGTGAAGTTGGATTTTCATATTCTTGTTCCTCTCTGGGTCCACTTCTTTTGCTTGCTCACACTTTTGTCTCCGAGAGATTTCTCACATTTTCCTACTTCTTTCCCTCTAGACTCCCCACCCCCACCTGCTTCCCCAACCTGAATTCCACTGAGATGTAAATTACTAAGAACAGGCTAATGGAGTATTGATACAAAGGTTTATAATTTTAATGTTATAGGAGGTGATGGGGAAAGAAGTTAGAGTTATTATTCCCCCCCACTCACCCCACCACCTCCTACCATTTTGCGAATGGAGAAATGGAAGCTCAGTGAGGTAGGAGTGACTTATCTAAGCTCTAGTATAGTTAAGAAGCCCAGAACAGAAGGCGGTAGTTTCTATTTACTTTTAACACAGAAACCCTTGTTGGCGGAAATTCATGTATGGAGAGACAGCTAATAATAAAGACAAAAGCTGAGTTGCTCTGATTGAAGTCTAGTAGGAGACTAAGGGGTCTGTGAACAGAGGGGCTCCTTAAAGCAGCAGAACTGATGGCATGACAACAATTGTACACTATCTTTAATAATACAAGCTAACACTTTTTGAGCATTTACTACATGGCAGGTTCTGTTCTAGGTACTTTATATGTATTACCGTATTTAATTCTTTCATCAACCCTGGAATATAGGTGCTATTATTATCCCTTTTGTACAGATGCTTTAACTGAGTCAGGGAGGTGTTAAATCAACTGCTCATGGTCACATAGCTAGTAAATAACAGCTTGGGCAGCCAGAATAGTACACCTTCGATGTCCTTGTCCTTAATCCCAAAGCCTCGAGTCCATGTGTTATTGGGCACTATGTTTTCTCCTTTACAATACATTATTTCCTTTTAATTCTCACCACAAACTCAAAATGAAGGTCTGTTTTTCATGTTTAGTAGAAAAGGATTCTGAGTTTAGAAAACTTAAAGAACTGACCAAGGCTCAAACAGCTATTAGAAATGGGAGAATGGGACTTGGATATTCGCTGTTTCTGTACCTGTGCCACTACCTGGTTACCCTATGGCTACCTGTTGGGTAGTATGAATAGTATGAATAGTCTTGAAATAAGGATTCAAGTCTTGGCTGTTTTATTCTTTCTTTCTTTTTTTTTTTTTTTTTTGAGATGGAGCCTCGCTCTGTCACCCAGGCTGGAGTGCAGTGATGCAATCTCAGCTCACTACAACCTCCTCCTACCTCCTGGGTGCAAGTGATTTTCCTGTCTCAGCCTCCTGAGTAGCTGGGATTATAGGTGTGTGCTACCACGCCCAGCTAATTTTTGTATTTTTAATAGAGACGGGGTTTCACCATGACGGCCAGGCTGGTCTCGAACTCCTGACCTCATGATCCACCTGCCTTGCCCTCCCAAAGTGCTGGGATTACAGGCGTGAGCCACCGTGCCTGGCCAACTCTGTTACTTAGTAACTAAGTGATTTCAGTTAAGTCATCCTGTTGGAGTGTTAATCTTGCCATTTGTAGAAAATTAGCTTTTGCCCTCAAATGCCACTCCTCACTGGAAGAACTGATATGAGACCAAGGAGATCAAGATTCTACTTCTGGTTTTGCTACTCACTACTTGCCATCAGGTGACCTGCAGGAAGGTAGTAAGCTTTTAAAACCTCAGTTTCCTTGTCTACAAAAATAGGTATTAGAAGTGTTGGAATATAATGTTTAAATCTCTCATGTTGACATATCCATGTATTAAAAGCCAATTCGTTTCTGACTATCTTTTCAAGAATGTTTACATAAGCTAATGTCAGGCCTCTGAGCCGGAACTAAGCCATTGTAACCCCTGTGACCTGCATGTATACATCCAGATGGCCTGCAGGAACCAAGAAGTCTGGAGCAGCCGTGAAACCACAAAAATAGTGAAACAGTCAGTTTCTGTCTTAACTGATTAACCAACCTTACGACATTCTACCATTATGACTTGTTCCTGCCCTACCCTAACTGATCAATTGATCTTATGACATTCTTCTCCTGGACAATGGATCTCGTGATCTCCCCACCATGTACCTTGTGACCCCCTCCCCTGCTGACAACAGATAATCACTTTCAACTGTAACTTTCCACTGCCTACCCAAGTCCTATAAAGCTGCCCCTCTCCTATCTCCCTTCCTGACTCTCTTTTCAGACTCAGCCCACTTGCACCCAAGTGAATAAACAGTCTTGTTGCTTATACAAAGCCTGTTTAGGTGGTCTTCTATATGGACATGCATGACAACCAATGGCCTTAGAAAGATGATGACTTCTTTCCTAGCAAATTTAATCCCATTTGAGATTATAAAGGTGGAGCTATGTCATGCTCTTCTGCAGAGCAGATGTGCCATATTCCAGAGTAAAGAAGACATTGTGTCTACAGAGAGGACAATGTGAAGCTTTGCCAGACATCTACATAAGGACAGAGTTTCCAAATCTCAGGGTTCCTGAAACATGCCACTGATGTGTCACTTCTGGGTCAAAATGTATAAAAGTGGTGTGCTTTCTCCATAGCTTTCTTTTGCTTGCATTGGCTGAATCCAGGGAACACCAGTAACCTCAGAGAGAGTGGCCTCACCAGATGGGAGAAACCTGAGTCCCTGAATTACCCTGTGGGAGGCTGCCCGACCACCAAGGCTGCCATTGGGTTGTGTTGTGAGTGAGCAAATAATTTTCACTGGCTTAAGCCACTTAGAATTCGGGAATCATCTGCTATAGCATCTAACATTACCTTAAATAATAAAAGCTGTGTTGGGAAAATAGTATTTATTAATTTCCTTTTATATGCCCAACATTGTACTAGGCGATTTTACATGTGCTATCTTATTTAACTATAAAGCAACCTTGAAATTTAGTTATTATTTTAATTTTACAGATGAAGAATCTGAAACTTAGAAAGGTTACATATTTGTTTGTTTGTTTTTTTCTCTTCACAAGATTACACAGTTAAGAAAATAAGGTAGGAATGAAACCTGGTCTCCCTGGCTCTAGAAATTATGCTAACCCACCTTCCAGAAACTAATTATTTCATTAAAAATTGTTTAAATAGGCCGGGCGCAGTGGCTTATGCTTGTAATCCCAGCACTTTGGGAGGTTGAGGCAGGTGGATCACGAGGTCAGGAGTTCGAGATCAGCCTGACCAATATGGTGAAACCCCGTCTTTACTAAAAATACAAAAATTAGCCAGGTGTGTTGGTACGTGGGAGGCTGAGGCAGAAAAATCACTTGAACCCGGGAGGTGGAGATTGCAGTGAGCTGAGACTGTGCCACTGCACTCCAGCCCGGGTGACACAGCAAGACTCCATCTCAAAAAAAAAAAAAATGCTTAAATAAATCTGGCTCACTTCCAGAATGCCAGGAATGGTTGAAAACAACGTCAATGATCTCCAGCATTCACACTGATTCCCTTCTTGAGTTGTGTCCTGATCTGTTACTCCTTGCTTCTTAGGCATTTATCACTGACCCTTGGCTCCAGATACCGGCCTTAATTCCTATCTGGGACTTTGATACTTTCCTGATGGGTTAGAAATGGTCTTCTAGGTCTGTTCTGTGGTCCTAGCCTTGTGGCTATGGACATAAAGAGCAATAAATGTAGGAAAGCCCCACATTTCACTCTGGCGATCTAGGGCCTGTATTCACCAAGACAACCCTATTTCACCTTCTTTCCCACTTGGGAGAGAGAGTGACGCTGATATTGTGAAAGTATATCCAAGCTATTTTACATTGCCTGTTTTGCAGTGCAGTGCCAGACTCTTAAAAAAGTGCAATATAAAATTTTAAGCCCAACAGTAAAATATAAGTTGCCACATAATAGAACACTTAAATTATTGAGGGGATAGCATCATCCTGAGATTTCTCAAAGGAGTACTTGTTGAAGAGCTATGTCTGCTCAGTGCAACCCTTGAAAGCAATAATGTGATCTAAAGTCTGTGTTTTTCAAGAACTAAAAGGGAAGATGTTTTGTTTTTCTAAACTGGCATGTGCATTTTCATCTCCTCTACCAGACTGAGTGCTCCTCCAGGTGTGTCAAGACTTCCTGTTCTTTTGTCTCTCAATTCACATGCAGACTGCTGGTGCACATGCACTAAAATGCTCATAAATTCCTGTGGCTCCTTCGAGAATGCACTACCCTTCCCTGAAGACACCAGTGAGATAAATGAAGACCATAAAACAAAACACGTATTTTGTTGGAATTAAGTATTCAGAATAACTCCCAAATGAATAATGTCGTTATCTGAATTAGATTCATTGTACATCTGTAATGTGCAAAGCTCCAAGATGTGTATTAGAGTTGTAAGTGCATAGAACTCAAAGTATGGGACTTCAAGAAGATTATATTACTGACAATGAGATAGATTACAAATAGAGAATGTAAATCTTCACATAAGCATCATTTAGATGTAATAAAGAGGTATTATACAAAACAGCTTGCATATGGCCTTTTAAATTTTTTGAAATTTTAATTTATTTTTTAAAATTGATACATAATAGATGTACATAGCTTTGGGGTATATGTGATAAATTAATACATTAATCTAATTTGTAACGGTCAAATCAGTGTAACTGGGATCTCCACCACCTTAAATTTTTGTCTTTTCTTTATGCTATTAATAGAAACACTTGAATTACTCTCTTCGAGCTATTTTGAAATCTACCTCAGTTTATTATAAATTATACTCACCCTATTGATCTATCAAACACCACGTCTTACTTCTTCTATCAAACTGTATATTTGTACCCATTAATCACCCTCCCTTCATCCTTCCCATATAACACTCCCTATCCTTCCAGCCTCTGGTAACTGCCAATCTAATCTCTATCTTCATGAGATTCACTTTTGTAGCTCCCATATATGAGTGAGAACATGTGGGATTTGTCTTTCTGTGCTTGACTTATTTCACTTAATATAATGACCTCCATTTCAATCCATGTTGCTGCAAATGAAAGGATATCATTCATTTTTATGGATGAGAAATATTCCATTGTGTTTATATATCACATTCTCTTTATCCATTTATCAATTGATGGGCAATTAGATTTATTCACTATTTGGGCTATTCTGAATAGTGCTGCAATGCGTGAGAATGCAGATGTCTCTTCAGTACATCAATTCTTTTTCTTTGTGGATCTGTACCCAGTAGTGGAATTGCTGGATCATATGATAGCTCTATCTTTAGGGTTTTGAGGAAACACCATGATGTTTTCTATAGTGGCTATAGTTAATTTACATTCCCGTCAACAATGTGCCAGGGTTCTCTCTTTCTCCACATTCTTGTTAATCCTTTTTGATAAAAGCGATTTTAACTGGGGTGAGATATTTATATTTCATTGTGGTTTTGATTTGCATTTTTCCAATGATTAGTGTGATGTTGAGCATTTTTTTCATATACCTGTTGGCCATTTGTGTGTCTTCTTTTAGGAAATGTCAATTTCTATTTATATCTTTTTTCCATTTTTTAATTGAATTATTTATGTCTTTGCTATTGAGTTATGTGAGCTCCTTATATATACTAATTATTAATCACTTATCAGATGGGGACCGTTCATATATTTTCTCACATTCTGTGGGTTATGTCTTTAGTTTGTTGATTGTTTATTTTGCTGTGGAGAAGCTTTTTAGCTTGATGTAATCCCATTTGTCTGTTTTTGCTTTGATTGCCTTTGCTTTTGAAATCTTATACATTCTTTGCCCAGACCAATGTCCTGGAGCATTTTCCCAATGTTTTCTTCCAGTAGTGTCATAGTTTCATGTCTGAAATTTAAGTCCTCAATCCATTTTGATTTGATTTTTGTGTATTGTGAGAGACAGGAGGCTAGTTTCATTCTTTTGCATATGAATATCCAGTTTTCCCAGCACCATTTATTGAACGGACTGTCCTTTCCCCAATGCATGTTCTTGGTACCTTTGTTGAAGATGAGTTGTCTGTAAATGTGTGAATCTGGGTTCTCTATTTTTTCCATTGATCCATGTGTCTGTTTTAATGTCAGTTCCATACTGATTTGGTTATTACAATCTTGTAGTACATTTTGATAACAGGTAGTGTGATACCTCCATATTTTTTTTATTTGCTCAGGATTGGCTTTGGCTATTCAGAGTCTTTTATGGTTCCATACCATAAAAATTTTTGAGGTTGTTTTTTCTATTTCAGTGAAGAATGTCATCAGTATTTTGATAGGGATTTCACTGAATCTGTAAATTACTTTCAGTAGTATTGTCATTTTGACAATATTAATTTTTCCAATCATGAGCATGGAATATCTTTCTTTAATTTTTGAATCTTCTTCAACTCCTTTCATCAGTGTTTTATAATTTTTCTTATATAAATCTTTCACTTCTTTGTTAAATTAAAACCTAGATATTTTATATCCTTTGTAGCTATTGCAAATGATATTACTTTCTTGATTTGTTTTTCAGATTGTTTGCTGTTGGCATATATAAATGCTACTAAATTTTGTATCTTGCAACTTTACTGAATTTGTGTTTTTCATTTTTAATTTTTGTGGGTACATGGTAGATGTATATATTTATGGGTTACCTGAGATATTTCGATATAGGTATGCAATGCATAATAATCACATCGGGGTAAATGAGGGGTATCCATCATTTCAAGCATTAATCCTTTGTGTTGCAAACAATCTAATTATATTCTTTTAGTTTTTAAAAATGTGCAATCAAATAATTTTTGACTATAGTTACCCTGTTGTGCTAGCAAGTACTAGTTCTTATTCAATCTTTCTAAGCATTTTTTGGTACCCATTAACCATCTCCACTTCCTCTTCCCAACTACCCCACTACACTTCCCATCCTCTGGTTACCATCCTTCTACTGTTATCTCCATGAGTTCAATTATTTCAATATTTACCTCTCATAAATAAGTGAGTTGATGCGAAGTTTGTCTTTCTGTGCCTCACTTATTTCACTTAAACATAATGATCTCCAGTTCCATTCAAGAGACATAAAAGTGACAGGACCTCATTCTGTTTTGTGGCTGAATAGTACTCCATCATGTGTATGTACCACATTTTCTTTATCCATTCATCTACTGATGGACACTTAGGTTGCTTCCAAATCTTTGCAGTTGTGAATATGCTGCAATGAATATGGAGTGCAGATATCTCTTTGATATACTGATTTCCTTTCTTTTGGGTATATACCCAGCAGTGGGTTTGTTGAATGATATGGTAACTCTATTTTTAGTTTTTTGAGGAACCTCCAAACTGTTCTCCATAGTGGTTGTACTAATTCACATTCCCACCAACAGTGTACAAGGGTTCCCTTTCTCTTCACCAGTATTTGTTATTGCCTGACTTTTGGATAAAAGCTCTTTTCACTGGAGTGAGATGACATCTCATTGTTGTTTTGATTTGCATTTCTCTGATGATCAGTGATGTTGAGGATCTACCTGTTTACCATTTTTATGTCTTCTTTTGAGAAATGACCATTAAAGTCTCTTGCCCACTTTTTGATCAGATTATTAGATTATTTTTCCTATAGAGTTGTTTGAGCTCCTTATATATTCTAGTTATTAATCCCCTGTCAGAGGGATAGTTTGCAAATATTTTCTCCCATTCTATGGGTTGTCTCTTCACTTCGTTGACTGTATCCTTTGCTGTGCAGATTCTTTTTAACTTGATGTGATCCAATTTGTCCGTTTTTGTTTTGGTTGCCTGTGCGTGTGGGTATTACTCAAGAAATTTTTGCCCAATCCAGTGTCCTGGAGAGTTTTCCCCAATGTTTTCTTTCAGTAGTTCCATAGTTTGAGGTCTTAGGTTTGAGTCTTTAATCCATTTTGATTTGATTTTTATATATAGCAAGAAAGAGGTCTAGTTTCATTCTTTTGCATATGAATATCTAGTTTTCCCAGCAGCATTTATTGAAGAGACTGTCCTTTCCCCAATGTATGCTCTTGACACCTTTGTCAAAATAAGTTCACTGTAGATGTATGGATTTATCGCTGGGTTGTCTATTCTGTTTCACTGATCTATGTGTCTGCTTTTATGCCACTACCATGCCATTTTGGTTACCATAGCTCTGTAGTATAATTTAAAGTCAAGTAATATGATTTTTTACATTTTTTTTCTTTTTTGCTTATGACAGCTTTGGCTCTTCTGGGTCTTTGTGGTTTCATATAAATTCTAGGATTATTTTTACTATTTCAGTGAAGAACATCATTGGTATTTTGATGGAAAGTGCATTGAATCTGTAGATTGTTTTGGATAGTATGGACATTTTAACAGTATTGATTTTTCTAATTCATGAACATGGACTATTTTTCCATTTTTTGGTGTCCTCTTCTATTTCCCTTATCAGTGTTCTATAGTTTTCATTATAGACATCTTTCACTGCTTTGGTTATGTTAATTCCTAGGTATTTAATTTTATCTGTGGCTGTTGTGAATGTTGTACATGGTACTACCTTTTTAATTTATTTCTCATATTGTTCATTGTTGGCAATGCTACTGATTTTTGTATGCTGATTTTACATCCTGCAACCTTACTAAATTTGCTTATTTCTCATAGTTTTCTTGTGAAGTCTTTAGGTTTTTCAAAATATCAAATCATATCATCAGCAAACAAGGATAATTTGAATACCTTTTTTCCAATTTGGATGCCCTCTTCTTTAAGGCTAATAACTCATATTTGCCCCGTTGAGGCTATTTTCTAGATCTTTTAGGCTTGTTTCATTGCTTTTGTTTTTCTTTTGTCTCCTCTGTGTATTTTCAATTAGACTGTCTTCAAGTTCACTGATTCTTTCTTCTGCTTGATCAATACTGTTAGTAAAGAACTCTTATGCATTCTTCAGTATGCCAACTGCATTTTTCAGCTCCAGAATTTCTGCTTAATTCTCTTTAATTATTTCAGTCTCTTTGTTAAATTTATCTGATAGAATTTTGAATTCCTTCTCTGTGTTATCTTGAATTTCTTTGAGTTTCCTTAACACAGCTGTTTTGAATTCTCTGTTTGAAAAGTTGCATGTCTCTCTTTCTCCAGGATTGGTCCCTGGTACCTTATTTAATTCATTTGGTACAGTGTTTTGTTTTCCTGGATGTTGTGGATGCTAATAGATGATCTTTGTTGTCTGTTCATTGAAGGGTCATATATTAATTATAGTCTTCACTGTCTGGACTTATTTGTAGCCATTCTTCTTAGGAAGGCTTTTCAGATATTTAAAAGGACTTGGATGTTGTGATCTAAGCTGTATTTGCTTTAGGGGACACCCCAAGTTCAGTAATGCTGTAGTTCTTGCAGACTCATAGAGGTACTGCCTTGATTGTCTTGGACAAGATCTGGGAGAATTCTCTGGATTACGAGGCAGAGACTCTTGTTCCCTCCCCTTACTTTCTTCCAAACATAGTGAATGTTTGGGGTCTCTCTCTCTCTTTCTCTCTCTCTCTGCTCTGAGTGACCTAAAGCTGTAGGTGAAGTGATATAAGCATTTCTATGGCCACCGCAACTATGGCTGCACTGGGTCAGGCCGGAAGCCAGCACAGCACTAGGTCTTGCTCAAGACCTGCTGTAACCACTCCCTGCTACTGCCTATGTGTGTTCAATGCCCTGGGGCTCTACAATCAGCAGGTGGCAAAGCCAGCCAGGCCTGTGTTCTTTCCTTTAGGGTGGTGAGGTCTCACAAGCCCTAAGTGGGTCCAGAAGTGCCATCTGGTAGTCAGGGCCTAGAGTCAAAAATCTTAGAGGCCTACTTAGTGTTCTATTGTATCGTGCCTGACCTGGCAGTCAAACAACACAAGGCTGTCCTTCCCACTCTTCCCTCCCATTTCCAAAGGGACAGGAACCTCACTCCATAGCCACTGCTACCCCAGGCCATGAGGAGTACAGCTAGACTACCACCAATATTCCCTTAAGTCCCCAGGTTTCTTAAGTTAGGTTGTCATGAATGCTGCCTAGCCTGGGACTCACCATTCATGGCAATGGGCTCCCTTTCTGGCCCAGGGCAGGTCTAGAAATGCCATCCAAGAGTGAAGTCCTAGAATCAGGCACCCCCAAGAGCCCACTTGGTGCTTTCTGTCTCCCTGTAGCAATCTTAGTACTTAAGGTACAAGACAAAGTCCCCTTTACTTTTTCCTGTGCTCTTCTCAAGCAGAAGTTTTGCCCTGTAGACACCACAGCTGGTTAGGTGCTGAGTCTCACCTGAAGCCAGCAAGTCTCAGAGCTAGGGCCTTTGATGTAGTACCTGGTATTGCTGCTGGTTATTCATTGCATAAGGGCTCTTCAGTTAGCAGGTGATGAATGCTGGCAGGACCGGGTCCTTTCCTTCAAGGCAGTGGGTTCCTTTCTGTCCCAGGGTGTGTCTAGACATGTTTTCTAGGAGCTAGGCCTGGAATGGGGGCCTCACAACTCTGACCAGTGCCCTATCATGCTGTGGCTGGGGTGTATCCTGGATACAAGACAAAGTTCTCACCACTCTTCCCTCTTTTCTCCTCTAGCAGGTGGAAGGGGTCTCTTTTGGAACCATGATCTCTGCAGCCTGGGGGTTAAGGAGGGGTGATGTAAGCACTCCCTTGACTGCCCCAGCTGGTGTCTCAGTATGTTGCATGTACCCCTAGTCCACTGTCTCTGGGCCTATTTCATCACTAGGACTCACCTATGAGTTGCAGTCCTTATAGTCTAGACTGCCTTTCAAGTTTACTTGGAGAAACAGAGTGCTATAGCTTATGGTGGTGAGGTTTGCAGGAGCTCAAGTTTTAACAGCTGGGATTGGACTAGTTTAAATGCTCCCTCCATGGGTGGGCATCAGCTGAGTTTGGTCCAGTTTTCCTTTCTGCTCTAACAGGACAGCACTGCATTCAATGGCTCACAATTTCTGTGTTTTCCCTGCCCCAGGTCCCAGAGATACTCTCTGAACCATGCTGTTGCTGGGGGTGAGGGGAGGAGCGGGGTCTGCAATTTCTGGACTTTTTTTTTTTTAATTTTATCTCTTCAGCACCTTTTTCAGCAATTTGAAGTTACAAGCAGGTGCTATGAGTGCTCACCTGATATTTGGTTCTTGTGAAGGGGTTTTTTTTCTGTGTAGATGGTTGTTAAGTTGGTGTCATTGCTGGGGGACATGGGGAGAGGGTTGATGGCACTTTCTATTCTGCCATCTTGCTCCACCCTCTCCAAATTCATTTATTTTTGGTCTGATCTTTATTATTTCTTTTCTTTTACTAATTTTGGGTTTTATTTGCTCTTGCTTTTTTAATTAAGATGCATCATTAGGTTGTTTATTTGAAGTTTTCCTTCTCTTTCAAGGTAGGTATTTATAGCTGTAACTTCCCTCTTAGTACTGCATTTGCTGTATCCTATAGGTTTTGGTTTTTGTATGTTGTTTCCATTATCATTAGTTTTAATAAATTTTTCAATTTTCTTCTTTTTTTTATTATTATTATTATTTTTTATTATACTTTAAGTTTTAGGGTACATGTGCACATTGTGCAGGTTAGTTACATATGTATACATGTGCCATGCTGGTGCGCTGCACCCACTAACTCGTCATCTAGCATTAGGTATATCTCCCAATGCTATCCCTCCCCCCTCCCCCCACCCCACCACAGTCCCCAGAGTGTGATATTCCCCTTCCTGTGTCCATGTGATCTCATTGTTCAATTCCCACCTATGAGTGAGAATATGCGGTGTTCGGTTTTTTGTTCTTGCGATAGTTTACTGAGAATGATGGTTTCCAATTTCATCCATGTCCTTACAAAGGACATGAACTCATCATTTTTTATGGCAGCATAGTACTCCATGGTGTATATGTGCCACATTTTCTTAATCCAGTCTATCATTGTTGGACATTTGGGTTGGTTCCAAGTCTTTGCTATTGTGAATAATGCCGCAATAAACATATGTGTGCATGTGTCTTTATAGCAGCATGATTTATAGTCATTTGGGTATATACCCAGTAATGGGATGGCTGGGTCAAATGGTATTTCTAGTTCTAGATCCCTGAGGAATCGCCACACTGACTTCCACAATGGTTGAACTAGTTTACAGTCCCATCAACAGTGTAAAAGTGTCCCTATTTCTCCACATCCTCTCCAGCACCTGTTGTTTCCTGACTTTTTAATGATTGCCATTCTAACTGGTGTGAGATGATATCTCATAGTGGTTTTGATTTGCATTTCTCTGATGGCCAGTGATGATGAGCATTTTTTCATGTGTTTTTTGGCTGCATAAATGTCTTCTTTTGAGAAGTGTCTGTTCATGTCCTTCGCCCACTTTTTGATGGGGTTGTTTGTTTTTTTCTTGTAAATTTGTTTGAGTTCATTGTAGATTCTGGATATTAGCCCTTTGTCAGATGAGTAGGTTGCGAAAATTTTCTCCCATGTTGTAGGTTGCCTGTTCACTCTGATGGTAGTTTCTTTTGCTGTGCAGAAGCTCTTTAGTTTAATTAGATCCCATTTGTCAATTTTGGCTTTTGTTGCCATTGCTTTTGGTGTTTTGGACATGAAGTCCTTCCCATGCCTATGTCCTGAATGGTAATGCCTAGGTTTTCTTCTAGGGTTTTTATGGTTTTAGGTCTAACGTTTAAATCTTTAATCCATCTTGAATTGATTTTTGTATAAGGTGTAAGGAAGGGATCCAGTTTCAGCTTTCTACATATGGCTAGCCAGTTTTCCCAGCACCATTTATTAAATAGGGAATCCTTTCCCCATTGCTTGTTTTTCTCAGGTTTGTCAAAGATCAGATAGTTGTAGGTATGCGGCATTATTTCTGAGGGCTCTGTTTTGTTCCATTGATCTATATCTCTGTTTTGGTACCAGTCCCATGCTGTTTTGGTTACTGTAGCCTTGTAGTATAGTTTGAAGTCAGGTAGTGTGATGCCTCCAGCTTTGTTCTTTTGGCTTAGGATTGACTTGGCGGTGCGGGCTCTTTTTTGGTTCCTTATGAACTTTAAAGTAGTTTTTTCCAATTCTGTGAAGAAAGTCATTGGTAGCTTGATGGGGATGGCATTGAATCTATAAATTACCTGCCCATTTTCACGATATTGATTCTTCCTACCCATGAGCATGGAATGTTCTTCCATTTGTTTGTATCCTCTTTTATTTCCTTGAGCAGTGGTTTGTAGTTCTCCTTGAAGAGGTCCTTCACATCCCTTGTAAGTTGGATTCCTAGGTATTTTATTCTCTTTGAAGCAATTGTGAATGGGAGTTCACTCATGATTTGGCTCTCTGTTTGTCTGTTGTTGGTGTATAAGAATGCTTGTGATTTTTGTACATTGATTTTGTATCCTGAGACTTTGCTGAAGTTGCTTATCAGCTTAAGGAGATTTTGGGCTGAGACGATGGGGTTTTCTAGATATACAATCATGTCATCTGCAAACAGGGACAATTTGACTTCCTCTTTTCCTAATTGAATACCCTTTATTTCCTTCTCCTGCCTAATTGCCCTGGCCAGAACTTCCAACACTATGTTGAATAGGAGTGGTGAGAGAGGGCATCCCTGTGTTGTGCCAGTTTTCAAAGGGAATGCTTCCAGTTTTTGCCCATTCAGTATGATATTGGCTGTGGGTTTGTCATAGATAGCTCTTATTATTTTGAAATACGTCCCATCAATACCTAATTTATTGAGAGTTTTTAGCATGAAGGGTTGTTGAATTTTGTCAAAGGCTTTTTCTGCATCTATTGAGATAATCATGTGGTTTTTGTCTTTGGCTCTGTTTATATGCTGGATTACATTTATTGATTTGCGTATATTGAACCAGCCTTGCATCCCAGGGATGAAGCCCACTTGATCATGGTGGATAAGCTTATTGATGTGCTGCTGGATTCGGTTTGCCAGTATTTTATTGAGGATTTTTGCATCAATGTTCATCAAGGATATTGGTCTAAAATTCTCTTTTTTGGTTGTGTCTCTGCCAGGCTTTGGTATCAGGATGATGCTGGCCTCATAAAATGAGTTAGGGAGGATTCCCTCTTTTTCTATTGATTGGAATAGTTTCAGAAGGAATGGTACCAGTTCCTCCTTGTACCTCTGGTAGAATTCGGCTGTGAATCCATCTGGTCCTGGACTCTTTTTGGTTGGTAAACTATTGATTATTGCCACAATTTCAGCTCCTGTTTTTAGTCTATTCAGAGATTCAACTTCTTCCTGGTTTAGTCTTGGGAGGGTGTATGTGTCGAGGAATGTATCCATTTCTTCTAGATTTTCTAGTTTATTTGAGTAGAGGTGTTTGTAGTATTCTCTGATGGTAGTTTGTATTTCTGTGGGATCGGTGGTGATATCCCCTTTATCATTTTTTATTGTGTCTATTTGATTCTTCCCTCTTTTTTTCTTTATTAGTCTTGCTAGCAGTCTATCAATTTTGTTGATGCTTTCAAAAAACCAGCTCCTGGATTCATTGATTTTTTGAAGGGTTTTTTGTGTCTCTATTTCCTTCAGTTCTGCTCTGATTTTAGTTATTTCTTGCCTTCTGCTAGCTTTTGAATGTGTTTGCTCTTGCTTTTCTAGTTCTTTTAATTGTGATGTTAGGGTGTCAATTTTGGATCTTTCCTGCTTTCTCTTGTGGGCATTTAGTGCTATAAATTTCCCCCTACACACTGCTTTGAATGTGTCCCAGAGATTCTGGTATGTTGTGTCTTTGTTCTCGTTGGTTTCAAAGAACATCTTTATTTCTGCCTTCATTTCGTTATGTACCCAGTAGTCATTCAGGAGCAGGTTGTTCAGTTTGCATGTAGTTGAGCGGCTTTGAGTGAGATTCTTAATCCTGAGTTCTAGTTTGATTGCACTGTGGTCTGAGAGATAGTTTGTTATAATTTCTGTTCTTTTACATTTGCTGAGGAGAGCTTTACTTCCAACTATGTGGTCAATTTTGGAATAGGTGTGGTGTGGTGCTGAAAAAAATGTATATTCTGTTGATTTGGGGTGGAGAGTTCTGTAGATGTCTATTAGGTCCGCTTGGTGCAGAGCTGAGTTCAATTCCTGGGTATCCTTGTTGACTTTCTGTCTCGTTGATCTGTCTAATGTTGACAGTGGGGTGTTAAAGTCTTCCATTATTAATGTGTGGGAGTCTAAGTCTCTTTGTAGGTCACTGAGGACTTGCTTTATGAATCTGGGTGCTCCTGTATTGGGTGCATATATATTTAGGATAGTTAGCTCCTCTTGTTGAATTGATCCCTTTACCATTATGTAATGGCCTTCTTTGTCTCTTTTGATCTTTGTTGATTTAAAGTGTGTTTTATCAGAGACTAGGATTGCAACCCCTGCCTTTTTTTGTTTTCCATTTGCTTGGTAGATCTTCCTCCATCCTTTTATTTTGAGCCTACATGTGTCTCTGCACGTGAGATGGGTTTCCTGAATACAGCACACTGATGGGTCTTGACTCTTTATCCAATTTGCCAGTCTGTGCCTTTTAATTGGAGAATTTAGTCCATTTACATTTAAAGTTAATATTGTTATGTGTGAATTTGATCCTGTCATTATGATGTTAGCTGGTTATTTTGCTCGTTAGTTGATGCAGTTTCTTCCTAGTCTCGATTGTCTACATTTTGGCATGATTTTGCAGCGGCTCGTACCAGTTGTTCCTTTCCATGTTTAGCACTTCCTTCAGGAGCTCTTTTAGGGCAGGCCTGGTGGTGACAAAATCTCTCAGCATTTGCTTGTCTGTAAAGTATTTTATTTCTCCTTCACTTATGAAGCTTAGTTTGGCTGGATATGAAATTCTGGGTTGAAAATTCTTTTCTTTAAGAATGTTGAATATTGGCCCCCACTCTCTTCTGGCTTGTAGGGTTTCTGACAAGAGATCTGCTGTTAGTCTGATGGGCTTCCCTTTGAGGGTAACCCGACCTTTCTCTCTGGCTGCCCTTAACACTTTTTCCTTCATTTCAACTTTGGTGAATCTGACAATTATGTGTCTTGGAGTTGCTCTTCTCGAGGAGTATCTTTGTGGCATTCTCTGTATTTCCTGAATCTGAACGTTGGCCTGCCTTGCTAGGTTGGGGAAGTTCTCCTGGATAATATCCTGCAGAGTGTTTTCCAACTTGGTTCCATTCTCCGCATCACTTTCAGGTACACCAATCAGACGTAAATTTGGTCTTTTCACATAGTCCCATATTTCTTGGAGGCTTTGCTCATTTCTTTTTATTCTTTTTTCTCTAAACTTCCCTTCTCGCTTCATTTCATTCATTTCATCTTCCATTGCTGATACCCTTTCTTCCAGTTGATCGCATTGGCTCCTGAGGCTTCTGCATTCATTCTTCACGTAGTTCTCGAGCCTTGGTTTTCAGCTCCATCAGCTCCTTTAAGCACTTCTCTGTATTGGTTATTCTAGTTATACATTCTTCTAAATTTTTTTCAAAGTTTTCAACTTCTTTGCCTTTGGTTTGAATGTCCTCCCGTAGCTCAGAGTAATTTGATCGTCTGAAGCCTTCTTCTCTCAGCTCGTCAAAATCATTCTCCATCCAGCTTTGTTCCGTTGCTGGTGAGGAACTGCGTTCCTTTGGAAGAGGAGAGGCGCTCTGCGTTTTAGAGTTTCCAGTTTTTCTGTTCTGTTTTTTCCCCATCTTTGTGGTTTTATCTACTTTTGGTCTTTGATGATGGTGATGTACAGATGGGTTTTCGGTGTGGATGTCCTTTCTGTTTGTTATTTTTCCTTCTAACAGACAGGACCCTCAGCTGCAGGTCTGTTGGAATACCCTGCCGTGTGAGGTGTCAGTGTGCCCCTGCTGGGGGTGCCTCCCAGTTAGGCTGCTCAGGGGTCAGGGGTCAGGGACCCACTTGAGGAGGCAGTCTGCCCGTTCTCAGATCTCCAGCTGCATGCTGGGAGAACCACTGCTCTCTTCAAAGCTGTCAGACAGGGACATTTAAGTCTGCAGAGGTTACTGCTATCTTTTTGTTTGTCTGTGCCCTGCCCCCAGAGGTGGAGCCTACAGAGGCAGGCAGGCCTCCTTGAGCTGTGGTGGGCTCCACCCAGTTCAAGCTTCCTGGCCGCTTTGTTTACCTAAGCAAGGCTGGGCAATGGCGGGCGCCCCTCCCCCAGCCTCGCTGCCGCCTTGCAGTTTGATCTCAGACTGCTGTGCTAGCAATCAGCGAGATTCCGTGGGCGTAGGACCCTCCGAGCCAGGTGTGGGATATAGTCTCGTGGTGCGCCGTTTTTAAGCCGGTCTGAAAAGCGCAATATTCGGGTGGGAGTGACCCGATTTTCCAGGTGTGTCCGTCACCCCTTTCTTTGACTCGGAAAGGGAACTCCCTGACCCCTTGCGCTTCCCAGGTGAGGCAATGCCTCGCCCTGCTTCGGCTCTCGCATGGTGCGCGCACCCACTGTCCTGCGCCCACTCTCTGGAACTCCCTAGTGAGATGAACCCGGTACCTCAGATGGAAATGCAGAAATCACCCGTCTTCTGCGTCGCTCACGCTGGGAGCTGTAGACTGGAGCTGTTCCTATTCGGCCATCTTGGCTCCTCCCCCTCAATTTTCTTCTTAATTTCTTCATTGACATATTGGTCATTCAGGAGCATATTTTTTAATTTCCATATGTCTGTATTGTTTCCAAAATTCCTCTCATTCTTGATTTCTAGTTGTATTCCATTGTGGTCAGAGAAGATGCTTGATATAATTTCAATTTTTGAACGTTTTAAGGCTTGTTTTGTGACCTAACATATGGCCTGTCCTTGAGAGTGATCCATTTGCTGAGAAAAAGCATGTATATTCTGCAGCAGTTGGATGAAATGTTGTGTAAATATGTAATAGGTCCATTGCTGTATAGTGCAGATTAAGTCAGATGTTTCTTCGTTGGTTTTCTGTCTGGAGGATCTGTCCAATGCTGAAAGTGGGGTGTTGAAGTCTTCAGCTAATATTGGAGTCTATCTATCTCCTTAGCCCTAATAATATTTTCTTTATATATCTGAATGCTCCAGTGTTGGGTGCATATATATTTAAAATTGTTATATCTTCTTGCTGAATTGACCCCTTTATCATTATATAGTGACCTTGCTTGTCTCTTCTTGTAGTTTTTTTTTTTTTGAAATCTATGTTGTTGACATAAGTATAGGCACTTCTGTTCTTTTTTGATTTTCATTGGTATGGAATATCATTTTCTAGTCCTTTATTTTC
Organism: Homo sapiens; assembly: GCF_000001405.40. Taxonomy (NCBI): domain Eukaryota; kingdom Metazoa; phylum Chordata; class Mammalia; order Primates; family Hominidae; genus Homo; species Homo sapiens. Next base: position 14,847,419 of record NC_000002.12, on the reverse strand, counting down.
AGTCTATTTGTGTCTTTTTTTTTTTTTTTTTTTTTTTAAGATAGAGTCTTGCTCTGTTGACGAGGCTGGAGTGCAGTGGTGTGGTCTTGGCTCACTGCAAGCTCCGCCTCCTGGGTTCATGCCATTCTCCTGCTTCAGCCTCCCAAGTAGCTGGGACTACAGGTGCCTGCCACCACACCCGGCTAATTTTTTGTATTTTTAGTAGAGACGGGGTTTCACTGTGTTAGCCAGGATGGTCTCAATCTCCTGACCTCGTGATCTACCCACCTCGGCCTCTGAAAGTGCTGGGATTACAGGTGTGAGCCACCATGCCCGGCCGTCTATGTTTGTCTTTATAGGTGAAGTGTGTTTCTTGTAGGCAACAGATTATTGGATCTTGCATTTTCATCAAATCAGCCAGTCTATTTCTTTTGATTGGAGAGGTTGGTCCATTTACATTCAATGTTATTAATGATAAGTGAGAACTTATTCTTGCCTTTTTGCTATTTGTTTTCTGGTTGTTTTTTTCTCTTTCTCTTTCCTTCCTTCTTGTCTTCCTTTTAGTGACAATTATTTTTTCTGGTGGTATGATTTAACTTTTAACTTTTAATTTTTTTGTGTGTCCATTTTATGTTTTTTGATTTGAGGCTACATGAGGCTTGCAAATACTATCTTATAATCCATTATTTTAAGTTGATAACAACTTAATTCTCTTTTCATAAACAAGCAAAAAGAAAACTAATAAAAACTCTATAACTTTACCCCCACTTTTCAACTTTTTTGTTTCTATTTATATCTCATTGTACTGTCAATTTCCTGAAAATTTGTAGTTATTATTTTTGATTGGTTCATCTTTTAGTCTTTCTATTTAAAAATAGTTTACATACCACAGCTACAGTTTTATCATATTATATAGTTTTTTGTGTACTTACTATTACCAGTAAGCTTTGTACCTTCAGTTGATTTCTTATTGTTCATTAACATCCTTTTTTTTTTTTTTCTAATTGAAGTACTCCTTTTAGCATTTCTTGTAGGAAAGGTCTGATGAAATCCCTCAGCTTTTGTCTGTCTGGGAAAGTTTTCACTACTTCTTTATATTTGAAGGATATTTTCACTGGATATATTATTCTGTAAAAGTATATAATAGGTTTTCTATAAGTTTCTGTTTCCTTCAGCATTTTGAATGTGTCATACCACTCTCTCCTGGCCTGTGAAGTTTCCACTGAAAAAAATGGCTGGCAGACATATTCAAGCTGTAGTGTATGTTATTAGTTTCTTTTCTCTTGTTGCTTTTAAGGTCCTTTCTTTATCTTTGACCTTTGAGAGTTTGATTATTAAATGCCTTGAGGTAGGCTTCTTTGGATTAAATCTACTTATTCTATAACCTTCTTGTATTTGGATATTGATATCTTTCTCTAGGTTTGGGACATTCTGTGTTATTATCGCTTTGAATAAACTTTCTACCCTATCTCTACCTTCATTTTAAGGCCAATAACTCTTAGATTTGCCATTTGAGGCTATTTTTTTTCAATCTTGTAGGCTTGCTTCTTTGTTTTTTATTCTTTTTTCTTTTCTCTCTTCTGACTGTGTTTTCAAATAGTCTGCCTTTAAGCTCACTAATTCTTTCTTCTACTTAATCAATTCTGCTATTAAAAGACTGATGCATTCTTCAGCCTGTGAATTGTATGTTCTAACTCCAGAATTTCTGCTTAATTCTTTTTAATTATTTTAATCTCCTTTTTCAATTTATCTGATAGAATTCTGAATTTCTTCTTTGCGTTATCTTGAATTTCTTTGCATTTTCTTAACACAGCTATTTTAAATTTTCTGTCTGAAAGGTCACATATCTCTGTTTCTCCAGGATTGGTCCCTGGTGTCTTATTTAGTTCATTTGGTGATGTCATATTTTCCTGAATGTTCTTAATGCTTGTGGATGTTCATCTCTGTCTTGAAATCGAAGAGTTAGGATTTAGTGCAGTCTTTACAATCTGGCCTTGTTTGTACCTGTCCTTCTTAGGAAGGATTTCCATGTATTAGAAAGAACTTGGGTGTTGTGATATAAGCCATATCTTTATTAGGAGGCATCTCAATCCCAGTAACACTGTGGTTCTTGCAGACTCATAGAGGTACCACCTTGATGGTCTTGGATAAGATGCAGAAGAATTCTTTTGATTACCAGGCAGAGACTCTTGTTCTTTTCTTTTACCTTTTCCAGAGGAAATGGAATTTATCTTTGTGTTCTGAGCCGCCTGGAACTGGGGGTGAAGTGACACAAGCACCCCTGTGGCCACTACAATTGGGATTGCACTGAGTCAGACCTAAAGCCAGCAGAGCACTGGGTCTCACTCAAGCCTGCTGTAACCACTACCTGGCTACTGCCTCTATTTGCTCATGGCCCTAGGGCTTTACAATCAGCAGACAGCAAAGCCAGCAAGGCTTGTGTCTCTCATCTTGAGGGTGGCATGTTCTGCTGGACCCCATTTGGTTTCAGAGTTACCATTTGGGGGCTGGGACAGAAATAAAAAACCTTAGAAGTCTACTTAGCATTTTATTTTACTGTGGCTGAGCTGGCACTCAAACCATGAGATGGGGTCTTTCCCACTCTCCCCTCCCCTTTCCAATGGCAGGGAAGCCTCATCCTATGGCCCCCATTACCACAGGCTTTCAGGGAGTACTGCCAGCCTACTGCTGATATTCCCTTAAGGTCCCAAAACTCTTCAGCCAGCTTGTAGTGAATGCTGCCTGGTCTGGGCCTCACCCTTCAGGGCAGTGGGCTCCCATCTGACCCAGAGCATGTACCAAAATGCCTTCCAGGACCCAAGGCTTGGAATTGGGGACCCCATGAGCCCACTTGGTGTGCTACCTCTCTGTGGCAGAGCTGGTACCTAAGGTGCAAAACAAAGTCCCCTTTACTTTTCCCTTTGCTTTTCTCACATACAAGGATATCTCCTCATAGCTACCATAGCTGGGAATGTGCTGAGTCTCACCTGAAGTCAGCAAGTTTCAGAGTCTCACCCAAGGCCCTCGATGAACTACTTGGGTATCACTGCTGATTATTCAGGACCTAAGGACTCTTTAGTCATTATGAGTCCTGCTGGGACTGGCTCCTTCCCTTCAAGGCAGTGAGTTCCCTTCTGGCCCAGGGTGTGTCTAGAAATTTTGTCTGGGAGCTACGGCCTGGAACAGGGCCCTCACGATGACTCTGACTGGTGTCCTTTCCTGCTGTGGCTGAGCTGGTTTCCAAGATGCATGACAAAATCTTCTTTACTCTTCCCTCTTTTTTTAAGTGGAAAAAAGGTATCTTCTTTGTAGTCACAAGCTGTGCTCCCTGGGGTTGTGGGACAGTTGGTGCAGACAGGCACTCCCTTAGTTGCCCTAACTGGTGCCTCAGTAGGTCACATGCCCCCTAAGTTCACTGGCTCTGAGCCCAATTCAGCCCTAGGACTCACACAGAAGTTGCAGTCCTTGTGGCCTAGACTGTATTTCAAGTTAATTTAGGGCCCGAGGCTTTTTGAAACTGAAGTTCCGACCGCTGAGATGGACAATTCTCCTTTGGCTAGGGCTGATTTAAATACTCCTTTTGTTGGCGGGCATCACCTGAGTTCAGTATGGTTTTGCTTTCCGCTGTGATAGGGCAGCACCAAGTTCAATCCAATATCTCACAATTCCTGTGCTCTCCCTCTCTTAAGTGCAGATTCTCTCTCTGCACCAAGCAGCTGCCTGGGGATGAGGGAGGTGTGACATCAGTGATTCAAGACTGTCTTTCCTACCCTCTTCCAGTTCCTCTTTCAGTTATATGAAGTTAAAATGAGGTACTGTGAGTACTCACCTGATTTTTGGTCCTTATGAAGGTATTTTTGTGTGTGTGTGTGTGTGTGTGTGTCTGTGTCTGTAGATAGTTGTTAAATTGGTGCCTTGTGGGGAGGATGATCAGTGGAGCCTCATATTTGTCCACCTTGCTCTACCTCTCAACTTTATTGAATTTGTTTATCAGTTCTAACCATTTTTTTTGGTGGGGTCTTCAGATTTTTCTAAGTATTAGATCATGTAGTCTGCAAACAAGATTGATTTGTTTTTCTTTCCAATTTATGTGCCCTTTGTTTATTTCTCTTGCCTAATTGCTGTAGCCAGGACTTCCAGTATTATATAGAATAAAAGTTGTGAAAATGGGCATCCTTGTCTTGGTCCGGATCTTAGAGAAAAGGCTTTCAAATTTTCCAAGTTCAGTATTATGTCAGCTGTGGATTTGTCATAGATGGCCTTAATTATTTTTAGGTGTGTTCCTTCTATATCCAGTTTGTTGAGGGTTTTTATGATAAAAGGATGTTGAATTTTATTAAATGCTTTTTTCATTATCTGTGGAAATACTAATTTAGTTTCTACTCTTGATTCTGTCAGTATGAAGTATCACATTTATTGATTTGCATATGTTGAACCATCCTTGTATCCATAGGATGAATTCTACTTGATTATTGTGAATGATCTTTTTTAATGGGTTGTTGAGTTTGAGTTTGGTTTGATAGTATTTTGTTGAGAATTTTTGCATCTATATTCATCTGCAATATTGCTGTATATGTTTTTTTTTTTTTTTTTTGTCATTTTCTGCTTTTGATATCAGGAAAATGCTGGCCTCATAGAATGTGTTTGGAAGTATTTCTTCCTCTTCAATGTTTTTGAGTCTGAGTAGAATTATTCTTAGTTCTTTAAATGTTTGGTAGAATTCAGCAGTGAACTCAACAGATCTTAGACTTTTCTTTGATGGTTGACTTTTCATTATGGTTTTGATCTTGTTTTTTGTTTGATGAAGTTTTGTATTTCTTTATGGTTGAATCTTCACAGATTGTGTATGTCCAGTAATTTTTTCCATTTATTATAGGTTTCCCAATTTTTTGGCACATAGCTTTTCCTAATAGTCTCTGGTGATTCTTCTTATTTCTGTTGTCTCTGTTGTTATGTCATCTTTTTAGTTTCTGATTTTAATTATTAGGATCTTCACTCTCATTTTTTTAGTTAGTCTAAAGAAAGTTTATTAATTTTGTTTACCTTTTCAAAAACCAACTTTTCATTTTGTTAAACTTCTGCATTTTTTAGTCTCAATTTTGTTTATTTTTGCTCTGATCTTATTACTTTCCTCTAAAAATTTTGGATTTTCATGGTTTTTGCTTGTTCCTTGAGGTGCATCATGAGGTTGTTTATTTGAAGTCTTTCTAATTTTTTTGATATAGACACTTATTTCTATTAACTTCCATTTTAGTACACTTTTGTTGTTTTCCAAGACTTTTTATGTTGTATTTCCATTTTAATTTGTTTTAAGAAGTTTGAAAATTTCCCTCTTAATTTATTCATTGACCCATTAGTTGTTCAGGAACATGTTTAATTTCCTTGTGTTACTAAAGTTTCTGAGGTTGCTCTCATTATTGATTTCTAGTTTTATTCCACTGTGGTCAGGAAAGATACTTGATATTTTATTTTTTTTGAATTGTTTGAGACTTGTTTTGCATCCTAAGATATGGTCTATTCTGGAGAATGTTCCATATGTTGATTAAAATAATGTGTATTCTGCAACAGTTGGGTGAAATGTTCTGTAAATGTCAGTTAGGCTTATTAAGCCTAGTGTGTAGTTTAACTTTCATGTTTCTGTGTTGATTTTCTTTCTGAATAATCTGACCATTACTGAAAATGGGGTGTTGAAGTCCACTACTCTTATTGTATTGCAGTCTATCCCTCCCTGTAGATCTATTAATGTTTGCTTTATATACCTGGGAGCTTTGGTGTTGACTGTATTGAGTGTATAGAGATTTATAATGTTATATCCTCTTGCTGAATTGACCCCTTTATCATCATATAATGACCTTTTTTATATATAGACTCTTACAGTCTTTTATTTGTAGTCTATTTTATGTGACATAAATATAGCTTTTCCTGTTTTTTTTTTTTTTTGTTTCCAGTTGCATGGAATGTTTTTTTCTACCCTTTCACTTTCAGTCTATATGTATCTTTGTAGGTGAAGTGGGATTCCTGTAGGCAATATATAGTTGGCTCTTGTCTCTTTAGCCACTCTGTCTCTTAATTAGAGAATTGACTCCATTTATATTTTGTGTTATTATTGATAAGTAAATACTTACTACTGACATTTTGATTCTTGTTTTCTGGTTGTTTTGAAACTCCCCCTTTCTTACTGTCTTCCTTTGTGATTAAGTGATTTTCTCTGGGAATATATTTTAATCTATCACTTTTTATTTTTAGTAAATCCATGATACGTTTTTCCATTGTGGTTATCATGAATCTTTCAAAAAATATCATATAAATATAACTAGATATTTTAAAGAGATGACAACTTAGATCACAAAGAAAAGAATAGAAACAATGAGAAAATAAAAAATTGGTATTTTAACTCCATCCCCCTACATTTTTACTTTTTGTTGTCTTGATTTACATATTTTTATATTGCCTATCACTTAACATGTTGCTGGAGGTATATTGTTTTTGGTAGATTTGTCTGTCTGGCTTCATACCAGAGTTATGAATGGATTGCATATTACAATAAAAATATTGGGAGTATTCTGAGTTTGTCCATCCATTTAATTGTACCAGTGGGTTTTATACCTTCATATATTTTTCTTTTTGCATGTTTTCTTTTCTTTCAAATTGAGAACTCTCTTTAGCAATTCTTGTAAGATGGATCTTGTGGTGGTAAATTATCTCAGCTTTTGTTTGTCTGGAAAAGATTTTTTCTCTCATTTACGTTTGAAGGATAGCTATGCTAGATACAATATTTTTGAATGACAATTTTTTTTTCTTTTGGCACTTTGAAAACATTATCTAACACCCTCCTGGGCTATATGGTTTCCTTGGAGAAATCTGTTGCCAGATTAATTGGAGCTCCTTTATGTGTTATTTGCTTCTTTTCTCTCGCTGCTTTTAGAATCCTCTCTTTGTTCTTGATCTCAGAAAGTTTTATTTTCTTATGCCTTTTTATTTGGGTCAAGTCTTTTTGGTATTCTGTAACCTACCTGTACCTTAATATTTCTCTGTTTATCAAGGTTTGGAATGTTTTTTGTTATTATTTATTTGCAGAAGATTTCCACCCCTTGTTTTTGCTCAGTTCCCTCTTGGACACTAATAATTCTTAGATTTGTTCTTTTGAGGTAATTTTCTATATCTTGTAGGTGATTTTCCTTTATTTTCATTCTTTTTTATCCTCTGACTGTGTGTTTGTAAATAGTGTATCTTTGAGCTTATTGATTCTTTCTTCTGCTTGAAATATTATGCTTCTGAGAGCCTCTAATTAATTTTTCAATTTGGCAAATGCATTTCTTAGTTCCAAGATTTCTGTTTGATTTTTAAAAATTTATTTCAATCTCTTGTTAAATTTATATAATAAATTTCGGAATTGCTTTCTTGTGTTATCTTGGTGATCACTGAGTTTTCTTAAAACTGCCATTTTAAATTCTTGGCCAGAAAGCTTACATTCACTGTCTCATTTGGGTCAATCACTTGTTACTTGCTTTGTCTGTTTGGTGGAAGTCATGGTTCTGCATTTACTGTCTTTTCTTGTGGATGTACCTTTGTGTCTTTTCATTGAGGGATTAGGTATTTATTCTAGTCTTCTTTGTCTGGCTTTTGTTTGGGCTTCTACTAGGTGTGTTTGCTTAGAGACTCTTTGTAATTTACCTGTTGATTTCCTTTCTTTGTTTTCTGCTAGGTTGCTGCTTCTTTTTCAGCAGTAGATGGTGCCTTAGGTTCAGGTTTGCCTTGGCTGTAGTAATGAATTGACGTGCCACCTGTCTCAAATGGGGGAGATTCAAAAGGGGGATATCCTGATGGAATGGAAAGGTGAGCTAGAAGTTCTTGCCCAGGGGACCAGTGAAACAAATCTACAACATGGTGCTACTGAACTGCTACTCTGATTTGTTATCTCCATTGGCTAAGTTACAGGGTAAAGTTTCCAAGGCTGGATATGGTAGTTTTACCTCCCCACTTTGTCTCTGGCTGTCCTCAGGGATATTTCTCTTCTCAGTCACTCTGGATTCTTCCTGTGAGTTGAGGTAAGGACTGATCTCCTGCCAAGAAACTCAAGATGGTAGGAAAGCTGGTTGTCCACTTGCTCTCACATTTTCCAATGTAAAAACCCTGAGTTGGGTGAAATTTTGCATGTGCTTGGTGCCAGATAGATTGGGCAGAGGGGCATCATGGATATGGAAGTCTAATTTTCTTACCATCTGCTCAGAGTTTTTTTTAATTTCTATTTTCTCTGTGGCCCCAGGAACTGTATCATCCTCATATTAGATTTCTGGGTTATTGCTGAGTATAATCTTGGTGCTGTATATTTGGTTTTGGTTTTGTGTGGTGGGGAGTGATGCCAGTTTGCTACTACACTGCCATTTTGGAACCAGAAGTCCTCACATGTGCCCTTTAGCCTACCTCTTTCTTTCCTATTAATGTCAAGCTTCTTGAAAACATTTTTATATTTAGTTTCTTTCAACATTCTTTCTTCTCTGCTGAAACTGGACATATTCTACTATCCTACAGGTATTACCTTTACCATGGTTATTTAAGATACCTTCCTAGTTGCCAAATTCAATGAATTTTTTTTTTCAAAATCATATTTGACCTTTCTTTCTATTTTGTAAAGTAACTTAAAGTTATGTGTGTGGTAGATAAAAATCCAAGTTCTAGAAACCAGACTAAGGCAACCTAGGATTGCTGATGCCACCAGGTATCTGGTAGAAACCAACAAAGATCTATAGGGGTTGATAATATTATCTGAGTCCTTGAAAAATTTCTGTAAACATCTGTTCAACTCTGGTATACAATAAAAAATCACAGCATACATCAACAGACAAGACAATGTAAATAAAAAATTAGTCAAAGCAATAGACAATAGAAACAGACCCACAAGACCTTCTGGCACTGAAATTGTCAGAAAAAGACTTTGAAATAGTGATGCTTAGCATATATAACCAGATAAAAGTTAAGAGAAAATTTTCTCAGAAAACTGGAAATTATAAAAAGTGTTGCAACAAAATTGAAAGAAAACCAAATACAAGCTCTAGAACTTTGAAAAGCCTGAAATTGAATTGAAAAATGTAATTAATGAGATTAATAGCAAGTGAAACACATAGTGATATGAAAAGTATAGCAGAAGACAATATTTAGAATAGAGCATAATGGAAATAATGAATGGAAAATAAAAAAGAGCATTTTAGAATGAGACATAAAGTAAAATGGGCACTTTGAGTCTTAGAAAAGACTGAACAGATAGGAGCAAAAAAATTCATAGTAATAATGTATGAGAGTTTTCCAGAATAAATGAGCGTTATCAGGTGACAGATTCAAAAACTCAATGAAACTCAAGCAGGCAAAATAAGTAAACAAACAAACAAACCAGCTCCAGTTAGAAATTTGTAATAAAACTAAGTGATATCTTAAATGTGAGAATATCAACATGGCATTCTATAACCACAAAAATATATTCTTTAAGAATGAAGGTGAAATAGACATTTCAGCCCAATTAAAAGCAAATGATTTTCCAGTAGGAGACTAGCGTAAATACTAAAGGCAATATTAAAAGGTGTTCTTCAGCAAAAAGAACATTATACCAGATAGAAGTTTTCAATGTGGAAAGAAATTAAATACAAGGAATATGGTAAATAGGGGGATAATTCCAAACAAATATTATATTTTGAAAATATAATTTTTTTAGGGTTCATAAAATATAAAATTTAAAGAATTAAGTTTATAGCAAAAAGTGAGAAAGAAGGTAGATTTCAATGGAGTTAAGTATTCTAATGAAATTTCCAAGCTGTCACAAGAATAAACATAAAATCTAAATAGTTTTATTACTATTAGTGATATAAATTCATAAATAAAAGCTTTCCCACCAAGAAAACTTCAGGCTCAAGTGGCTCCTCCAGCAAATTCTACCAGATAAGTATTGAAGGAATCTTCCACAAAATTCTCTAGAAAAAAGGAGAAACAGCATTCTCTACACAGTTTCATAAATCCAGCAAAACCTGGATAGCAAAATCAGACAAGGGTATTACTAAAAAGAAATATTGAAGGCCAGCTTCCTCAAGGACTTCCATTTCTAAAATATGCAATTTGGACATGATATATTTCCCTTTTTCATATATTACAGAGTTCACGGTATTCATATTTAGTTTAGAATTTTGCATAGGCATCTACTACAAAGATTTTCCATTTGAGATTGGGAACAAGAGAATACCTACTCTCATTGCTTTTTCTTAATCCTGAGAGGTCTAGCTAGTGCAGGAAGGTGAGAGGAACAAATAAAAGTTATAAGAATGGAAATAAGGAAATAAGACTTTCACTCTTTGCTAATGATGTGATTTGGTATGTAACAAATCTAAGAGGTTTGACAGATAAAATTATTAATATTTTAAAAATGAGTTTAGCAAGGTTGCTAATAGAAAATCCATAGAATAAAAGGCATTTATTTTTATATGCAATAATAAAAATACACATGAAAAAATAAAATTTTAAAGTTGCCTCTTGCAATTAGGAAACAAATTTCTAGGAATTAATCTAAGATGTGTAAGACCTCTAGAAAATTTGGGAGAAATTAATGAATACTGAAGTAAATGGAAAAATACTCCATGTCCATGAATTAGAAGACTTAATCTAAGAAAGTTATCAATTCTTCCTAAATGTATCTACATATTTGATGTGATCCCCATCAAAATCCAATGGTTTGTGTGACTGTACGCAGAATTATGCTATTTATATGGAATAATAGAGGGCTTCACATAGCTAATATATCTTCTGCTAGATATAAAAAACTTGTTTTAAAGCTACAGTACTTAAGATAGCTGGTTAAAATATAGATGAATAGTCAAATGTAATAGAATATGGAATGCAGGAAAAGTCACGCACACGGAAGAGCACTTGATTTATGTTGCTGCAACGATTGGATATCCACATGGGAGAAAAGAAACTTGCTATTAACTTCAAGATATATGCAAAATCAATTCCAGATAAATCATAGACCTTTACATGAGAGTCAAAATACTCAAATTTATCAAGGCAAATTTGGAAGAATATCTTCTATCTTTGGGGTAGCTTATTTAAAAAAACCTAGACACAAAAAGCATTAACCATGAGATAAAATTTATAGTTGTAACACAATAAAATGAAAAACTTCTATCCATCAATAATCACCATTAAAACAGTAAAAACAAAACAAAAGCTATTTATAGAGTGAGAGTACATGTAAATAACAAAAACCTCTTACAGAAAATACAAAGATCTCTTGTAAATCAATAAGATAAAGATAGACCACCCAGTGGAAAAATAAATGGACAAGATATTGCAACAGCCATTCCACAAAATAAGTTATCTAAATGATTACCACACAGATGGAAAGGCATTCAACTTTATGCCTTTATGCCACAGTGATATCCCTATACACCCATCAGAATAGCTGAAATTAGAAAGGCACCCAATATCAAGTGTTGGTGAGGTTGTGAAACAACTGGAATTCTTAATGCTGGTAGATGTGTAAAGTGGTACAGTGACTTTAGAATATACTTAGACATTTTCTACGTAAGTTGAGGATTCTATGCAATCTTTTAACCTAGCAATTTCATTCCAAGTTATTTACCCAACAGAAACGTCTGTTAGATGATAAATGTGATTTTGTAACAGCTTTATTCATAATGGCCCCAAACTTGAAGCAACTCAAACATCCACAAAAAAATAAATAAATGTGAATACTATATTCTAGTGAAAAACAAATAAACTACCACAATATAACAACCTGGGTATGTATTGGAAATACATTGAACACAAGACACCGGGCATAAAAGAATGTGCCCCGTATCATTCCATTCATATAAGGGTCAAAATAGAATTCAGGTAGAGTGATTAAGAATGTATCATTAGGTGGTAAAATAGATAGGAAAACAAGGATGTTATTACCATAAAATCAAGATAGTAGTTTTTTTTAGGAGGAAGGGATGTGGTTGTCATTAGGCAGGTGACTATCTGGGAATGCTCTGTCTCCTCACCTAGCCGGGAGTTACATACATGTTTAATTTATAATAATTCAGTATGCCATACATTTATTTTTATATGCCTTTCTGGAAGTGTGTTTATATTTCACAAATATATTCAAAATACCAATATTTTCAGCTCACTTTCCTGAGCTTCTGACTTATATATCTATGTGTTTAATGGACACTTCTACTGATAGTTCCATTGGCACTTCAAATTCTACACATCTCAATTGATGTGTACAATTGGTCTTACCTCAAAAATCTGTTCTGCCTGCTGAATTTCGCAAATAGGTGAGTGCTACCATCATTGACTTGGTCTTCTAGGCCAGGGATCAATATGTCATCATTGACTCATCCTTCTTTCTTGCTCACCACGTTTAATAAACTTCTATTGATTTTATCCCTTAATGTCTTTTGAGCTTATTCCTCCTGTTCATTTCTAGGCACTTCCTTTGTATGTAATCTGTTATCACTTCCACAGCCTCTCTTCTCTCCTCTCTACTATTTGGTGTTGCCTTTCTCTAGTGTATCCTCCATACTGTCACCAGAGAGTTCTCACCTACAGTGCTAATCTGACGATTTCCACCCCTTCATTAAGCTTGTACTGACTTATGTCAGCTTACAGAAATCATTCTTAACCTTTCTGTGTAGGCTTATTAATTATGCTCTCCCACAGTCCTTGCTTCTGAAAGTGTCTTCTTTATTAAAGATGCAGGGATGAAAGAACAAAGCAGTGGCATCCACTTCCCCCCTCTCCTACCTCCTACCCTTGTCTTGTACTATTTTTTCACATTTACTTTTGTAACCTTACTGTAGTCTTCCTGTGTGTAAGTTGTTCTGAATAGCACCTTGCATATACCTCCAGACAGTTTTGTAACAATCTGCTATGAGCCTCAGGGAATATGATAGAGTAGGTATTCAATAATTGCATAATGGATATTTTTTACTAAATGAATTCAGAGGCAGAAAATGTCACCTCTTTTGAGGAGATTCCAGAAGCTTCATTGTCCATCTGCAGTAGGCCTTGAAAGCTGAGAGAGCACTCAAAATGGAGACAATGCCACAAACATAGGTGCAGAGGCAGATGTGTTACACAGCATTATATAAATGTGATTCCACAGCAAAGATGGGGTTGTTCAGTATTTATAAATTTCGGCTTTATGTTGGAAGATTGATTTTTTAAATAAGTCTGCTGTGTCTGCAGTTAGGCTATTCAACATTCATTTTGACTACAACTTGATGGGAGCTATTATTTTCCATTGATTATTTTTATTCAATACATGACAGAAAGACCAGATTCCTAAACTGGCTGCAAAATCATAAATATTTAAATCCAAGTTATTTGCCATGCAGAGATATAATCAAGTCATGATCGCTAACTTATATGTTTGGTGACTTGATTATTGATTTTTACAGCTCTAATCTGAATTCTGTAGTAATTCACTGAAATGGCTTTGAGGAGACTGTTCTTGTAATATTGCAGAAAATAGTCCTTCATATATGTGGATTCAAAGAACAAAGGTCTAGAAAATAGCAGATGATCATTTTGCATTCACATTTCAAAGAACAAGTGATTTAGAAAAAATTTGAGATATCGTGTAGCTTAATCTTGTAAATACTGTTTCAGATGATGAAACAGTCTCGGGGGTCAGTTGACATATTCAAAGTCATATAGCTAATTAGGGTCAGGACTAGAATCCAGGTCTCCTACCTCCCAGTCCAAGGCTTTTTCTTATTCTTAAGAATTGTAATACGCACATAAATGATTCAGAATCTTAGCTTATATAAGGAATAAGGAGACAGTATCCTACTGTTCTTTGATTTATCTGGTACAGATATACAGACTGTTTATGAAATGAATAGTGATAATAATGACAGTAAGAGTTTTTACTTATTGATCACGTATGTACCAGGCTCTGTCACAGATACTTTACCTAACATATTTCTAGTCCTCACTATAACAGCATGAGGTAGGAATACTTTATAGATGAGAAATATTTCTAGATGAGTCTCAGAGAAATTTATACACATTGTCCAAGATCTGTCACATGTGATCTCTGATCCGTTATCTATAGTTTCAGAATAACCTCATGTAACTTGGAACCCCCCAACCCTGCCCTGGCAAGTGGGAGTCCATTATGTATCGGTATGGACTTGGCTGCATATGACTGCTTTCAATCTCAGTGGGTCCTGTTACTAAGCCTTAACTTTCTGCTTATTTACTTTGATGGAGAGCTAGAGGCTAGAGAATTAATGTGGAGGGTTATTGTGTTCACTAATTTTTGATTAATTTAACAAATGTTTATGAAGTTCCTACAGTCTTAAAGATTCTGAGATAGACTTTGAAGCCTCAAAACAAGAGGCAGAATGGTAAAGAAATACGTGCTTTAGACAATGTCTGCTATTCACTAGTTCTGGGACCTTGGGCAACCTTCTGAATACCTGCATTTCAGTCTCTTCTTCTGTGCCATGGGAGTCATAACTATCCAACGAGGTTATGGTATAGAACAGTGGTTCTCACCTGGAACAATTTTGCCTTCCATGGGACATTTGGCAACATCCAGAAACAGTTTTGCTTGTCACAAATGGGGAGCAGAAGCTACCACAAAGCACAAAACAGCTCCAAACAACAAAGTCAAAATGTGAACAATGCCAAGGTCGAGAAACCCTAGTGTAGAATCCATGCAATAATATGCATGTAACGGGAGATGTATTCGCCACAGTCATGACTCACAGAAAACTTCCCAGCTGGTTCTAGGCAGTCCTATTTCAGTAGTGGCTATCCCCTCAGAGGCTGCCTATCCACTTTCCCTCTGGTAGAGTATCCCAGGAGGCTGGGATCATTGAAAGGGTGTTGTCCATAAATGGTGGAGCGATGGCACAGAGAGTAGGAGGAGTGGTTCTTAGTGGGTGAAGCATAGCTCTGAGTCAGCCTGCTCACAGATCCCTGAATTTTATAATGGAAGATACTTCTTTCTCCCACTATTGGATCAAGGACTGTCTGTCATCCTTCCCTACCTAAGTTCACCTTCTACTTCTTCCCATTCCTTACTCAGCCTGCTCTACCTGGTCTTTGTGAGAAAAGAACAAACATAAAAACAAACAAACAAAAAACACTTGTACCAACAAAGTAAAACAAATAAAAAGCAAACATACATAGGGGTCTGTCCTTTTGCTATTTAGCCAGGTGCTCCTTCTCTGTTTAAGTTCTAAATGGGTGACTGAATACACCATGAGAGCCTGGGGTGCAGGTGATACAAACCCTCTGGGAATTAGAGAAGGGTGGAGGGTGGGGGAAAGAGGAGGAAGAAATACATAGGTGAAAACACACAGCCATGACCTTGAAATAAAACAATAGCAGATCTCTCATTCTAGGCCTGACCCAGACTACTCGATCACTAGCACTTCCTGATTTCCTTCACTCTGAGTGATGCCTAAAGTGTAGCTGTCATGAGTCATTGACTGATTGGCTAGAAAGAAGTTTACAGGCTTTTGATTCCAGGTCTGTCCCCATGTGACTATTTCATGTCTAATGTCTATGGAGTATCTACAATGCACCAGGCATGATGTGGAGCACAGATATGAATTATTATTTCACTTACACTTCTTTTAAGCCCTACGATATAAGCATTGGTATTATCTTCATGTTACCCATGAGGGTACTAGAGTTAAGAGAAGTGAAGTGACTGGGAACAGGATTATACTATTGGCGGGTAGTAGAGCTAGGGCTTCATCGAAAGCAGCTTTACATAAGAAATGATGCTTCTAACCACTAGGCTGCACTAGCTTCCTTGATTTTGGTCTCCATGCAAATAATAATTTAAAGAAGGAGCATTCCAACATTTATATAAAACAATACAAAGTAAGCATCTGAGGCAAAGAAAAATTGCATGACTATGTAATATATTGCTTAGCCTTCCCCTGCATTATTAAGTAGTGTCAGGAATAGAAATTTTCTAAAATAAATTTTGTGCTTCAACACAATTCAAAGATATAATAGTTTTCTTTGACATTATTTCCATTCCTTACTTAGCCTTTTCTGGATTCTACTTTTTTAATATATTATTTTATCCCCACGAATGAGTAATAAATTATAGTAATGATCATTGAGTTACTTAAAACAGGAAGTTTCTGTCCATTATTAGCTTTCAAATGTTGTATAATTTCAAATAAGATGAGAGTTCTGAAATGACGATTTAAAGGCATGATGTTTGAAATGCAATTATTTTTAGAGTTTGTGTTTAGGACTCATTTTGAAAAAAACAAAACAGAAACGACTCACCAATTTTATAATAGGTTTTATTTTGGTAGTTTTCCCCATGTGGCACAAAGCATGATTTCAGGTAGGGCTACTGTAGTTGGCTTTGCAGGCTGTGGTCTTCACATGGTGGCTTCCAGGCCGTGGGCAATGGTGTCCTGGGGCTGGCTTATACCTCTTGTGAGAGCTGATTATGAGCCTCACTTCCCAGCTCCACATTCAGTGATATGAACTCAGTAGCTTAAAATTGGCCATGGTGGCAATATTTATACCACAGAAATGGGCAAACTGTGTAAATCAAGGAGCTGGCTGTCAGACAGTTATCAGCACACCACTGGACACAGTGGGGAGGAGAGTTGAAAAACTAAACCTTAGCCCTTGCTCTGCTCAACAAGCAGGCACAAACCCTCATCCCTGATTTGGGGATGGATTGGAAGGGGCTTTGTTTTTCATTCATGCAAAGCTGCCCTCTACTCACAGCTGCACGCTCACAAGGCTCTGGTTCCAGGAGGGGTTTCTTCTACTCATTTACACGAAGGCAACAAATGCTCCAGCAGCCAACCCTGAGTTTAGGACAGTCGTTCGCAAACCTGGTGGGTTATCCTACAATTTTTTAAGATGTAGATATTAGGACTTTTGATGGATATTTATTCGGTTTGTGCAACATCCAACAATGCTGCTCTTCTTCCTAACTTGCAAAACCAATTTTTTCTGGGTGTTTACTGACCCAGGGGAGGGCAAATGTATCTCCAACTCCAGGGGTTAATCATGAGTGCTAGAAACCAATCAGGGTAATCATCCCTGATCTGTTTAAGTGTAGGCACGTGACTCAGTTGTGGTTAATTACACAAGGCTAATTATGTTAATTACATGAGGCTAATTATGTGAGACCCGCCTGCTGCTAGGCTTCTGAGGAAGAGCCTAAATTCCAGAAAGAGACCTAAGAAAAGATGGCCCCTCTACCTCTGCTCATTGCTGGATATTGTATAACAGAAGCTATTTAATGCCTGGAATTGTTGCAACCATGTGTGAATGACAAGGGGACACAGCCTGAAGGCAAAGCTGACACACTCAGAATGGGATCGTCAAGAAATAAAATCTGTATCCCAGATGATGCAGCTGAGCCACAAATTACCCAAGTGAAACTGGACCAGCCTCTATATTTCCCATTCTTTGCTTAAGGGAATTTGAATAGGCCTTTTCTGTTACTTGCAACTGAAAGAAATTTAACCAATATGTCTTTGATAAGGCCTAGGACTCTCAATTTTAAAAATTTTCCAAAAGATTCTGATGATCAGCCACGTTCGGAAACCACAAGACTTAAGTTTCCTAAAAATGAATGCGGAGTTTTCTGATAGGTATGTCAAGATGTTTACTCACTCGGTTTTTGTGTGGCCAGGTAAGCCTTGTGGCAAATGGAGCCCCTGAGGGAGTTGTGCCAGCTCAGGAGTAGCCTTGCCTATTTGCTCCAGTATCCTGTAAAATACCAGTTTCTATGAGTGGCATGGTGTGAAAAAAGTTGAGGAGCACCAGAATGCTGTCTTTAAGCACAGTGTGGTGGGAAGGTAATAGGACAACATCA
The DNA here is from genome assembly GCF_000001405.40 of Homo sapiens. Lineage (NCBI taxonomy): Eukaryota > Metazoa > Chordata > Mammalia > Primates > Hominidae > Homo > Homo sapiens. The sequence goes on along the minus strand of NC_000002.12, from coordinate 14,829,583 downwards.
CCAAAGATTGCTCTTTGGTGCAATCTTAGAAATGTACTTTGTCCATTTGTTTCTCAGTTTTATCATCTATGAAATCATATAAAGTTGGCTGTTTTAATGATGAAGAATGATAATAGTGAGGATAAATTGTGACAATTTGGGTGTGACCTCCTAGTTGCCTTGTTCTATGTATTCTTTATACTTTCAGTAGTAGATACAGGAGAAGATTGGTACTAGCTGTGCATTTCAGTAGAGAAACACCCTCATTCATTCTACGTCTCTGGAAATAATAATACTGACAAGCATTATTATTGCTCAGCAGGAACAGATAGGTGTTTCTAACTCTTTCAAAGCAGTCATGAAGCACATGTAGACCTGAGCAGCTGAGTTCAGTGTAATCTCCCTTTCTGACTCCTGAGCCCTTACGTACCTTAACGTTATCCATTAACCTGGGTTCTGATCCTTGGCTTCTTCTATTCTGGGCCTCATCCTGTCAGACTTCTAATAAAGACCTCTGCCTTCCTCAGGTGACTTTGAGTCTTGACTCTGTGAAAAAAAAAAAAAGAAAAACAAAAATCACCACCAGGCAATTAAACAGAAAGCATTAATTGTACAGTCTCATTTAAAAATAATTCATATTCACACAAAAGCAATCTGTTTCTATCATCCAAAGATTCACTCTTAATGTTTTGTTATATTTTTATTCAGAATTATTTTGACATCCATGCTATTTTGTTTAAATAATAATTTCAACCCCAACACCTATGAAACATCTATGATTCTTCTCTTTCTCTCCCTCATCTTTTCACTTCTAATCCATCAGCAAGTCCTATGGATTGCACCTCTGACTGCATATAGTTAGTTAAATTCATTCACTTCTTCCTGCTCCACTGCCACTCCCTCACTCAGGCACCATCATGTCCTACTTGGTCCATTCCAACAGCCTCCCAACTCATCACCTTGTTTTCACTCTTGTTTCATAGAATTTATTTTTTTTGCACAGTCATTAAAGTGATCTTTGTATGTGTTAATTAAATCTTACTCCCCTCTAAAGAACTTTTCTAAGGCTTCCCATTGAGCCTAGAATAAAATCTAGATTCCTCTCATGTGGTTTGAAAGACCCAATGTGGTCTGACTCTGCCTAACCTCTCCTCCTTTTTCCACCCATGTCACTCATGGGACTTTGCACTTCCTGTTTCCTCTGCCTGGAACATTAATCCTCTGGCTTTTTCATGGGCTGCTCCCTCTCATCACCCAGGTGTCAGCTCAAATGCCCCTTCCATGGAAAGACCTTTCCTGCTCACCAAACCCAAGTAGCCTCCATCAGCCACTTGTTATCAAACCAACCTGGTGTATTTTCTTCCATACGCACATCACATTCTAAAATTGTCTTTTAAAAACGTTTATTTATTATCTATTTTTTTTCTAGAAGGTAAGATACAGGAGAGCCATGTCCACCTAATTTATTTACTGCTGTACCCAGTGTTTCACATAATTTCTGACCATATACAATCAGTATCCAATAAACATATGCTGAATGAGTAAATGAATGAATAACTGAGATTATAGTATGTTTTTGTGTTTTTCATTTTTCACTTTCTAAAATGTTAAGCCAAAGTTTATTTTTTAAAAAAATTTCAAAGTGTCTTTTTTTTATTATTGTAAAAATACTTAACATAAGATCCATCCTCTGCACTTAAGTACAGTATCAAGCACAGGCACAGTGTTGCACAGCAGGTCTTTGGAACTTACTCATCTAATAGGACTGAAACTATTCCTGTTGAACAGGAACTCCCCACTTCCCCTCTCTCTAGCCCCTGGCAAACACCATTCCATTCCCTGCTCCTCTAAGTTTGATTATTTCATATACATCGTATAAGTGGAAGCATTCAGTATTTGTCCTTTTGTGACTGGCTTATCTCACTTAGGATAATGTTCTCTAGATTCATCTATGTTGTCTCATATGACAGGATTTCCTTCTTTTTAAGGCTGAATAATATTTCATTAAATGCATATACTGCCTTTTCTTTATCCATTCATCCACTGATGAACATGGAGGCTGTTTCTGTGTTCAATATAATTGAAATCAAGATCTTGAAAGGATGCCTGCACTCTCATGTTCATGACAGCATTATTCACAAAAGCCAGTGTTTCTTCAAGCTGAAAAAATGCCCACGGACTCCCAAGTGTTGACTCATGTCTACACAAATGTGAAATGCAGTTACATTCCTCATGCTTGTAATTCTTATATGTATCTAAAATCAAAACATGTTTACAAACTACATACAGAGCTGCAAAACAAATAGAATTTGAATTAACAATATTAACATGATAGATGATATTTTGATGAAACCAAATCACCACTCACAATGTGAGTAAGATGCAGTTTCTTTTGAATTCACAGAACTATCTGGTCCTTGCTCTGTGGTGGTTCAAATTTTTCCTGACTTTTCTGTCTTTGAACTACTATAAGACATTAACTTGTACATCATGCTGTGTTATATTTATTTGGAATGAGTGTGATATATTGGAAATAGACTTACCTCTGGTCTTTTCTCATTAACCTTTCTTAATTAAGTCCTGCTTCTGGGTGCAATGTGACCTTTAACCTATAGAAAATGAGGGTAGTGGGATTGTGTTGCAGGCTTGTTTTTAAGGGGATTCTCTGGATATTCCAGCATAGCTTTACAAAGAGTTGGAACATGTTCTCTAGCATTCCAGGAGGCATCTCCAGGAGAAAAGTAGTCAGAGGCAGGGGCTGGACCAAACTTCTTCCTAGCGCCTGTGAGTGACAGCAAAGGCCTCACTTTGGGACTGGAGGTTTAGGGTAGGGTTGAATGGTAAGGAGCAGGGCTCTGTGAGAAGGCCAGCCAGACTGCAAGGGAGTGCCCTACAGGAGCATGATGTGATCTCTTCCTCATGACTCAGTCAGCCTCTCTTGTGCACTAAAACACCACAGTGTTTGTTGAGCTTGGATGCCCTGAAGCAAACAGTGATGGGCAGAGTTCTGCATGGAGCTGCCATGAGAAAGGGACAGGAAGACAGATGCAAGAGGAGAGATTGGCATGGCTTGGAATTTAGCCACATCTACGAACTGAATTTTTTCAAATCCCTACATGGTATCTCATTTATATATAATATCTCACATCCCTTCCACTAAATAGCATCACACACATACCACATCCCATTAAATACAGTGTCTTATGTATGTGTGTGCATTTACATATTTACTTATATATTTATTTTGTTATAAAAGTCAATGTTTATTCAGAATAAATAGAAAAGCACAACTAATTACAAATTTTAAGATGCCAACAAATACCTCAAACATCACAAAATCCAATATTTTAATTTTACATAATTACAAAGACTTGTGACCATGTGAACACATTGCTAGCTCCTCCTCACCCCTTTGAGCTTTAGAAAAAGTTAGTGCCAGTGAGAAGCCCTGAACTTGTTTCTCATTAGTTCACAGTGTATTAGTTATCTATTGCTGTGTAACAAATTACACCCTCCTCATTTAGCCTCTTGAAACAAAAAACATTTATTACTTCACACAGTTACTTATGGTCTCATGGGTACTAATTGCCAAACCTATTTGAATCCTGGACTATTGGATTAAAAAGTCTGTATTATTATCCATAACCTCTGTAGCCCCCAACACATCCTGCTCACTCGTATCTCATCGATTTCGTGCAAACTGCTTTTTCCACCTGGAACACCCGTGTCCTTTCATGTAACGTTTCTACCTGGCAAATGCCTACTGACACCCAGCCTAGTTCCTGCCTTATTTATGAAGTCTCATTAAGTTCTCTGGGATGACTAGGGGTTTCCTTCATCTAAACTCCTCTAAACCCTACCTTTCCCCCAATTTAACAAATTTCTTGGAGAGTTTGAATTGCTTAGGTATTTGCAAGGTATATTATAAGTTGCTGGAATACAGGGACCATTTTTTTTTCTTCCCCAAATCCACAATAGCTGCAAAAGCCCTGACGTGAGGTTGACAGTAAAGATCTGTTGCATGAATGAATGGATTGCCCTAGATTCTGAGAGACGAGGCTCATTTCTAAGGCCATATGCCATTTGTATTCTGGATGATTAGCATTTAGTTAATGATTATAGCAAATTACTGGGGCTACAGGGAGTCAGCTCCCTTCTGGTGAAATTTTCTGTCTAGAGAAAGGCACTGGGGCAAGTTAACCATCAGTGAACTAGTGACCATACGCTACCTACTTTATATAGATAACAACCATGTTCACCAGATTGATATTGCACTTAGAACCTTTTCATGCCAGTAGAACCTGCAAAATTCTATTCTATTCCAAGAGGAATAGAGCTTTACCAAGTGAGTTGCACCTGCAGGTGGCCAGAGCCCCATCGTGGGTCTGCCCAGCCCACTGCATCATGAAGCACATTGATGTTCCTTGTTCAGTAGCTGGATCTCAGGTGGCAGAATCAGCAAAGATGAGTTAGGAGATTCCAGCTGCCTGCCACACCCCGACAAGCACCCATCTTTTCCAGATGCCAAATATATCTACTGATTTTAACAATTTTCTTTCTTTCTGTGAATTAAAATACTTTATGTGGAAATACATGAACCTAGGGCACCGAAAGAACAGAAAAGAAAATCTCAAGCATTCTTCTCCAGGTACCCCTTGCCTTGGACAGAAAGGTTTTGCTTGCAGCTCCTGAACCACTTCACTTCCTGCGTGTCTGCTCCTTCTCATGCATTTTCCTTTTCCCTCACTGCTTGGTGGAATTCTAAACATCTCCTTCTAGGAGTTCTACCCATAATCTCATAGAACATGAACTCAGGTTCTACTGCCTCCAAGTCGCAATCGCCGATTACTCCAGCTCCCACTGCTTTCCCACTGTTTGGAATTCCAGTGATGTTTGCTGTTTGGTGCTTTTTATAGACCAGCACCTCTGCCCCGCCAAATTTCATATGCATGCTCTTCACCTGGAGGATTCCTTAGAATGCAGATTCTGACTCAGGTCTGGAGTGGGCCTGAGAATCTGCATTTTTAATAAGCTGCTGCTGATGCCCTTGTTGCTTGTCTAAGTACCACACCTGAATAACAAAAGTGTAGATTTATTGGTTTTGAGTATTTTCCTCCCTTTCTTTCTTTCTGTCCCCTACAAATATTTATTGGACTCCTATATTTTACACTAGTGTTATGTGCTGGTATTGAAGAGGTAAAACCTACCTCTTAATAGCATTGTAATTTTATTTGCCTTTTAGTTCATCTACTTATATATTTGTACTTTTTCTGATATTTAGATTCACAGTTCTTTTTCCTTCCTTCTCAATCAATTGTAACCTCCTTGAAGGGAGAAAATTACCTGTGAAACCTAGGTAATATTTTGTTGCACAGTCTGAAATCAACAAATCTGGGCTCAAATTCTAGTTCTACCTCTTATTTACTAGATGTGAAATTTGGGCACGTTTTCTAGCCTCTGAGACTAAGTGCGATCACCTGAGGGGTGGGGACGACAGTTGCTGAGAGTGGAATGAGATGCTGCTTGCAACACGTCTGGCGCAGGGTTGCCCCTCTGGCTCTGGGCAGTGGCCTTTTCTCCTGCCCTTCTCGACACTGAGTAGCCCCAGACATCACGGTGATTCAGGTTCAGGGCAGGTTGGGGAAAGTATCAGGAGACAGTGCCTCGGAGTGGTTTGGTTTTCTTCTGTTCTGTTTCTCATTTTGAAACTTCCATGGAAAGATTTCATGATATGCTGGAAAATGTTTACATTTTTGTTGTTTTAAAATTTTATTTAAGATATGCTTTCAAATTCCCTTTTTAAACCACAAGGAAAGGTGGTTGATATGGTAACTAAGCTTTAAGAAGAAACATGCATTTATTAGGAAAAAAAAGCAACTTTTATTCCAGTAAATGTACCATCAAGTCTGCTGCAATTTCAACCATTTTTAAAAGTTTTAATGTCACTTGAGTTTGCTTTTCATTTAGAAAGAATGAACGAATCATTTCGAAAAATGTAAAACCTGAGAGTTGTAATGGGACATGGGATAGGACCCTGGCCTGCTATAGAAAGGCAGATTTGTGGTTTAGCTCTGGCTTTTCCAACAATTAGCTATGTGATCTTCATAAAAAATTACTTAAAATGTATCTAGGTTCTGTTTCCTCATTACAAAATGTGTAGGTCAGACTAAGTAATGCCTAAGAGTTTTTTTCTGCTTTATAAAAGCCAACTATTATTCTTATTAATTTAGTTACAAGTATTGGAGAAATGAAAACTTCAGTCAAGTAAAACAATTTCCTTATAAGTTTTACAAGTGAATCATGTAAACGAGATTATGAAGAGGAATGTTTAAAATGCTTCAGAGAACACTTTCAAGCAATTTGAACACTTACAGAGCATGGATTTAGGTACAAAAAATGGATTGGCTAATTGCAAACCGTTCTTAACTGCTCATTAATGCACACTGGAAAACACACTTTGCTTAAATCGAGTCCCTGTAGGGTCCTGACGGGAATAAGAGTATATTTTGTTAAAAAAATTCTATCTAAAATTTATGTTTGTTTTGCCAATTCAGCTTGTGACAGAACACTATATGTGACAGTTGAAGGCTCAGATGCTGCTACCAGACTTTGGGTTCAAACCCTGGGTCTGTCACTGTTTGGAAAGTCATTTGCTCTCTCTAGAAGAAGCTTCATGCCTTTACCCACCTTAGGGAAGTGATGAGGAGTAAGTGAAATATTACATTTAGCATATTGTCTGGTGCACAGATTTTCAATAATTGTTATGTTATTGTGATAGCCTCGTTTTAGTGATTTTAAGTGTGATCTATAATTATATCAAACAACAACAAACTACAATCTTACATTCATAACAGGTTTTATCCTTAAAATGTCCATTGCCTATTCAAGTTGCTCACCTTGTGGGAGTTTTCACTGGGAGGTTACACCGTGTGATGGGAAGAAAGTAGACAGGGAGATAAGCAAGTGTCATTTTGGCAAAGTCACCTCTGTCATGGGTCTTGCTATCTTCATTTATAAATAAGATAGTGGGTTGCATTAGACTAGATCTACCTGCTTGGGGTTCATGACCTTTGGAGGTCTGAAATGTATACAAAAGCCATAGGCCAAATGTTGTCTTATGAAGCTTTCTAGGGTGAAATTCCATACTATGTATCAGACTCTCAGAAGAGTCCATGAAGACAGCTGAGAGTCTCTCATATCAGTGATCTTCAGCTTCCTTTTGGCTCTGCAGTACCACAGTCATAGAACATTGGAATTTTGGTGACACCACTTGGGAACAAATTTTTTTCTGGGAAAAATTGATAACTCAAGCCATTTCCTGGTGAAATATTAAAACCTGGAATGTTGACAGTCCCTTCTGGCAATAGTAAAAACAAGAAAAAAATGGAGGACAAATTTTCAACTGACAGATGACCCAGCTTGTCCTTGTATTTCAGTGAGACAAACACTACCTACACAGGTTCTTTGGTAAGAGTTCTTATTCAAGATTTCAACATGCTTACCACATAGGATGATCGCATTAATAACATTTTTGGGTGTCATTTTGGATGTTACATTTTTTTTTTCATTGTTGAGACAGAGTCTCACTCTGTTGCCCAGGCTGGAGTGCAGTGGTGCAATCTCGGCTCACTGCAACCTCCTTCCCCCGAGTTCAAGCGATTCTCTTGCCTCAGCCTCCCAAGTAGCTGGGATTACAGGCACCTGTCACTGTGCCTGGCTAATTTTCTTTTCTGTTTTTTTTTTGTTTTGTATTTTTAGTAGAGACAGGGTTTCACCGTCTTGGCCAGGCTGGTCTTGAACTCCTGACCTTGTGACCCACCTGCCTCGGCCTCCAAAAGTGCTGGGATTACAGGTGTAAGCCATCGCGCCCAGCCCATTTTGGATGTATCTAACCAGACAGGAGAGTGCAGACTTTTTTGCTGGAGTCCTACCACTGAGCCTTCTGTATTAATCAAGTAATGTTCTCTTCTTGGCTGTTTTATGACTGAATCCTCTCCTTGTGGAAGGATCTGGAAAAAGGGATCTGGCCAGAGTTAGGGCTGAGTTCTAGTCCGGGGAAAATAGCAGGGGATTTGAGATTCAATAAATTCAGGGCTGGAAGGAGGCAAGGTGGGCAAGGTGAAGCATTCCTGAGCTGAGAAGAGTGATAACACCAAATCCAGAGCGGGCAGGGTGGATGTCAGCATCAAGTAGTCAAGAGATTGAAGTCAGGCAAGAATATCATCAGCGTCACATAACAGACTCTGGAAAATGCAAATGAGAGCTGCCTTTCATGCTGTAAACATAACTAGGCCCCTTTAATACGGCTTGATTTCCTTCTGACCACCAAGCCACCTACCATATAGGGCAGCTCTAAGTGGTTTTTAAGAGTGTCTCTGTTGGCCGGGCGCGGTGGCTCACGCCTGTAATCCCAGCACTTCGGGAGGCGAGGCGGGCGGATCACGAGGTCAGGAGATCGAGACCATTCTGGCTAATACGGTGAAACCCCGTCTCTACTAAAAATACAACAAATTAGCCCTGCGTGGTGGCGGGCGCCTGTAGTCCCAGCTACATGGAAGGCTTAGGCAGAATGGTGTGAATCCGGGAGGCGGAGCTTGCGGTGAGCCAAGATCGCGCCACTGCACTCCAGCCTGGGCGACAGAGCAAGACTCCGTCTCGGAAAAAAAAAAGAAAAGAAAAGAAAAAAAAAAGAGTGTCTCTGTTGCAGACCTCACAGAAGCTGCTCGCGTGGCTGACCTGGCCTGGCCACTTGTGCCCACAGAGCACTGCTGTAAGTGGTGAGGTGACCCTCCTGATGGGAGCTGACTGTTCAGGCTCCATCCTAAAAGAACTGCTTATTCACTCTCAAGAGAGTGACTGACACTGTTGTATCTACTCCTTCCATGCCCTTCTTCTTGAAAGTTCCTGAATGGTTTCTCACATTGAGGAATTTATACTCTTTAAGTTATTTTAAAATATACAGTTAAATTATTATTGACTATAGTCACCCTATTGTGCTATCAAATAGTAATCTTATTCATTCTTTCCATTTTCTTTTTGTAGCTATTAATCATCCACCACCTCCCCACTAACCCCTGTGCTACACTTTCCAGCCTCTGGTTACCATCCTTCTACTCTCTATGACCATGAGTTCAATTGTTTTAATTTTTAGAGCCCACAAATAAGTGAGAACATGTGATGTTTGTCTTTCTGTGTCTGGCTGATTTCACTTAATATAATGACCTCCAGTTCTATCCATGTTGTTGCAATCGATTGGGTCTCATTCTTTTTTATGGCTGAATAGTTCTCCATTGGGTATATGTACCACATTTTCTTTATCCATTCATTTGTTGATGAACACTTACGTTGCTTCCAAATCTTAGCTATTGTAAACAGTGCTGCAACAAACATGGGAGTGCAGATATATCCTTGATACACTGATTTCCTTTCTTTTGGGTACACACTCAGCAGTGGGACTGCTAGATCACATAGTAGCTCAATTTTTAGTTTCTTGAGGAACCTCCAAAGTGTCCTCCATAGTGGTTGTACTAATTCACATTCCCACCAAGAGTATGAGGGTTCCCTTTCCCCTCACATCCTCACTGGCATTTGGTATTACCTGTCTTTTGGCTATAAGCCATTTTAGCTGGGGTGAAAGGATATCTCATTGTAGTTTTGATTTGCATTTATCTGATGATCAATGATGTTGAGGACCTTTTCATATACCTGCTTTCCATTTGTACTCTTCTTTTGAGAAATGTCTATTCCAATCTTTTGCCCATTTTTTTGATTGGATTATTAGATTTTTTCCTATAGAGTTGTTTGAACTCATTATGTATTTCAGTTATTAATTTCTTGTCAGATAGGTAGTTTGCAAGTATTTTCTCCCATTCTGTGGGTTGCCTCTCCACTTTGTTGATTGTAACCTTTGCTGTGTAGAAGCTTTTAAACTTGATGTACTGCTAACTAGTAAACACTCTTTATTCAGACACTAGCTGGAAAGATATTTGTCTATGACTTAGTCCTATTGGGATCTTCTACTTTATCTGACTTAAGTCCTTGAAATCCTCTCATTTACTTCTGGGTTTTATGCTTTTCCATGATCTATACAAAAGCATTTTGTACTAGACAGTGATTTTACACTTTTCCTAATACATACTTCATAGCTGGGCTTAAAAATCTTTTGCTATTGATATTGCTATTTTCTGTTACATAAAAGAGTCAACTGGAAATCCTAGAATTATTGGAGGAGTTGCTGGTCTCTGATTATGCAGCTATGCCAGCTGTAACACTCCTTCTGGTCTTCTAGGATTGGAAGGGTTCTATAGTCAGAGTAGGATTTGCAGAGAGAAAACAATTCTTACATGGGATCTACCTACAAAAGTCTTCCTTTCATTCACAAACATGTTCCGAGCAGCTAATATGTCCCAGGAACTTAGATAGCATCTGGGAAAACAGAAATAAACACTAAGTCACTCCTGCTATCAAGGAGCACAAGGTCTAGTGGGAAGAAAGACATTAACCATAAACAATCAGCTCAGGGCAAGAGGGTTATGACAGAGGGAGGCACAGGAAGCCACAGAGCCTACAGGAGTGGCACAGGGCCCAGCCTAGGCTGTTCAGGGAAGACTCTGTAGAGGAGTTGAACTTGATCTTAGTCTTGAAGAATGAGTAGAAATTTTCTAGGTAAAAAAGGGTAGTAGGAAAGGGTTTTCCAGGTAGAAAGTGTAGATGTTCAAAGACCTAAAAATACAAAAATATTTCAAGTTCACAGAAATGCAAGACTGTGCTTCAGTACCCGGAGAGCAGAGAGTTCTTTATGGCTCCTTCCTGGTGTCATCTCCAAGTATCCTCAGTAGCTTGCCTTGCTAGTTGAAGATTCGTTTTTCTCCGTTAGCTGCTTTGTAGAGGTTTAGCAGTCAGACCTTCATGCGTCCTTCACATAGGACTTACCTTGACACGGTAAGGACTGTCGCAAATTAATCAAAATGATTAAACACCATTTACTGCTCACTGTATGTAAAGATTTTATGCTCAGTTCACTATTAATTTCTGTTGAGAGAGACATGCTGAAAAGAATGGGGGAAAAGAGAAACCAGAAGCCAGAAAACCTGGAAATGAATCCTGACCCTCCCACAACCTAACTGTGATTCTGGGCAAGTCAATTATTTGCCTTGAATCTGTGTTCTGCAAATTCATGATGAATAATGTTAACTATTATAGGATTATTGAGAAAAGTAAATGAGATGGTAGATGCAGATAAAATTTTTAAGAATTAGAATGTACTAATGATGACTATTATAACAAATCACACACACACCCCTTCACATGTACAAGTGTGGTTCAGAATAAATCTGAGTTTCTGGAAGGAAAATAGCTTGAGGAACTTTTTGAAGGAAGGTGAAAAGATGACATATTGGACACGAAGTAGGAGGTGATTTCTAAAGAAACCATGGTTCCATGGTGCTGGTGGACAGAGGTGAGTGAGATTTGAGATACTCCCAAACAGATGGAGCAGAGACAGGTGGGGAGGATGAGTGGAGGTGTGTGCAGGAACATGGTGACAGAGTGCTGAGGCTGGGACTTGTGAACTTCGTGGGTGGGAAAAGCAGTGGGTGGAAAGAACAGTATGATCAGGAGCTTAGAGATGTGTAGAGCAGGAAAGAATCCTGGAGAATAGCGAACCTCACATATTAATCCTACTAGTGAGGAAATTAGTCTCCGGAGAGGTTCAGTAATTTGCTCCTAGTCATAACCATAGTCAGTTGCAGAATGGAGATTCCAAGTTGGGAATTCTTACTTTTAGTTTTCTTGTTTTTCCTGATTTTTAACACTCTCCTGAAGGAAGCAATGGGTCCAGATTTAATCCTAATCATAATAATTAATTATTTTACAGAGAATAATAGTTCTCTGTAGAGGAGAATAAATTTAACACAAGAATATATTTATAGGTATATTATTTCTTCTGATAATTCCTGTTTAGCTCAACCTATCAACATTTACATGTATCAAGAATCCTTCTCTCTACCTCCTTCATCAAATTATTTATGCACAAATTTATTTACTGTTTAATTCAAACATACTTTTACTGGGGTTGCCAATAATCTAGGCAACACATAAAGCAATGGGGAGCCAAAGATAAACAGGAGCCTGTTCTTAGCTTTAAGGAACTCATTGTCTCATACAGAAGACAGGCAGACAAACAGACACATGCAATATTGTCCAGTGAGTATGTGCAATGAAGGGACAACATAGTTATGAAATATGTAATGGGCATCTCAGAGTTAATGGTCCTTCCTGGAAGTGGATCTCAAAGGGAACCTAGGAGTTTTCCAGGCATAAGCATGGGTAGAGGTAAGTACTGAATAGTGAATACTCCAGGTAGGTGATGTGCAAAAATCTCCATAGTTACAAGGCGGAGAAATTCTTTTCTTGACAACATGCAATAACACATGATAACATTATGAGACAGCAACACTGACATGGGTTGGTTTGGGGGAAGCATGATGTGTCAACCATGTAACAGGTGGCTTAATGAAAAGGATAAATGACAAACATTTGCAAACACAGAGCAAATCCTCTCTTCTCTCCTCAGGGAAGAGGCTAATTATTTTATGGAGTCACCTCTACTTTATGAAATCCTGCCAGATGGGATTCTGCATGTGACTTTTTCTGCTTCATTCAGGCGTGGGAAGAAGACTTTCACAGGATGAGTTCTTTTCCCACTTGTTTAACTTTGGCAGCTATGGCTCGCTCCACATCTGCAGTGTGCTGTGTCATAACAACGATATAGTTTCTGAAAAGCCAGTGATCTTTATTATCTCTGGGAATAAATATAACATGATCTTTCCTCCCAAAGAATGTACAGTAGGGAAGACAGACACGAGGTAAAGCACACATGAGACAGTAAAGTGTACAATGGATTGCTGAGGTTCTGATGTGGCTTATGCTCCTAAGACTGAATCTTTACGAATGAATAGTAGTCGGATAGCCAAGGAACTTCTTCCCTGTAGATGAATTAAAACATACATGGAACTCTGGACCAGTATCAAGTTTTTAAAGGGGATTGATAAGAGTAAAGTACAAGGTTCAGCTGAAGCAGGAAGAGACCAGTCCCAAGAAAACTTCTAAGCCAGCAGTCTCCAACCTTTTTGGCACCAGGGACGGGTTTTGTGGAAGACAATTTTTCCACAGACAGCAGGAGGGATGGATTTGGGATGAAACTGTTCCACCTGACATCATCAGGCATTAGATTCTCATAAGGAGCATGCAACCTAGATCCCTCAGATGCATAGTTCACAATAGGGTTCATGCTCCTATGAGACTCTAATGCCGCTGCTAATCTGACAGGAGGTGGAGCTCAGGTGAGAATGCTCACTCACACTGCTCACCTCCTGCTCTGTGGTCCGGTTCCTGACAGGTCACAGACCAGTACAGGTCAGCAGCCTGGAAGTTGGAGATCCCTGTGTAAGCTAAAGGAGTTTGGGCTTCCATGTCTAGAGAGCCATTGAAAATTTTAAAGCAAAGAGTGATCAGAATAGATTTTAGTTTTAGAAGAATCATTTTGGATGCAGTAGAGAGGAAGAAATGGAGAGGCAAAAGAATAAAGGCAGGGAGACCAGTTGTCAAGCTGTTGCTACAACCTTGGCAAGAGAAAAAGGGGGGCTAGATTGGGATGTAAAAATTTTAGTATTTAATTACCAATGTGTGAGGAGTATGATGGTGTGTGACAAATTTAGCAGGCCTCAGTGATTTCTAGTTTAGTTGTCTGGGTAGATAGTTATGTTGCTGTACAGGTACTACAGAAGGAAAAGCTAGTCTGGGATGGTGTGTGTGAGGAATTGAGTTTTAGATTTGTTTGGTTTGAGGTGCTTGTGGGTCCTCCAGATTAATATGTCCTGTAGAACACTGGATTGAATAGAATAGGAAGGGTCTAGAGCACAGAAGAGATGTCTGGGCTTCAGATTAAGATTTGGGCACTAGCAATATATAAAAGGTAGTTGGAATTTGGGAGGAGAAAGGTGATTGAGTTTTCCAATAGGACAAATAAACAGAGAGAGAAGAGGCTGAGCATTGTATTGAGTGACTTCTCTATTTGAAATTATAAGTCAAAAGCTTCAGATCTTATTCATTGTTGACACAGCTTTCGGATGTTTTCCCAATGGGCACTCTTTGGCTGACAACAAAGTGTGAGTGCCAGGAACTAGATTTATTCTGTGAAGAAATTTTTCCCAAAGCAGGACATTTTTGGCTCTCACTCTGAGACTGTGTGTGCTCAGGCTCTAGCAGTTCTTGGTAGTTGGTAGTTTGAATCACATTTGGGCCAATGTTTTCACACTAGTATTTTGAGTGAAGTAGCTTTCAATCATGGGAGTTGATGTGCATGCCCTAAGCCTTATAGCTAGTTAACCTGTTTTGATCTGAAAAAGCTTGGCATTTATATTATTCTGTTCTCAAACTGCTATAAAGAACTACCTAAGACTTGGTAATTTATGAAGAAAAAAGGTTTAAATGACCCACAGTTCTGCAGGTTATACAGGAAGCATGATTGGGAGGCCTCAGAAAACTTACAATCATGATGGAAGGCAAAGGGAAAGCAAGCATGTCTTCACATGGTGGCAGGAAAGAGAGAGCAAAGTGAAAAGTGCTACACATTTTTAAATAACCAGACTTGAGGGAGCTCTATCACAAGACAGCACTAGGGGGATGGTGCTAAACAGTTAGAAACCACTTCCATGATTTGATCACCGCCTACTAGGTCCCACCTGCAACACTCAAGGTCACAATTCAACATGCAGTTTGGGGGGGGACACAGAGCCAAACCATGTCATTCCCCTGGCTCCTCTGAAATTTCATGTACTGCTCACATTGCAAAATACAATCATGCCTTTCCAACAATCCCCCCAAAGTCTTAACTCATTCGAACATTAACTCAAAAGTCCAAGCCCAAAGTCTCATCTGAGACAAGGCAAGTCCCTTCTGCCAATGAGCCTGTATAATAAAAAACAAGTTAGTTACCTCCAAGATACAATGGGGTTACATGCATTAGGTAAATGCTCCTGTTCTAAAATGGAGAAATTGGCCAAAACAAAGGGACCACAGACCTCATGCAAGTCCAGAGCTCAGCAGCTCAGTCATTCAATTTCAAAGCTCCAAAATAATCACCTTTGACTCCATGTCTCACATCCAGGGCATGCTGATGCAAAGGGTGGGCTCCCAAGGCCTTGGGTAGCTTTGCCCCTGTGGATCTACAGAGTACAGCCCCCATGGCTGCTTTCACAGGCTGGCATTGAGTGCCTGTGGCTTTTCTAGGCACACTGTGCAAACTGTCAGTGGATCTACCATTTGGGGGTCTGGAGGACAGTAGCCCTCTTCTCACAGCTCCACTAGGCAGTGCCCCAGTGGGGACTCTATGTGCGGGCTCCAACTCCATATTTTCCCTCCACACTGATCTGGTAGAGGTTCTCCATGTGGGCTGTGCCCCTGCAGCAGACTTCTGCCTGGACATCTAGGCATTTTCATAAATCCTCTGAAATCTAGGAGGAGGCTCCTCAACCTCAACTCTTACCTTCTGCACACCTGAAAGCCCAATAGCATGTGGAAGCCACTAAGTCCTGAGTTCTACCTTGATCCATTTTAGCTATGACTAGAAGAGCTGGAGCAGTTGGGATGCAGGGCACCACGTCTCAAGGCTGCTTCGAACAGTGGGGCCATGGGCCTGGCCCCCCCAAATTTTTTCCTTCTAGGCCTCCAGGACTGTGATGCGAGGGGCTGCCAAGAAGTTTTCTGAAATACCTTGGAGGCATTTTCCCCATTGTCCTGGCTGTTGATATTTGGCTCCCCTTTACTTATGTAAAATTCTGTAGCTGGCTTGAATTTCTTCCTGGAAAATGGGTTTTTCTTTTCTCCCACATGGTTAGGCTGCAAATTTTCCAAACTTTTACATATAAGTAAAGTTATATGTAACCTTACTGCTTGCCTTTTAAATATAAGTTCCAGTTTCAGATAATCTTTTTGTTCATGCATGTGAGAATACACTGTTGGAAGCAGCAAGATCACATCTTGAATCCTTTGCTGCTTAGAAATTTCTTCCACTAGGTACCCTAAATTATCTCTCTCAAGTTTAAAGTTCCACAGATCTATAGAGCAGGGGCACAACGCTGCCAGTCATTTGCTAAAACATAACGAGGATGATTTTTATTCCAGTTCCCAATAAGTTCCTCATCTCCATCTGAGACCCTCTCAGCCTGGAATTCATTGTCCATATCACTATCAGTATTTTGGCCAAAACCATTCAACAAAGTCTTTAAGAAGTTCCAAACCTTCCCCATCTTCCTGTCTTCTGAGCCCTCCAAATTCGTCCAACCTCTGCCCATTACCCAGTTTTAAGGTTGCTTCCACATTTTCAGGTATCTTTATACCAATGCCCCATTTTCTGGTAGCAATTTTCTGTATTAGTCATTCTCACACTGCTATAAAGAACTACCTGAGATTAGGTAATTTATGAAGAGGTTTAATTGACTCACAGTTCTGTAGTCTGTACAGGCAGCAGGACTGGGAGGCCTCAGAAAACTTACAATCATGGCAGAAGGGCAAAGAGGAGGCAAGCACGTCTTCATATAGTGGCAGGTAAGAGAGAATGAAGGCGGAAGTGCTACACACTTTTAAACAACCAGATCTCATGAGAACTCTATCATGAGACAGCACTGGGGGATGGTGCTAAACCATAGGAAACCACCCCCATGATCCAATCACCTCCCACCAGACCCCACCTCCAAAACTCAGAATCACAAATCAACACGCGATTTGGGTGCAGACACAGAGCCAAACCATATCAGTATTTGATCTTCAGGTTTTTTATGCCACAAACTGGGGCTTTATCTTTTGAAAATGAAGGAACTAGAAACCAAATAACTTGTCATTTATTTCTACTGCAGAAATAAAGTGCATGTGAATATTTGAAATTCCTAGCCTGTCTTCTTCCTTCTTTCCATTTCTTCTTTTCTTCTATCCTTTTCTTTGATTCACTGAATATTAATAGAACACTATTATGTTCCTAGTGCTATGGTTGGAACCTTGATAAAAACAACACAGTTCTGGCTCTTAAGAAGTGTTATCTACTATGGAACATGTTAATGTAAGCAAATACTTCCTGGGAAATGTACAGGGTGTTTTAGCAGAGATGAAAACAATAGATATTAGAGATTGTGGGGGACTTGTAGAAGTCTAGTATCTCCTGGTAAGCCATCCCTTCTGGCACTCCTTATATAATTCCCTTTCACATTGGCTCTGGGGTTGGCATGGGATTAGCTTTGACTAGTAGGAACTGACAAGTTTTATTCAAGCAGAGGCTTGATAAACACTTCCATTTGGTCTTGTCTCCCTGTGATGCCCCTTCTTGTAACCTGGCCACCATTTTTTGAGAAAGCCCAACTAACCACGTGGATATGCCTGCCTCCAGGAAGCTGAGGCCCCTAGCCTATAGAGCTATGCACTAGTGGCTAGTACCAACTGCCAGCTATGTGAATAAGACCATTTGTGTCATTTAGCTATCCCAGTGCCCTAGCCAATGTCATGCAGAGCTGAAGAACCACTTGGCCAACAAACAGAATCATGAGAAATAATACATTGATCTCATTTTCATCCCCTAAGCTTTGTACTGATTTCCTATTGAGTAACTAAAATGGGGCTCATGATTTCTTGATAATCGTTTCTTCAGTCACCAAAGCCTCATAGATTGTTTATTCTTTTTCCTAACCCACTATAGCTAACCACTCATGAAGTTATGTCAGTTCTATTCTGCTAACCTCTTTCTTACCTACCTCCTTCTTACATTTCATCATTTACATTCCTAGATTCCTGGTTCCTGGTTCCTGGTTTCTAGGTTCCTGGGTTACTGCAACAGCCACCTTACTTTCTTCCCCTCATCTAGTCTTTGCCCCTCTGCATCATTTTTCCCATATATTTTAAACAAGGGTTTCTTGATCTTGATATTATTGACATTCAGACTAGATATTCTGTGCATTGCATGATGTTTGGCTGCATCCCTGACCTCTACCTCCTAAATGCCAGTATCATGATGTCCTTCCGGTCATGATAATGAAGGCTGTCTTCAGATATCACCAAATATCCTTTGGAATGGAGAGGCAGAATCACCTCCAGTTAAGAACCACTGTCTAAAAATGGATTCCGAAAACCTTATTCTTTTTTTTTCTAGAGTCAGGGCCTCACTTTGTAGCCTGGGCTGGAGTGCAGTGACATGATCATAGCTTACTGCAGCCTTGAACTCCTGGGCTCAATGGATCCTCCTATTTCAACCTCCCCGGTAGCTTGGAATACAGACATGCGCCACCATGCCTGGCTAATTAATTTGTTTTGTTAGTAGATACAGAGTCTCATTATGTTGCCAAGGCTGGTCTGGAACTCCTGGCCTCAAGTGATCCTCCCACCTTGGTCTCCCAAAGTGTTGGGATTATAGACATGAACCACCACACCTGGCCTAAAACCTTATTCTTTTATTTTCCTGTTTAAAACCCTATATCATTAGCCACTATCTTTGGTACATTTCCCAGATAAGTCCCACTCCATGTCAGGGAAATAAATGGTAGGGGAGGAGGGATGATGTTTTGGATGTTCTTACCTCACTTCTGATCTGAAATCAGGCACTCCATTTGGTAGCTTAATCTTTCTGCTCTGGGCAGAGGAGAACAGAAATCTCAAGAAGTGTTTCATGTAAAAATACAGGATTTTTTTTTAAAGTCAGAATCACATTTACTCTAATCTGCAGAAGATATGACCTACCTTTCCACTTTGTTAAATTGCTAATAGATGTTACTTATCATGCTTTTACTATGTGCCAGACACCACCATGCTTAGGGCTTTAGAGGAATTAATGTTTTTAATCCTCACAAAGCCCTGGAAGCTTGGCACTATTTTTATTCCTTTTTGAAAATTTAAATTATGTTACTTTCCCTAATAGTACAACTAACCTAGGCCAGAGTCCAGATCTGAAACCAGACCAGCTGTATTAGTTTTTGTGCTGCTGATAAAGACATGCCCAAGACCGAGCAATTTACAAAGAAAAAGATTTAATTGGACTTATAGTTCCACATGGCTGGGGAAGCCTCACAATCATGGTGGAAGGCAAGGAAGAGCAAATCATGTCTTACATCGATGGCAGCAGGCAAAGAGAGAGCTTGTGCAGGGAAACTCCCTTTTGTAAAACCATCAGATCTTGTGAGACTTATTCACTATCATAAGAACAGCATGGGAAAGACCTGCCCCCATGATTCGATTACATCCCACCAGGTTCCTTCCACAACACATGGGAATTCAAGATGAGATTTGGGTGGGGACACAGCCAAACCATATCATCCTGCCCCTGGCCCCTCCACGATCTCATGTCCTCACATTTCACAACCAATTGTGCCTTCCCAACAGTCTCCCAAAGTCTTAACTCATTACAGCATTAACTCAAGAGTCCACAGTCCAAAGTCTCATCTAACACAAGGCAAATCTCTTCTGCCTATGAGCCTATAAAATCAAAAGCAAGTTAGTTACTTCCTAGATAAAATGAGAGTACAGGCATTGGGTAAATACAGCCATTCCAAATGGGAGAAATTGGCCAAAACAAAGGGGCTGCAAGCCCCATGCAAGTCCAAAATACAGCGGGGCAGTCAAATCTTAAAGCTCCAAAATGATCTCGTTTGGCTCCGTGTCTCACATCCAGGTCACGCCGATGCAATAGGTAGATTCCCTTGGTCTTGGGCAGCTCCACCCCTGTGGCTTTGCAGGATATATCCTCCCTCCTGACTGCTTTCACAGGCTGGTGCTGAGTGTCTGTGGCTTTTCCAGGTCCATGGTGTAAACTGTTGGTGAGTCTACCATTTGGGGGTCTGGAGAACAGTGGCCCTCTTCTC
This sequence comes from Homo sapiens, assembly GCF_000001405.40. NCBI lineage: Eukaryota > Metazoa > Chordata > Mammalia > Primates > Hominidae > Homo > Homo sapiens. Next base: position 14,809,706 of record NC_000002.12, on the reverse strand, counting down.
ACAGCTCCACCAGGTGGTAGCCAAGTAGAAACTCTGTGTGGGGGCTCTGACCACACATTTCCCTTCTGCACTGCCCTACCTAGCACAGGTTCTGCATTAGGGCCCTGCCCCTGCAGCAAACTTCTGCCTGGGCATCCAGGCATTTCCATACATCCTGTGAAATCTAGGGGGAGGTTGCCAAACCTCAATTCTTGACTTCTGTGCACCCACAGGCTCAACACCACATGGAAGATGTCAAGGTTTGGGGCTTGCACCCTCTGAAGCAACAGCCCAAGCTGTACCTTGACCCCTGTTAGCCATGGCTAGAGTGGCTAGAACACAGGGCACCAAGTCCCTAGGCTGCACACAGCTTGGGATCTTGGGCCCAACCCACAGACCCATTTTTTCCTTCTATGTCTCCAGTCCTGTGGTGGGAGGGGCTGCCACGAAGACCTCTGTTATGCCCTGGAAACATTTTCCCCATTGTCTTGGAGATTAACATTTGGCTCCTTGTTACTTATGCAAATTTCTGCAACCAGCTTGAATTTCTCCTCAGAAAATCGGATTTTGTTTTCTATTGCATTGTCAGGCTGCAAATTTTCCATACTTTTATGCCCTGCTCCCCTTATAAAACTGAATGACTTTAACAGCACCCAAATCACATCTTGAATGCTTTGCTGCTTAGAAATTCCTTCTGCTAGATACTCTACATCTTCTCTCTGAAGTTTAAAGTTCCACAAATCTCTAGGGCAGGGGCAAAATGCCACCAGTTTCTTTGCTAAAACACAAGAAAAGTCATCTTTGCTCCAGGTCCCAAGAAGTTGCTCTTATCTCCATCTGAGACCACCTCAGCCTGGATTTCATTGTCCATATCATTGACAGCATTTTGCTCAAAGCCACTCAACAAAACTCTAGGGAGTTTCAAACTTTCCCACATTTTCTGTCATCTGAGCCCTCTAAACTGTTCCAATCTCTACTTGTTATCCATTTCCAAAGTTGCTTATGCATTTTCAGCAGTGCCTCACTCTACTGGTACCAATTTACTGTATTAGTCTGTTTTCATGCTGCTGATAGAGACATACCCAAGACTGGGCAATTTACTTTCAGTTCCACATGGCTGGCGAAGCCTCACAATCATGGCAGAAGGCAAGGAGGAGTAAGTCACGTCTTACATCAATGGCAGTAGGCAAAGAGAGCTTGTGCAGGGAAACTCCCCTTTTTAACACCATCAGATCTCATGAGACTTATTTACTATCATGAGAATAGGATGGGAAATACCCGCCCCCAGGATTCAATGATTTCCCACTAGGTCCCTCCCACAACACGTGAGAATTATGGGAGCTACAAGATGAGGTTTGGATGGGGATACAGAGCCAAACCATTTCACCAGCTGTCTCTCAGAATGATATTCACCATGCCACATGATGTAGTGGATATAGCAATGAAGTCAGAGAATGTCTTCTTGGGCTAGCTCCCCACCTTACTAGCTCTCTGTTCTTGGCTGAGTTAATTTACTTCTCTGAATTTAGTTTATTTTTCAATAGAAATGGGGAAAATAATTCCTATTCCATATGTGGTTGTCATAGCATTAAATAAAGTCTGATGTCTTGCACAAAGTAGATGCACAAAAAGTAATTCATTCTTTTTGAAATGCATATAATAGCTATAATATTTGAAATAACTATGTCATGCTTGAGTTAAAGATGAGTATGGTAAAAAAGGTGTTAAAACTGTAAAACAATATATGAATATTTAAAGTTTGAAAAATGTAGTCTGTATATATGTGCATGTGTGTGTGTGAGAGAGAGAGAGAGACAGAGAGGGATAGCAAGAGAGCACTAACCCTTTGCAACATCTACTGTGTGCCCAATGCTTGTATGAATTATCTCATTTAATTATCTTCAGAGCGTTTGTTACTATCTTAATTTCTAGAAAAGCCAAGTCTTAGAGAAGTTGTGGCTCATGTAGGTATTGAATGGCAGAACTGTGATTCAAACTGGTCTATTTGATTCTGAAATAGATGCATCACTTTGCCTTTAGGTGACATTTTTAAGCTTTAAGTTTTACAGCTGTACTACATGTTTTAAAATAGATAAGTGTGTCAAATCCTGATCATGTAAAAAAATCTGTAGATGTTCATTTTCTTCCTGAAATGAAGTTTCATAGTGATGATAAACAAAACTGCCTATGTGGCAAAGTTGCCTCTGAGCCCAACAGGGGACCTGCAATATTCACCCGGTTACACACACACACACACACACACACACACACACTCACACACACACACGGGATTTGAAAACTCTTTAAGAGAATGTAAAGAGCTATAAAGAGCTATGGATAATTATTTTGTTGGAGGTATCTGGAAAAAACAAGAAGTTTGGACATTTATGAAAATAGCTTTACAAGAGAAACCCCAGGAAAATCAGGCTCCATAATAAATAGAAATTACTCTGAGATAATTGCTAACTTTGTAATCATTCTAAAGTTCAATGGAAAGTTTAGAAATAAAAGAAAACCTGTCATGATTGAGAAATTTAAAAAATTATATTTGAACTCATGAAAGTAGTAGGCATGTGAACCCCCCCCTGATATTTACATTGGTGGGCCTCAGGGACTCACTCACTCATTGGATCCAAGTAAAGCAAAGAACCATGCAAATTACCTCTGTTTGTTAGTGTAGGTTTTTTGTTTTGTTTTTTTTCTGTAGAGAAGCTGTGAAGATATCAAGAGATTACAAAGAAAACAAAAGAAAATATGATGCAGCATTTCACAAAAATAAATGAACTGAGTAGAACATGTACCCCCAGGGAGGTCTGACAACTAACAGAAAATGAAACGGAATAGATTTTATAGAGAAAAACTGTTTTGGTGATGCAATGGAATAATCAGGATTGGCTCATATGGACAAAAATAAAACTGAGATAATCCTTGGTTATTTATGAGCGTTGCTCAAAACCCATTCCTTCCTGCCAACCGATTTTCCTCCCTTTAGAGTGTTGGCCTTTGCAACTATTAGTAATCAGGACAATGATTTAGATTTTTTAAGTGAGTGATATATTTGATTATTTTGGCTAAAATTGGGTTTTCGGGGGTGAATGATTTGTTTTATATAGAAAATAGAGAATTCTGTTTCTAGGATACTTGCTCATGGATGGGAATCTCTAGGGGACTCTGAGGGGTCTGTGTGTCCAGAGCATAAATAGGTATGTGGCAGAAAGTGCATGGAATCGCTCTTTTAAAGTGTAATGAACTAAGCTTATCACAATAATAATTTATGTCCAAGAATCTTTGTTCTGAAGGATAGAAACATTGAAAAATTTGTAGAAAATAAAGGAAAAGAATATGCACCCAGGCTGAACCTCTCTACACAGATATGCACATATTCACACACATGCACAGAGACACATACACATGATGGAAGATCACAACATAGGAGATGGTGGAGATAATAAACTTCATGACTGAGGGAGTCAACAGTCTGGAAATCTAGGGTGGTGGTTCTCAAAGTATGGTCCCTGGACCAGCAGTGCCAGCATCAACCTGATTTGGGAACTTGTTAGAAATGAAGCTCTCAGGTTAGCATCTCAGACCTACTGAATTAGAAACTCAGGGGAAACCCATATGTGTTTTAACAAGCTCCCCAGGAGATTCTGATGCACTCTAAAATTTGAGAGCCACTGATCTCCAGCATGTAATAAAATCTGTGTTCATTGAAGTGGAGGGTGTATAAGACATAATCCTTGCCTGCAAGGGGATCTCAATCTAGTTGAAATCTTAAACAAATGATCAGTTACTTATTAATTTTGAAGGGCATTATACTGGAGATGAGCTATGAAAACAGAGATTAAGGGGAGACAGACTCTGCAAATATGAAGGCTTGAAAGTAGAGGTGCACTGAAGGATCAATGGGCGTTTTCCAAACAGGCAAAGGCAGTCAATAAAAGTCCAGGCAGGAGAAAAATGGCATGCTAAGACACAAAGGCAAGAAAGAAATTATCTGTATGGGTTGCAGTGGGTGGTTTGATGTGGCTAAAGCACTGGTGAAGGGATAGAATTTGGAAGCAGCCCTCTCTTGTCCAGGCCACTATTATCTCACTTGTTTATTGCAGCAACCTACTTACTCCTCTTCTTGTCTCCAGGATTGCTCCTCATCAAGTTCATATTTCACACAGAAACAAAGATCCATTCTTGGGATAAATCTGGCCATATCAGTTTCCTACTTAAAAGATAGGCCATATCACTAACCTATTTCTTTCCTACTTAAAACTTTTTCATGGCTCTTATTTGCCTGCAAATAAAGTTCAGACTCCTTATCCTGGTGTATAATGCCTCGCATGATCTTGCCGGTTTTCCTCCTTACCCTCATCTCTTTTGTCTCTTCCTGGGTCTCCTCAGAGTCTTCAATATGCTGCTTTCCCAATTGCCATTCCTTTGCGACACTATTTAACTTATTTAATTTTCTCTTCCTCCAAAATGCCCCAAGGACTACCCTTTCCTCTGGGAAGCTGACTGGGAGATCTGTGTTTTTATTATACGACATCCTGGGATGCATCTCTGCTAGCACCTGTCACATTGTGCTGATATTTTTCACCTGTTCTTCCCCAGCTGCTTCTGATCCTGTGGCGGATAATGACTCAGTCTTTGTAGTTTCTAACCTCAAATCTGAGCACAAGGCCTGGCATATTGTATGTGTGGAGTGAATGTTTCTTGAATGAATGAACTATGAAGGGATTTGTGTTTCAGGCAAAAGAACCCAAGAGAAAAGCCTAAGAAAATTGCTTTTATCCTCTAGTTGACAGGGTCCTTCTGTTTGGGGAAACAAGGATGCTGATAATAAGTTAATAATTTTAAATATCTTTTAGGCCTGTTCTTATTTCTAACTATCTAACCTTTCCAAGTCCTTTCTAGTAACACAATTACATCTACGTGTCTTATTTTTATCTTATTACATACACCTATCTGAATTATTTTTTCCCTTCACCAGACTGAACACTGTGCAGAAAATCTCTGTTAGAGCCTGGATATTTATCTACTTTACATCGGAGCTAAAATAAAGTTGATTTTCACTCATTATTCCTTATAGTTGTGTTCTATAAAGTCAGCATGAAAACTGAATTAACAAATACTGATTGATTGCTTCTAGGATAAATATAGGATTAGGCTTCCATAAGTTTCTGGTCACAATATTTTTCCCAACTAATTGAAATATAATCTTGTTCTGACGTGTGTTTTTGTTTGAAGACACTTTATATGGCACGTATTGTTGATTCATTAACATAGAACTCACAGACAACAGCAAAACTCATGCCTAAAGGAAACTTATCTAGCACATGTGTTTTCTCCATAAAGCATATCCCAGCCTCTTGTGCTTAAAACACCAGACAGCACTTCAGCACTATGCTTGGGGGCCATTGTAAACAGTGAAGTCAACAATAAAAAGCACAAATATGTGAAAATGTAGCACTAAATAGATTCTGAGAAGAACATTTGTTTACAGGATGAGAACTGAAACAGAAAGGCAGAGGTAGCCTCATCTATCCTCCATGGGGCACATGTGCATTGGGTGACTCAAATTTTTCACCATTCTTTGGATGTCTGCAAAGATGTCACAAGTATTGATTTCAGGGTTACAAATACATTTTAGCAAGTAGGTAAATTCAGACATACAAAATCCATGAATTAACTTTATATATATTTAAAATTTGTGTACTTTGATCAAGATGGAGAATTACAGATCAGAATTAGCTTCTTATCTGTAACAACTAAGAAAGCAGACAAGGCTGGGCACGGTGGCTCACATCTGTAATCCCAGCACTTTGGGAGGCCAAGGCAGGAGGATCACCTGAGGTTAGGAGTTTGAGACCAGCCTGGCCAAAATGGTGAAACCCCATCACCACTAAAAATACAAAAATTAGCCGGGCATGGTGGCACGTGCCTGTAGTCCCAGCTACTTGGGAGGCTGAAGCAGGAGAATTGCTTGAACCCAGGAGGTAGGGGTTGCAGTGAGCCAAGATTGTGCCATTGCACTCCAGCCTGGATGACAGAGAAAGACTCCATCTCAAAAACAAACAAACAAACAAACAAACAACAACAAAAAGAAAACATACACAAACACGAACAATGATTTTTAAGATATTAAACACCAGAAAGAAACAATGGTGATCTTTAAGTGATGGGAAACAAATGAGTAACTCCTATCTCAGCTTACTACCTGGGGAAAGGTTTCCAAAATGCAGTACAGAGAGAAGCCCAGGAGTCTCCAGTAATTGAGAAGGAGCTTGGAGTCTAGGAAGGCCAAGGTAGTGAGAGTACAAAAGGCAAATTACCACAGAAAATAGAGCTGCACAAAGAGAGAGAGCCCCAGAGACCAGCAGAGGCTTCCCCTAAAATATTCAGCTAAGTAGTAATCAGCACATGTATGTGAGAAACTACCTGATATGGAAAAGAACCACCAATAAAATTACAGGAGACAATCACTGGAGTCACACAGGGCCAGGAATTGTATTTATTCTTTCTAGCTAGAGGCAAACCCCAGATTTCATGGAGCATTAGGTAAAGTATTCAGAAAGAGTTTGCCTGAGAGTAATTTACTCCTAGACTAAATGCTGTTATGGTCCTGATTAACAAAGTTTAAAAAGAAAGCTTAAAAGTGTCAAATTGTTTTTATTTTTTTATTTTTATTTTTTTTATTATACTTTAAGTTTTAGGGTACATGTGCACATTGTGCAGGTTAGTTACATATGTATACATGTGCCATGCTGGTGCGCTGCACCCACTAACTCGTCATCTAGCATTAGGTATATCTCCCAATGCTATCCCTCCCCCCTCCCCCCACTCCACCACAGTCCCCAGAGTGTGATATTCCCCTTCCTGTGTCCATGTGATCTCATTGTTCAATTCCCACCTATGAGTGAGAATATGTGGTGTTTGGTTTTTTGTTCTTGCGATAGTTTACTGAGAATGATGATTTCCAATTTCATCCATGTCCCTACAAAGGACATGAACTCATCATTTTTTATGGCTGCATAGTATTCCATGGTATATATGTGCCACATTTTCTTAATCCAGTCTATCATTGTTGGACATTTGGGTTGGTTCCAAGTCTTTGCTATTGTGAATAATGCTGCAATAAACATACGTGTGCATGTGTCTTTATAGCAGCATGATTTATAGTCATTTGGGTATAAACTACTTTACAGTTCATATGGAACCAAAAAGGAGCCTGCATCGCCAAGTCAATCCTAAGCCAAAAGAACAAAGCTGGAGGCATCACACTACCTGACTTCAAACTATACTACAAGGCTACAGTAACCAAAACAGCATGGGACTGGTACCAAAACAGAGATATAGATCAATGGAACAGAACAGAGCCCTCAGAAATAATGCCGCATACCTACAACTATCTGATCTTTGACAAACCTGAGAAAAACAAGCAATGGGGAAAGGATTCCCTATTTAATAAATGGTGCTGGGAAAACTGGCTAGCCATATGTAGAAAGCTGAAACTGGATCCCTTCCTTACACCTTATACAAAAATCAATTCAAGATGGATTAAAGACTTAAACGTTAGACCTAAAACCATAAAAACCCTAGAAGAAAACCTAGGCATTACCATTCAGGACATAGGCATGGGCAAGGACTTCATGTCCAAAACACCAAAAACAATGGCAACAAAAGCCAAAATTGACAAATGGGATCTAATTAAACTAAAGAGCTTCTGCACAGCAAAAGAAACTACCATCAGAGTGAACAGGCAACCTACAAAATGGGAGAAAATTTTCGCAACCTACTCATCTGACAAAGGGCTAATATCCAGAATCTACAATGAACTCAAACAAATTTACAAGAAAAAAACAAACAACCCCATCAAAAAGTGGGCGAAGGACATGAACAGACACTTCTCAAAAGAAGACATTTATGCAGTCAAATTGTTTTTAAATAACTTAATCACATCCCTCAGCAAAGCTCTAAAATATTTATAGGAATACAAAATGTGATAACATAATACCACTCACAATGAAATTCAATAAAAAATTACCAGGAATGCAAAGAAGAGGAAAAATATAACCCATAATAAAAGGAAAAAAACATTGAAAACTAACACCAAAATTACAGGGAATAGAATGATGAATTAATTAAAACAGTTTGAAATTTTATTCCATATATTCAAGGAGCCAAAGGAAAGATTGAACATATGAAATTGAAAAATGGAAGATAGAATAAAAAAACACAAATTTCTAGAAATAAAAACTATAATATCTGAGATTGAAAATATACTGAATGGGATTAATAGTAAATTAATCATTGCAGAATAAAAAATTGGTGAAATTAAAGTCATAGCAATATAAACAAAGTGAAACACAAAAAATTTTTTAAAATGAACAGAGCTATGGAGCAATTTCAAGCAACCTAATAATATATGTGTAAGTGGAATTCTGGAATAACAGGAAGGGAGTGAGAGAGAAAAAAATCAGAAAAATATCCAAGCCTAACCAAAGCAAACCAAACCAAACCAATCATCCTCCCCAAAACAAACACCAATGAATGGAAATTATAATTGAATTGCTTAAAACCAGTGCTAAAGTGTAAATTTTAAAGATAGTGATGGCAGGGGGCATTGGTTAAAGGATGACAGTAGATTTATCATCAGATGCAATGCATGCTGAAAGAAGTACTGAAAGGAAAAAAAATTGTCAGCATAGAATTCTATACCCAGTGAAAAGATCTTTCAAAAAATAGAGGAAAATCAATACTTTTCCTAACCATACAAAAGCTAAAATAATTTATCACCTACAGAACTACACTATGAGAAATATTAAAGGTAATACTTTTCACACAAAGGAAATGATACCAGATAAAAATCTTGATCTACACAAAAGAAGGAAGAGCACTGGAAATAGTAAGTGGGCAAATGTAAGTGCCTAAAAAAAAAAAAACAAAAACAATTTAAATCTCTTAAAATCAACTGTTTAAAGTGAAAATAATTACAATGTACTATGGACTTTATAAAATATGTAGAAGCAAAGCATATGAAAACAGGAGGGAAGAAAGGAAAATATAAGTCTTTAAGGTTTATAAATGTAATAAAGTGTCACAAATTGAAGACATACTGTGATGTTTGAAGATGTGTACTATGTACCTTAAATCAAGCACTAAATAGCATAACAAAGAGTTTCAGAAAATAGATCAGTAAAAAGTATAACATGCATATTAGTCCACTTTCACACTGCTGATAAAGACATACCTGAGACTGGGTAATTTATACAGGGAAAAGGGTGTATTGGACTTCCAGTTCCACATGGCTGGGGAAGCATCACAATCATGGCGGAAGGCAAGGAAGACCAAGTCACATCTTGAGTGGATGGCAGCAGGCAAAGAGAGAGCTTGTTCACCTTATAAAGCCATCAGATCTCATGAGACTTATTCCCTATCACGAGAACAGCACAGAAAGGCCTGCCCCCATGATTCAATTACCTCCCACGAGGTTCTCCTTCAACATGTGGAAATTCAAATGAGATTTGGGTGGGGGACACAGCCAAACCTTATCGGCATGGAATCAAAAAATATTTAATTAATCCAAAGGGAGTAGAATAAAAGTTAAAAGGAAACAAAGAATAAATGAAACTAAATCAAATACCATGGTGGAAGATTTATATTCAACCATAGTGATAAGCACATACATGCTAGTGGTATATGCATTCCATTTAAAAGGTAGATATTGTCAGATTGGATTTAAAAACCTGAAGTATATGTTGACTACAAGACATACATGTTAAATATAAAGACAAAAATAGGTTAAACACAAAACAATGGTAAAAGATAATCCATACTATCACTAAACAAACGACGAGTGGAGTGACTATATTATTATCAGACAAACTACAATTCAGAATAAAGACTGGAGATAGACTATAATTTTTAATAAAAGAATTGTCAATTCTTCAAGGAGATAAAACACTACTAAATATTTATGCACTGAATAACAAAGCTTTAAAATACATAAAGCAAACACTTATAGATCTACAAAGGAAACAGACAAATACACAACTGTATTGAGAGGTTTCAACAATCTTCTCTCAGTAATAGATGGAACCAGTAGATAGAAGCTTGGTGAGGATATAGACTACTCAATTAAGCAATATTATCAGCCAGCATGAACTACTGGTATTTTAGAACAGAGTACCAATAACAGCAGAAATATATGTTTTCTTCAAGTGAAGAAAAATAAGACTTTTACTAAGATCGACCATATAGTAGGCCATTAAAAAGTCACAATAAATTAAAAAGGATTCAAAGAAGATAAATTTTGTCCTCTGGCTATTAAATATAATAAAGTTAGAAGTCAATAATAGAACAATAACTAGAAGATCTTTGAATATTTGGATACTAAATAACAAAGCTCTAAATAACCCTTGACTCAAAAAAGAAATCAAAAGGGAAAACAAAGTTTTGGACTGAATGAATACATAACCTGTCAAAATTTGTGATTGATACCGATCAAAGTTAACTAGTAAGTGAATTTAGAGGTAAATTTATGACAGTAAATGCCTATTTCATGAAATAAGAAGAGTCTCAAATAAATGAACTTAGTTTCTACCTTGAGAAATCAGAAAAAAAGAATAAATAGTATTCAGAATAAACAAGAAAAGAACTAATACATTTTAGAATATAAATTAATAAAATAGCAAATATGAGAGAAAAATAAGAAAACAAAGTAGTAAAATTCTCTCTGAGCATATTACAGCATTTATAAACTTCTCGCCAGATTGGTCAGAAAGAAGGATACAAATTACTAATATCAGGAATGAAATATATGACATTACTGTAGATTCTACAGATCTTAAAATGATAATAAATTCTATGAATAACTTTATGCCAATAAATTTAACCACCTACCTAAGTAGACAGTAATTTGAGATACACAAATTACCATCTCATTCAGGAAGAAGTAGATAACCTAAGTAGCCATATATATTTTTTTAAGATACACTTGTATCTAAAAAGCTTTTCACAAAGAAAACTAGACTCCAGATGAATTTACTAGGGTAATGTAGCAAATGTTAAAGGAAAAAATAATATCAATTCTACGCAACTGTTCCAGAAAATTAAAGAGGAAGCAATAATTCATAACTCTTTCTGTAAGGCCAGCATTGGTCTGATAACAAAATAGAAAGTTATTACTAAAAAAATTTTGACAGACCAATAGCACTTATGAATGCAGAAACAAAAATTCTAGACAAAACTTTGACAAATTGAATCTGACAACATATATTTTAAAAATTACATCATGAACAAGTGGAGTTTTTTCTACGAATGCAAGTTTAACAGTCAAACATCTATCTATGTAATTCACTGTATTAACATACTTAAAAATAAACTTATATTAACATCTGAATTTAGAAAAAACACTTGACAAAATCAAACACCTATTCCTCAAAAAGGTATCTGAAAATTTAGAATTAAAGGGAACTTCCTCAATCTGATAAATGGCACCTCCAAAAAGCCTTTAAGTAACATCAAACCTACTAGTCAAGGACTGAATGATTTCCTCTTAATATAAGAAACAAGGCCATGTCCATTCTCTTCACTTCTATTTGCATTGTACTGGAGGTTTAGGTATTAGAATAAGGCAAGACAAAGAAACATAGCATATTTGAGCAGAAAAGAAGAAGGAAACCCTATTTATTCACAGATGACATAATCACCTCTGTTGAAAATCTGATGGATTTGACACGGAAGTTACTAGAAGTAACGTTAGTTTAGGAAGGTTGAAGGATATGAGGTCAGTATACAAAAATTAATATATTCCTATATATTAGCAACAAAAATTGGAAATTAGAAAAACAATAGTGATGCAAGACTTTTTCGGGTGCTACTTCACCAGCCAGAGACCTCCGTGACCAGTGGTGCCCCTGCCTGGGCCTCGCTCGGCTCCAGGCTGGCTGCTGGGATTTCTCTGCCCACTCATCCCAACAGTCTGTGGCTGGCTTCCTCCTTGGCCCGAACTCTGTGACCACTATAGCTTCACGCTCAGCCTGAGGTGGGAAGGGGTGTGTGAGCAAAGAGGCCGGGCCACAGTGCACAGCCAGGGCCTGGCTGGAGTAGGTGTGTCACGAGTGACTTCCATGACAGGCTCCAGCTTCCAGATGAGGGGGATGCAGTGGCACCTAAACACTCAGAGATGCCAGGAACCGAAAAGCCCCAAGGGATGTTGTTCCTGCCATCTGCAGTGTGGTGAATGGGGCGTGTTAACAGCTCATTCAGTCCCGCCGCCTTGCTCCAACCCACGGCTCCTGGGCTGGCCTAGCCCCACCACCACTTGCCATCATGTGGGATGGATGCCCAGTGCTGGCAGAGGGCAAGAAAGCTACATTGGTGCCAGTCCTTTAGCACCTATCATTCGGCAGGTCGCAAGATCTTTTCCTGCATCCAAGAAGAATGAGGTTACATGGACAGCTGGAGGGCGAGCAGGGCAGAGAAGAGTTTTACTGAGTGACGGAACATCTCTCAGCGGAGAGGGGTCCTGAAGTGGACAACGCCTACCCGAAGGTGGGTCACCCCCCAACCCAAAGGCAGGTGGCTGTAGTCCCCCAGTGGCTGAGTCTGTTTTTGGTTTTTTTTTTTTTTTTTTTTGAGACGGAGTCTCGCTCTGTGCCCAGGCTACAGTGCAGTGAGTGGCACGATGTCCGCGCTCACTGCAAGCTCCGCCTCCCGGATTCACACCATTCTCCTGCCTCAGCCTCCAGAGTAGCTGGAACTGCAGGCGCCCGCCACCATGCCCGGCTAATTTTTTTTTTTTTTTTTTTTTGTATTTTTTAGGAGAGACGGGGTTTCACCGTGTTAGCCAGGATGGTCTCCATCTCGAGTCTGGGTTTTTTATAAGCCCACAATGGGGGAGGCATAGGCTGTAGGTAGCCATGGAAAAGGCAACATTTGATTGGTTAAAAAGCATTACTCAGAATCAATCCGGAAAGAGCAGGCAAACAGGAATAGAAGTTCTCACTCAGGTTGTGGACTTCATCTGGAACCAGCAGCTTGTTTTTCAGGCTTCAGGCTGTTTTTGGCTTGGAGGTCAGGTTTTACCAGGGACCCGCCTCTATCTGCCCAGACATTTGTCTGCCTCCTGTCGCTATCAATAGCATTGACAATAATATAAAAAATATAAGATATTGCAGGATAAATCTGACAAAACTCATGCAGGAAAATTACAAAACATTGCTAAGAGAAATTAAAGAACACATAAATATGATACACAATATTTATGAATTGGTAAATTCAATATTGTTAAGATGTAAATGTTTCTCAAATCTATAGAGTCAAGGTAAACTCAATCAAAATCCCAGCAGTCACTTTATGTAGAAACTAACAGCTTGGTTCCAAAATTCATATGGAAGTGTGAATGACAAAAATAGTCAAAATAACTTTGGAAAGGAAGAATGAAGTTGTAGAACCTTCCCTATCTGACTTCAAGAATCACTATAATGCTTCACTAACCAAGGCAGCATATAGTGCTGTCAAGACAGATAAATGGAACAGAAAAGAGGCTCCAAAACTAGACCCACCACATATATGGTCAGTTCCTCATCAACAAATTTTCCATAGCAATTCAGTGGAGAAAGAATATTCTTTTCAACAAATGGTTCTGGAATGAATTGGGCATCCATGTGCAAAAAACACAAACTTTAACACTACCTTATATAATGTTACAAAAATTAAACTATATCATAGACCTGAATGCAAAACTTCTAAATCATAAAACTTCTAAATCATAAAGAAATCATAAAACTTCTAAAAGACATACAGAAGAATATTTATGACTTCGAGTTAGGCCAGTGGTTCAATATCAGGGGCAATTTTGTCCTCCACGCCAGGAGATGTTTGCAATATCTGCAGATATTTTTGGCTGTTACAGTTGGGGTTGGGGTAGGAGTTGCTACTCATATCTGCTAGGTAGAGGGCAGGCATGCTAGTAAATACCTTGCGGTGCACAGAAGGCCAAACCTCCTCCTCTGTCCACCACACTTACCTACAGCAACGATTTATCCAGTCCAAAATATTAATAGTGCCAAGCTGATAAATCTTTGGGTTAGGCAAATGTCTTTTTGATATAACACCAAGATTTTACTTGAATAAAGTTAAGAAATTCTCTCATTTGAAAGAAACTTAAGAAAATGAAAGTCAAAGCATAGGCTAAAAAAATTATTTGCAAATTATATCTGATAAAGGGCTTGTATCCAGAATATATATATATATGTAAAATCTTGGCATTTCAAAACTCCATAATAATAAGCCAATAAATATATGGACCAATATTTGAATAGACATTTCACCAAAGAAGGCATATAGGTAGCAAATAAGCATGCACAAAGATTTTCATCATTAGATATTATGTAAATGCAAATTAAAGTCACCGTGAGATATTACCATACACATATTAGAATGTCTAAAAGACTGACGATACTAGGTGTTTGTAGAGATAAGGAACAACTGTAACTATCTTACACTGCTAGTGAGAATGCAAAATTCATACAACACTTTGGAAAACACTTTGAAAATTTTTTTTCAAAAGTTACACACACACCTAGCATATGAACTAGACATTCTATTTCTAAAGGATTACCTAAGACAAACAAGAGCATATGTCCAAATAAAGACTTGTACACAAATATTCATAGCAACTTTATATGAAATAACCAAAAACTGGAAACAACATAAATGTTCATTAACAGGCGAATGGACAAACAAATTGATATCCCCATAAAATGGGATACTACTCAGCAATAAAAATGAATGAATTGCCAATACATACAACAACATAGGTGTATCTCAATTATGCAGAGTGAAAGAAACCAGACATAAAAAGGTACATACTATAGAATTACATTTATTTAAAATTTTAGAAAATGCTAACTAATCTGGAGTGACAGAAAGCAGATCAATTTTTGACTGGGAATGGGGAATTCAGGAGGATCAGAAGGAAAAGATTACATTGGGGCATGAGGAAATTTTTTGAGATTATGGATTGTTCACCATCTTGATTGCAGGAATTGGTTCAAGAGTATACATACGTTAAAAGTTATCAAAGTAAACACTTTATGTGCAATTTATTATATGTAAACTTTACCCAATAAAGCAGTTTTTAAAAATTGATATAAATATATAAATAAAACATAAACATTTATTTATAAGTGAATATGTAAACATTTATTGAATACCATTTACAATGAATGGTTTCTCGGCTTACAATAAATGAATGAAATGATCACTTGTTATAAAATGCTAAAAGTTTTTTAGGAAAAGAAAATAATATACTATTGCACTGGTCATTAAGTAAAAAGTAATAAAAGCAAAAGAAGACCTAAATTTAGATGTATACTTGTAATTTAGTTAAGTATCAAATATACCGTCAATTGAAAAACATGACGAGCTAAATCTCAATCATTTTAGGAGGTTTATTTGCCAAAGTTAAGGATGCGCGCCCAGCGGACAGGTCCATACCTTTCTCCAAAAGAGGGCTCCAAATTTAAAGGGGAAATGGCAGGATATTGAGAGTGGACAATTTTCAGGTAAGGGGGAAGGAGGGGGAAAATAGTCATTCATGCCTTTGTCTGGCTTCCTTCCTGATATACTAAGGTTCTTTTCTTAAATCATTTCTTTCTGTTTGAAGAATTTTTTTTAGGCAGTCTTTAAGAGTGACACTACTAATGACAAGTCCTTTTAGTGTATTCCTTTATCTGAGAATGTTTGTATTTCTACTTCATTCCTGAGGCATAGTTTCTCCAGATATAGATCACAGTTAGCATTTTTTTTCACGGTACTCGTAAAATATTGTGCCTTTTCCTTCTAACCTTCCTAGTTTCAGATGAGAAATCCAATGCCATTTGAATTAGTGTGCCCCTGTTTGTATATGGTATTTATCTGTTTTTAAGACTCTTCGACTTTAGTTTTCAAAAGTTTAATTATATTTTGGTATAGATTTCTTTGAGTTTATTTTGAGTTTGGTGTTTACTCAGTTTCTTGAATGTATAGAAGTATGACTTTACCAAATTTGGAACATTTTTTTCATCGATCATTTCTTCTTAGACTATTTCCACTCCATTCTCCTTCTCTGATCCTCTGAGATTCTGATGATACAAATCTTCAGTCTTTCATAATTGCCCCACATATACCTGAGACTCTTCTTATTATTAATTTTTTTCAGTCTACTTTCTGTCTGTTGTTCAGATTGTGTGGATTCTATGGTTCTGTCCTCAAGTTTACTGAATCTATCATACTCTGTCATCAATATTCTGCTGTTAAACCCATCCAACATTTTATATTTAGGTTTATTATTCATTTGATTATTTTTATAACCTTTTCATCTTTGCTGAGATTTCTTATTTTTCTTTAGTTAAAAAAGAATTTATAATAGATTGTTGAATTATTTTTATGATGACTGTTTGTTTTAATCAACTCATGCTGCCATAACAAAATACCATAGACTGGGTGGTTTAAACTACAAAAATTTATTTTCTCACAGTTCTGGAGGCTGAGAAGTTCAAGAGCAAGGTACCAACTGACTGATTTTCTGGTGAATCCTTTCTTCCTGGCTTTCAGATGGCCTCCTTCTTACTTTGTTCATACATAGCAGAGAGAGAGAGAGAGAGAGAGAGAGAGAGAAACAGAGACAGAGAAAGAATGAGAATGAACATCCTAGTGTCTCTTCTTATAAGAACACAAGTATTATCAGATCAAGGCCCTATTCTTATGACTTTATTGAACCTTAATTACTTCTATAAAGCCCTATCTATAAATATAGTCACATTGGGGGTTAGGACTCACCATATAATTTTAGGCTGACACAGTTTAGTCCATAGCACTACTTTAAAACTCTAGTCAGATAATTCTAACATCTGATGATGTATCTTTGTGTTAGTGTCAGTTGATTACCTTTTCTCATTCAAGTTGTGATTTTCTTGGTTTTTAGTATAATGGATGATTTTTTAATTGTATTCTGAACATTTTGTCTATTATGTTTGGGGACTCTAGGTCCTATTTACGATTTTTTTTTTTAATTTCCATAGGTAGTTACCCTAGTAACTAGGGTAGAACTAGGGTTAACATGTGGGATTTTGTCCCCAAATTACCGTGCTTCACTTTATAATTTTTCCTTCCTACCATGATGCAGAAATCATATATTTTCAGTAGCAGTCATACCTCAAATATTGAATTTTGATGTTTTCCTGGGCTAGCAATATGTAATATGATACTCCCTCCCAATACTGTCAGCAATGAAAAGCTACATCCCCTAGTCAGCCACACAATCACAAGGATACACCACGAATACTCAATAGTGTATTGTGTTAACCAGTTAATTTTGCCCAACTGTAGACCACTATAAGTGTCCTGAGCACTAGCTAGGCTAGGCTATGGTGTTTGGTAGCTTAGGTGTATTAAGGCATTTTCAACTTATGATATTTTCAACTTAACATAGCATTATCAGGATATAACCCCATTGTAAGTCGAGGAGTGTCTGTACGTTTGGGCTGTTATTCCAATGACAGGTTTTGATATTTAGTTTCAGAACCTGTGCAGTGTTATTTTGGTTTTCTTGGGTTAACAGGTGATGCTGAGGCTCACCTGGTTCCTGCTGTTGCTGCCTGAGGGGGTGGGAGTGGTTTTCCCAGGCCAGGCCAACAGGTATCTCTCCACTAGGGAGAGATGTGGTAGGTTCCCCCTATTGATGTCCTGACCTGATCACCCTCTAAATTAGGTTTCTGTAGTGTTTCTGGTCAGAAGAGGAGAGTCTTGAGCCCATGGAAACCAAGATGTTTTCGGGATCAGGCTGCTTGTTGAGACTAGGCCTGTTTTTCACTTCTTTCCACCTGTTCTACTCAGGCCCATTTTATTTATTTATTTATTTATTTATTTATTTATTTATTTATGAGATGGAGTCTCCCTCTATTGCCTGGGATAGAGTGCAGTGGTGAAATCTCGGCTCACTGCCACCTCCGCCTCCTGGATTCAAGCGATTCTTCTGCCTCAGCTTCCCGAGTAGCTGGGACTACAGGCACACGCCACCATCCCCGGCTAGTTTTTTTGTATTTTTAGTAGAGATGGGGTTTCACCATATTTGCCAGACTGGTCTCAAACTCCTGACCTCGTGATGTGCCTGCCTCGGCCTCCCAGAGTGCTGGGATTACAGGCGTGAACCACTGTTCCCAACCTCATGCCCATTTTATATTCTCTTCCCCTTGCCCACATCTTATGGTTGGTGCAAAATTTTACACCCAGTGAATTCTCAATTGTTCCTCATCTTAATTTCTCAACACTTTATTTACTTTCTCTTCAAGGATATTGGTGGAGATGGTTGTGTTTTCGTTCCACTTAGCAGGTTTGCCTAGACAACTGTATACTAGGGATAAATTTCTCAAAGATTGTTAGAAAAAAGGCATGAAGGCCGGATGTGGTGGCTCATGCCTGTAATCCCAGCACTTTGGAAGGCTGAGGCAGGTGGATCACCTGAGGTTGGGGGTTCAAGACCAGCCTGACCAACACGGAGAAACACTGTCTCTACTGAAAACACAAAATTAGGGCCCGGCGTGGTGGCTCACACCTGTAATCCCAGCACTTTGGGAGGCCAAGGCGGGTGGATCACCTAAGGTCAGGAGTTTGAGACCAGCCTGACCAACATGGAGAAACCCCGTCTCTACTAAAAATACAAAATCAGCTGGGCGTAGTGGCACATGTCTGTAATCCCAGCTACTCAGGAGGCTAAGGCAGGAGAATCGCTTGAACCTGAGAGGTGGAGGTTGCTGTGAGCCAAGATCGCGCCATTGCACTCCAGTCTGGGCAACAAGAGCGAAACTCTATCTCCAAAAAAACCAAACAAAAACAAAACAAAACACACATACATACACACACACAAAATTACCTGGGTGTGGTGGCACATGCCTGTAATCCCCGCTACTCAGTAGGCTGGGGCAGGAGAATTGCTTGAACCCAGGAGGCAGAGGTTGTGGTGAGCCGAGATCGCACCGTTGCACTCCAGCCTGGGCAACAAGTGTGAAACTCTGTCTCAAAAAAAAAAAAAAAAAAAGGCATGAATTCTTTCTGTGAGAAGTATCTACCTTCATGAGATTGAAAGAGTGGCTTGGATACAGCATCCTATTCTGTTGAGATGTTTTTGTTTCTATCACACAATTTCTTTTTTAGAGGAAAGGAAGAAAATTGATTGCCTCCCCTACTTGGACTTTTTCGAAAGAAATCTGAAGTATTTCAGAGTACAGTTTTGGCTTTTACATTGCAAAACAGACTATTTCACTGGTATGAGAGGAATCCATAAATGGGTAACTATTTTATCTCCTGTCACAGAGGCTGGCTCAAAAGCAAATGTTCTTTAATTTTGGTTGATAGGATTATAGAATCTCAGAACTGGATGAGACACTAGAGAACAGCTGGTACAAAACCTCTTATGTTACCAGTGTGGAAAATGAGACTATTTTTAAAGTAATGATTTGTCTAAGATCACAAAGAAGTTAGCAGTAAGTGGGTAGTGTGAAATAGCTGTTAAGTATTTGTACTCCTGACTCAGAGAACCCTAAGTTGGAATCCTGGCTCTGTGACTTCCTGGCTGTATAATCTTGGACTCAAGTCCTTTACTTTGTGTAATTTGGTTTCTTCAGTGGTGTTGTGGGGGATTCAGTAAAATAATCCATATTCTGTGCCTGGCAAATAGTAATAGCTCAATAAATGTAATTCTTGCCATTCCAAGGATGGCTCAGCTTTAGCTTAGACTGTTTTCTGTTCCCTTATTACAAATAAGTTACAATTCCCGCATTAGGTCCAGTTTCTGGTTTCATTTATTTATTTGTTAAACATTTGCTGAACATCTGCTGTGTACAGCAGTACTGGAGATACAAAGATGAATACACAGTTCTACTTTCCTTAATTGTGCTCAGTCTGTCATGGGGAGATGGCCCCATAAACAAATGGATCAGTATAGAAGCACGTACAAGGCACAGAGGCCAAGGGAGAGGTGGTATCCCTCCAATCTTGCAAAATTACTTTTAGGATCATTTTATTTTCATCTTTTCACTGTAAGATGTCTGTGCCTACATGTGTTTGCTCTAAGTATGAATGATTGCAAGGTAATTAACTGGCCCAATAGTTTTCAGAAATTTAGAGTTCTAATGTATTAAAACATTTCTATCAATATATGGCCTGAATACCCCTAAAATATCAGAGTTTTAGAATTTGGAGGAACTTGGCAGCCAATATGGCCAAATAGGAACAGCTCCGGTCTACAGCTCCCAGCATGAGCGACGCAGAAGACAGGTGATTTCTGCATTTCCATCTGAGGTACCGGGTTCATCTCACTAGGGAGTGCCAGACAGTGGGCGCAGGACAGTGGGTGCAGCACACCATGTGCCAGCCGAAGCAGGGTGAGGCATTGCCTCACTTGGGAAGCGCAAGGGGTCGGGGAGTTCCCTTTCCTAGTCAAAGAAAGGGGTGACAGACGGCACCTGGAAAATCGGGTCACTCCCACCCCAGTACTGCGCTTTTCCTACAGGCTTAAAAAACGGCACACCAGGAGATTATATCCCGCACATGGCTCAGAGGGTCCTATGCCCACGGAGCCTCATTCATTGCTAGCACAGCAGTCTGAGATCAAACTGCAAGGCGGCAGCGAGGCTGGGGGAGGGGCGCCCGCCATTGCCCAGCCTTGCTTAGGTAAACAAAGCAGCCAGGAAGCTCCAACTGGGTGGAGCCCACCACAGCTCAAGGACGCCTGCCTGCCTCTGTAGGCTCCACCTCTGGGGGCAGGGCACAGACAAACAAAAAGACAGCAGTAACCTCTGCAGACTTAAATGTCCATGTCTGACAGCTTTGAAGAGAGCAGTGGTTCTCCCAGCATGCAGCTGGAGATCTGAGAAAGGGCAGACTGCCTCCTCAAGTGGGTCCCTAACCCCTGACCCCCGAGCAGCCTAACTGGGAGGCACCCCCCAGTAGGGGCAGACTGACACCTCACACCTCACACGGCCAGGTACTCCTCTGAGACAAAACTTCCAGAGGAACGATCAGACAGCAGCATTTGTGGTTCATGAAATTCTGCTGTTCTGTGGCCACCGCTGTTCTGTGGCCAGGCAAACAGGGTCTGGAGTGGACCTCTAGCAAACTCCAACAGACCTGCAGCTGAGGGTCCTGTCTGTTAGAAGGAAAACTAACAAACAGAAAGGACATCCACACCAAAAACCCATCTGTACATCACCATCATCAAAGACCAAAAGTAGATAAAACCACAAAGATGGGGAAAAAACAGAGCAGAAAAACTGGAAACTCTAAAAAGCAGAGCGCCTCTCCTCCTCCAAAGGAATGCAGTTCCTCACCAGCAACGGAACAAAGCTGGATGGAGAATGACTTTGACGAGTTGAGAGAAGAAGGCTTCAGACAATCAAACTACTCCGGCTACAGGGGGAAATTCAAACCAAAGGCAAAGAAGGTAAAAACTTTGAAAAAAATTTAGACGAATGTATAACTAGAATAACCAATACAGAGAAGTGCTTAAAGGAGCTGATGGAGCTGAAAGCCAAGCCTCGAGAACTACGTGAAGAATGCAAGAGCCTCAGGAGCCGATGCGATCAACTGGAAGAAAGGGTATCAGTGATGGAAGATGAAATGAATGAAATGAAGTGAGAAGGGAAGTTTAGAGAAAAAAGAATAAAAAGAAATGAACAAAGCCTCCAAGAAATATGGGACTATGTGAAAAGACCAAATCTATGTCTGATTGGTGTACCTGAAAGTGACAGGGAGAATGGAACCAAGTTGGAAAACACTCTGCAGGATGTTATCCAGGAGAACTTCCCCAATCTAGCAAGGCAGGCCAACATTCAGATTCAGGAAATACAGAGAATGCCACAAAGATACTCCTTGAGAACAGCAACTCCAAGACACATAATTGTCAGATTCACCAAAGTTGAAATGAAGGAAAAAATATTAAGGGCAGCCAGAGAGAAAGGTCGGGTTACCCACAAAGGGAAGCCCATCAGACTAACAGCGGATCTCTTGGCAGAAACTCTACAAGCCAGAAGAGAGTGGGGGCCAATATCCAACATTCATAAAGAAAAGAATTTTCAACCCAGAATTTCATATCCAGCCAAACTAAGCTTCATAAGTGAAGGAGAAGTAAAATACTTTACAGGCAAGCAAATGCTGAGAGATTATGTCACCATCAGGCCTGCCCTAAAAGAGCTCCTGAAGGAAGCACTAAACATGGAAAGGAAGAGCCGGTACCAGCCACTGCAAAATCATGCCAAATTGTAAAGACCATCGAGGCTAGGAAGAAACTGCATCAACTAACGAGCAAAATAAGCAGCTAACATCATAATGACAGGATCAAATTCACACATAACAATATTAACTTTAAATGTAAATGGACTAAATGCTCCAATTAAAAGACACAGACTGGCAAATTGGATAAAGAGTCAAGACCCATCAGTGTGCTGTATTCAGGAAACCCATCTCATGTGCAGAGACACATGTAGGCTCAAAATAAAAGGATGGAGGAAGATCTACCAAGCAAATGGAAAACAAAAAAAAGCAGGGGTTGCAATCCTAGTCTCTGATAAAACAGACTTTAAACCAACAAAGATCAAAAGAGACAAAGAGGCCATTACATAATGGTAAAGGGATCAATTCAACAAGAAGAGCTAACTATCCTAAATATATATGCACCCAATACGGGAGCACTCAGATTCATAAAGCAAGTCCTGAGTGACCTACAAAGAGGCTTAGACTCCCACACAATAATAATGGGAGACTTTAACACCCCACTGTCAACATTAGACAGATCAATGAGACAGAAAGTTAACAAGGATACCCAGGAATTGAACTCAGCTCTGCACCAAGCGGACCTAATAGACATCTACAGAACTCTCCTCCCCAAATCAACAGAATATACATTTTTTTCAGCACCACACCACATCTATTCCAAAATTGACCACATAGTTGGAAGTAAAGCTCTCCTCAGCAAATGGAAAAGATCAGAAATTATAACAAACTGTCTCTCAGACCACAGTACAATCAAACTAGAACTCAGGATTAAGAAACTCACTCAAAACCGCTCAACTACATGCAAACTGAACAACCTGCTCCTGAATGACTACTGGGTACATAACAAAATGAAGGCAGAAATAAAGATGTTCTTTGAAACCAACGAGAACAAAGACACAACATACCAGAATCTCTGGGACACATTCAAAGCAGTGTGTAGCGGGAAATTTATAGCACTAAATACCCACAGGAGAAAGCAGGAAAGATCCAAAATTGACACCCTAACATCACAATTAAAAG
Source organism: Homo sapiens (assembly GCF_000001405.40). Lineage (NCBI taxonomy): Eukaryota > Metazoa > Chordata > Mammalia > Primates > Hominidae > Homo > Homo sapiens. The sequence continues at coordinate 14,786,396 of NC_000002.12, read as the reverse complement.
AACTGGAAAAGCAAGAGCAAACACATTCAAAAGCTAGCAGAAGGCAAGAAATAACTAAAATCAGAGCAGAACTGAAGGAAATAGAGACACAAAAAACCCTTCAAAAAATCAATGAATCCAGGAGCTGGTTTTTTGAAAGGATCAACAAAATTGATAGACTGCTAGCAAGACTAATAAAGAAGAAAAGAGAGAAGAATCAAACAGACACAATAAAAAATGATAAAGGGGATATCACCACCAATCCCACAGAAATACAAACTACCATCAGAGAATACTACAAACACCTCTACTCAAATAAACTAGAAAATCTAGAAGAAATGGATAAATTCCTTGACACATACACCCTCCCAAGACTAAACCTTGAAGAAGTTGAATCTCTGAATAGACCAATAACAGGCTCTGAAATTGAGGCAATAATCAATAGCTTACCAACTAAATAGAGTCCAGGACCAGATGGATTCACAGCCGAATTCTACCAGAGGTACAAGGAGGAACTGGTACCATTCCTCCTGAAACTATTCCAATCAATAGAAAAAGAGGGAATCCTCCCTAACTCATTTTATGAGGCCAGCATCATCCTGATACCAAAGCTGGGCAGAGACACAACCAAAAAAAGAGAATTTTAGACCAATATCCTTGATGAACATTGATGCAAAAATCCTCAATAAAATACTGGCAAACTGAATCCGGCAGTACATCAAAAAGCTTATCCACCATGATCAAGTGGGCTTCATCCCTGGGATGCAAGGCTGGTTCAATATACACAAATCAATAAATGTAATCCAGCACATAAACAGAACCAAAGACAAAAACCACATGATTATCTCAATAGATGCAGAAAAGGCCTTTGACAAAATTCAACAGCCCTTCATGCTAAAAACTCTCAATAAATTAAGTACTGATGGGACATATCTCAAAATAATAAGAGCTATCTATGACAAACCCACAGCCAATATCATACTGAATGGGCAAAAACTGGAAGCATTCCCTTTGAAAACTGGCACAACACAGGGATGCCCTCTCTCACCACTCCTATTCAACATAGTGTTGGAAGTTCTGGCCAGGGCAATTAGGCAGGAGAAGGAAATAAAGGGTATTCAATTAGGAAAAGAGGAAGTCAAATTGTGCCTGTTTGCAGATGACATGATCGTATATCTAGAAAAACCCATCGTCTCAGCCCAAAATCTCCTTAAGCTGATAAGCACCTTCAGCAAAGTCTCAGGATACAAAATCAATGTACAAAAATCACAAGCATTCTTATACACCAATAACAGACAAACAGAGAGCCAAATCAAGAGTGAACTCCCATTCACAATTGCTTCAAAGGGAATAAAATACCTAGGAATCCACCTTACAAGGGACGTGAAGGACCTCTTCAAGGAGAACTACAAACCACTGCTCAATGAAATAAAAGAGGATACAAAGAAATGGAAGAACATTCCATGCTCATGGGTAGGAAGAATCAGTATCGTGAAAATTGCCTTACTGCCCAAGGTAATTTATAGATTCAATGCCATCCCCATCAAGCTACCAATGACTTTCTTCACAGAATTGGAAAAAACTGCTTTAAAGTTCATATGGAACCAAAAAAGAGCCTGCATCGCCAAGTCAATCCTAAGACAAAAGAACAAAGCTGGAGGCATCATGCTACCTGACTTCAAACTATACTACAAGGCTACAGTAACCAAAACAGCATGGTACTGGTACCAAAACAGAGATATATATCAATGGAACAGAACAGAGCCCTCAGAAATAACGCCGCATATCTACAACTATCTGATCTTTGACAAAGCTGAGAAAAAACAAGCAATGGGGAAAGGATTCCCTATTTAATAAATGGTGCTGGGAAAACTGGCTAGCCATATGTAGAAAGCTGAAACTGAATCCATTCATTACACCTTATACAAAAATTAATTCAAGATGGATTAAAGACTTAAACGTTAGACCTAAAACCATAAAAACCCTAGAAGAAAACCTAGGCATTACCATTCAGGACATAGGCATGGGCAAGGACTTCATGTCTAAAACACCAAAAGCAGTGGCAACAAAAGCCAAGATTGACAAATGGGATCTAATTAAACCAAAGAGCTTCTGCACAGCAAAAGAAACTACCATCAGAGTGAACAGGCAACCTACAAAATGGGAGAACATTTTCACAACCTACTCATCTGACAAAGGGCTAATATCCAGAGTCTACAATGAACTCAAACGAATTTACAAGAAAAAAACAACCCCATCAAAAAGTGGGCAAAGGACATGAACAGACACTTCTCAAAAGAAGACATTTATGCAGCCAAAAAACACATGAAAAAATGCTCACCATCACTGGCCATCAGAGAAATGCAAATCAAAACTACAATGAGATACCATCTCACACCAGTTAGAGTGGCAATCATTAAAAAGTCAGGAAACAACAGGTGCTGGAGAGGATGTGGAGAAATAGGAACACTTTTACACTGTTGGTGGGACTGTAAACTAGTTCAACCATTGTGGAAGTCAGTGTGGCGATTCCTCAGGGATCTAGAACTAGAAATACCATTTGACCCAGCCATCCCATTACTGGGTATATACCCAAAGGACTATAAATCATGCTGCTATAAAGACATATGCACACATATGTTTATTGCCGCACTATTCACAATAGCAAAGACTTGGAACCAACCCAAATGTCCAACAATGATAGACTGGATTAAGAAAATATGGCACATATACACCATGGAATACTATGCAGCCATAAAAAACGATGAGTTCATGTCCTTTGTAGGGACATGGATGAAATTGGAAATCATCATTCTCAGTAAACTATTGCAAGGACAAAAAACCAAACACCGCATGTTCTCACTCATAGGTGGGAATTGAACAATGAGAACACATGGATACAGGAAGGGGAACATCACACTCTGGGGACTGTTGCGGGGTGGGGGGAGGGGGGAGGGATAGCATTAGGAGATATACCTAATGCTAAATGACGAGTTAATGGGTGCAGCACACCAGCATGGCACATGTATACTTATGTAACTAACCTGCACATTGTGCACATGTACCCTAAAACTTAAAGTATAATAATAATAATAATAAAAAAAAGAATTTGGAGGAACTTTTTGTTCAGAGGCTCCAGCAATCTGACTAGGCTGAATAGTTAGGTCAACCACATTTTCCAGTACGTTTAGTCACAACAGGGTGACTAGTTCATTCATTCATAGTCAATTTGCCATTTCATTATCAGATTGAATGTGGAAAACCCAGTTTTATTTTTATTTTTTCTCTGTCTTTATTTTTTGACTTTTATTTTCGGTTCAGGGGTACATGTGCAGGTTTGTTATATAGGTAAACTTTTCTCACAAGGGTTTGTTGTACAGATTTTTTCATCATCTGGGTACTTAGCTTTGTACCCAATGGCAATTTTTTCTGATCTTCTCCCTCCTCCCACCTTCCACCCTCAAGGAGGCCTCAGTGTCTATTATTCCCCTCTATGTGTCCATGTATTCTCCTTATTTAGCTCCCACTTGTAAGTGAAAACATGTGGTATTTGGTTTTCTGTTCTTCTGTTACCTTGCTAAGGATAATGGCCTCCAGCTCTATCCATGTCCCTGCAAAGGACATGATCTTATTCTTTTTTATGGCTGTGTAGTATTCCATGGTGTATATGTACCATGTTTTCTTTATCTTGTCTAACATTGGTGGGCATTTAGGTTGATTCCTTGTCTTTGCTATTGTGAATAGTGCTACAGTGAACATATGTGTGCATCTGTCTTTATGATAGAATGATTTATATTCCTTTGGGTATAAACCCAGTAATGGAATTGCTGGGTCAAATGGTAGTTCTGTTTTTAGCTCTTTGGGGAATCACCACACTGCTTTCCACAATGGTTGAACTAATTTGCACTCCCACCAACAGTTTATAAGTGTTCACTTTTCTCTGCAACCTTGCCAGCATGTTATTTTTTGACTTTATCATAATAGCCACTCTGACTGGTGTGAGATGGTATTTCATTGCGGTTTTGATTTGCATTTCTCTAACGATCAGTGATATTGAGCTTTTTCTCATATGCTTGTTGGCCACATGTATGTCCTCTTTTGAAAAGTGTCTGATCATGTATTTTGCCCATTTTTTTAATGGGGGGAACATTGTTTTAAGAACAAGTTCTAATTAATGAATGCTTCCTAGCTTAGGAAGCAGATGCATGTTTTATAAGAGAAATCTGGAGTGCTAGGGGAGAACAGAGGATGTAAAGGTTGATTTTACTTGTTAGCCCAGGATCATGGAAGAACTTTAACCTGGGTTTGAAAGGTAAAAATAGGGGTTGGCCATTATGATGGATACCCCAGTCAGTGGAGTTTTATTAGTGGAAGGCAGGCTTCAGTAACAGTACACAGCCTGGCATGGTGGGTCCATGAACTTGTGGCGGGGGAGGAGGAAGAGACAGACAGGGTTGGAGCAAAATCATTAGGGCTATGACCATCATGCTAAGGAGGATGGACTTTGGATTTCATGCTTCAGGAGTTAGAGAATGGGTGTTGTTTAGGGGGAGAATTTCAAGAGCAAGCTTTCAGTTACTATCAGTGTCAATTAATTCTCTGCCTTTTGCACATCTGCATCTTAAAGGATGGGGATATTAAACACACTTAATGCCAGTTTTTTTTTTTTTTGTCACAATAGCTCATAGACATAGATCCTTAACATGAGAGTGCTTCATAAAAGTACTCTCAGGGAGGTCTCAGGGACATATAATGAGGGGCCCCAGTCTGGTTATGGCTCTCAGGAATGTCATCTAAAGCACCTTGCTATTCCCATGCTGATCGAGAACCACTTTGACTTGGCTGCTGCAGCCTTGCCTTTGGATTGAATAATGATGTCCTCTGCCATTTTCAGAAAAGAAATGACCAGAACCTGCCATGCTGTATTGGATTTTTTTTTTTTCCTGTAGATTTTTTTTTTAAGTAGCCCAGGTAGGAAATGAGTAGTCTCTGTCAAGAGCCTTTATTTAGTTTAGGCTGAAGTCCAGGCATAAAACCGTCATTAAAAGATGAAAACAGAGTAGTCACTTTTCAGGATTAACTGGTTCTGGGCTGTATTTGCGTAAGCAAGTTAATGAGCTGGAAAGTCTCATTTTTACAAGTGCTAAATTGTAAAGGCACTACGGAGACAGAGTCTTCAATGTTATTGATGTCTGTTCAAATGAGAGATGGAAATCTCATGGAATACCAAGGAAGCCTCCAATTTAAAATACGTCTTCTAACTGTTAGCAACATCATTTCAATCCCAGTAAAGAGGGAGATGGCAGAGAACATTTTTCATTTTGTTTATTGCATATTTTCCAGTATGCATGGATAATGCCAAATTACCAGCTAGAAAAAGTATTTCATGAAATTTTTCTGTCCAAGATGGCTGAAATTTTTAAATAGAATTGTCTCTCTAGTTCCCTTACTGCCTTCGCATCCTCCCTCTCTTTCTCTCATTCTCTCTTCCTCCTTTCCTTTTTATAAGCACCTAAAATATGCAAATAAAAATTTGTGACCAAATTTACAAAGAAAGAAAATGCAAGTTTTATTCTTAAGAAGCTCCAAGTCTATTGGAGGAAACAGATGTATAAAACACATAAGCAGATTATCACAGTGCAGCATGATAAAGATTTAGTACCAATTATGTACTGCCCCAAAAAAAGGTTCCCTAAGTTATTTGGGGTGAAAGTGGGGTTCTAACTTGTCCTTCGAAGATCTCTGGGAGACAAAAACAGAATGGTTCATCCCCTGGTGAATGTTTGATGAAAGCAAGCTTTATGAAGAAGGTACAACTAGCTATTCTTCCAAAACACATGGCTAATTGGATAATTGAGGAGAGTGAACGATTACCAAATCTTTGCATCTGACTTTTAAAAGAACTTTTATGCTTATGTTTGCATCTGGCAGTGCCATCCTAGAAAGTCTTAGCTCTTTAAATCAAATGAAGGCCTAATTTAGAAGGGACTGAGCATGATCGCCTCTCACAGAATTTCATTTCCTGCAGGAATGCAGAGTATCAACTTCCAGACTGAATCCAAAATCCAGGCTAAGTTCTGCTGCATAAATAGCAATTACATGATTAAGAGTTTTGGCTTAAAAGACATTCCATGTGTTTAATTTGTACAGGCCCATAGGTTACACTAATTTCAAAAATCATTTTTCATATCACATCTAACCATGAACTCTAATCAATTTTCAAGCCCAGGAGGAAGCTACTATTATCCCCATTTTACTGCAAAGTGTCTGATGTTTGGGGAGGTTAAATGCTTGTGTTAACACCACTAGTCTGAGTATGAAAAAACTGGAAGTTGCCTTTCTTTCAGTTCTGCTCTCCACATGTGGAGCAGAAAAAAGAGGAGACTGAAATGGGTTAAGATCGGGGGTCCCAGGGACTAGCACCTGGCTGGTCATTAGTGACAGCCAGTGACATATTGACAAAGAAATGGGCCCTTTGGGTCATGTGAGAGTTATATATGTAATAACAAACAAGAAAACTTCACGATACTATAGAATTCACTCATTCAGTCATCTGAAAAATCTTTTAAAATATCCTACTGTATACAATAAACTCTTGCAGACACTGGGGTATAGCAGTGAACAAAAAAGACAAAAATCTGCTTTCCTCAGGTCACAGCCCAGAATTGGGAGTGAGACAACAAACAAATATATAGTATGTGAGGTGGAGGCAAGTTTTGTGGAGAACACTAAAGCTGAGAAGGGTGGCAGGGGTGTTATTTTAAATAGAGGAGCCAGGAAGCGCTGATAAGGTGAGAACTAAAGGAGTGAACATCTGGTCTGGGAAAGCTGTTGTAGGCAGAGCGGATAGCAGGCACAAAGGCACTGGGGTGGGAGCCAGCCTGGTGGGTTTGAGTCACAGCCAGGAGCCAGTTTGCAGGGTGGAGGGAACATAGTGAGGAGCTAAGGAAATGAGGTCAGCAAGGTGCCAGAGCCTGTCCCTGGGGCCTGCTGACCTTGGGCTTTGCACTCCACTCAAACGGTGCAGAGGACTGATGTGAGCTATTGTATTTCAGCAGGTTTATTCTGACAACTACATTGAGACTATGCTGAAGGGGCCAAGCGCTGCAACAAAGATACCTGTTAGGAGGTCACTGTGTTAGTCATGGGAGGGAGACACAGTTCAATGAACCAAAATGATAATTCCTAATATGAGACATGTGATCTTGTCATGGACATCAGTGCCTCTGTCTGGAAGATGCCTACCCACTCTTTTCTGTTTCATCTTCAGCTCCTGGATATTGGTGTTCTGCTGATCCTTCATACTTTTCACTGCATTGATTACCTGAACTCTGCAAGAGATTTTGGACTCCAAATCAAAGATCAAAGCGTCTTGGATTAGTCATTTGATCTTGGCTTCTGAGGGCTCATTTGTAGAGTGGTGAGAATAATATCTAACTTGCTAATCTTTCAGAGACATTCTGAGAGACATATGCAAAAGAAACTTGTAAATAAAAAGCACTGTACAAATTAGGGGTGTTCATCTACTTCATAACATTACTGTTATTTTCCTAATGATGCTACAACAATCTCCATTCCATGAGCATCAATGTGAACCATCTATAACCAATGCCTTTTCTTTGTCCCCCAATCCCTATTGTTTCCTGAACTTATTCATGTTATTTTCTTTTCTTTTTTTTTTTCCACAATGTGTCTCTCATTTGTCCTTCTTTTTTAAACATCTGAGTCCAGGTCCTTGTAGGGTGATATTGAGGCCATTCAAATAACTGTTTGGGGAACTTCCCTGCATCCTGTGTTCCACACTCTCCCCCAACAAAATCTAAGTTCTCTTGGCCCAGCAGTTGGCTTCCTTCCCAATGCAATCTCTTCCTCTTCTTCCAATCTCATTTCTTCTGGTCTGGTACATGAACCCCATGGTTCCAGGATTTACTTACAGTCACCCACCATATCTTATGTTTTCCTATTTCTATGGTTTGGATTAACCACTTCAGTTTGAAATAATATCCCTTTCTTTCCTCCTGTCAAAAACTATCCAATCTTTCCTAAAGCCTTTTCTGTTGCTCCTACTAATTCCTCTGTTACTCCTAGTACCCTAATTCCTCACTCACTGAGTCACTAAGTATTTGTGCCATATTGCTATTACTCACCTCCTTGTGTATTCATGCCTTGTTTCACAGTAAGACCATCTTTAGGTAATCCTCAGTCCTGAGCACAGAACACTAATTATTCAGAAGGTGAAGTTTTTGGGTTCCTATAACTTCCTGTAAGTATCTAGGTTCCTATAAGTATCTGCAAAGTCAGCATGGTTTTTGAAACACAAAAGGTGATTCAGAACTAAACAGACGAGGTTTCAATCCCAGATCCCCCGACTGTTCACTGTGTGATCTTGGATAAATTTCCTAACATTTCTGAGCCCAGTTTCTCCAGCTTTAAAAGGGTTATAATAGTAGCCCTACCATATGGGATTGCTCTGAGAATTGAAAATACTTATGTAAAGTGCCTATCCAAACTGGTCATAGGAGTAAATATTCAATAAAATAAATCCATTATTATAATTATTACTGGTATTTTCATAAAATAATTGTCATTTGCCGTGAGTGAGCTTCCAGACTCACTTCTTGCTGGGCTCAACTTCCCCACTGTTAGATTAAGGGAGCTGAACTAGATCAGTGTTTTTCAAATGCTTTAAAATTATGCCCCTTTTACTTCTTAAAAAAAACCCCACATTTTTCTTTAGTGTCATTTAAAATTAAAAAGTAATTAAAATATTGCATTTAAAAAGGATGCAATAATTAGGACAAACATGATCATTTTCAAATCAGAACCCAAAGATGGAACTCAAAGAATTAGATACCCTCTCATTTCTTTTCTAGATCTAATATCTGGCCTAATCCTAAAATTTTTGAGGAGGAGAAAAGCTCACCTATGTCTAATTTTTTTCTGTTATGAAATGCAACTAGACTTTGGATGCCTGGCATCTTTTGTCTCTCCAAAATCTCTCTTTACATAAAAACCTTATTTCCATCATTTAAACATACATGGGGGCCAGGCGCGGTGGCTCAGGCCTGTAATCCTAGCACTTTGGGAGGCTGAGGTGGGCAGATCACTTGAGGTCAGGGGTTTGAGACCAGTCTGGTCAACACGGTGAAAACCCATCTCTACTAAAAATACAAAAATTAGCCGGGCATGGTGGTGGGCACCTGTAATCCCAGCTACTTGGAAGGCTGAGGCAGGAGAATCACTTGAACCCAGAAGGTGGAGGTTTCAGTGAGCTGAGATCGCACCACTGCATTCCAGTCTGGGAGACAGAGGGAGACTCCATCTCAAATAATATTAATAAAAATAAATAAACATACATGGGGACCTTGGAGTTTCTTTCTTCCTCTCTATTATTTGCTAGCACCGGCCCAGCCCTTGCTCTGAGGAGCGTCGGTGCACATTTTGACCATCAAAAATCCCTCCTTATAGCATGCTCTGTAACTGGCACCTCTCTTCGAGTTTTAAGTAGTGGGAACTGTGGACTCTGGAGGGTAGAAAAATTTACACATGGTAAATACTATTGATTTTTCTGGCCTGGAGATTAATTTAGAAAAAAGGAATCTGTTGTTAGTATGAAGGTGATGTGCGATGATGGAGAAAGGAAGGGGGCAGAAATCAATCCCTGAGAGCCGCCAATAATGTACTACCATCAGTATCATTTTGACAGGTTTACAATCAAATGCTATTGATTTCTCATCAGCCTTTTCAGTTAGCTTCAGTGGTGAGGTTTCTGGGTTTCGAAAAATAAAGGGTTTCTAACAGACTTTTTTTGCTTTAGCTTTTGCACCCAGGAAAGGGCATTGTGAGTTGCTGAGTCAGCCTTCACTTGTTGTGTTTTTGTGCATTGTAGTTTGGCTTGATGGTGACGGAAGGAGTTAGTATGGAGGGAAGCATCTGTGTGGGATCCAGATAAGCATCTTTGATGAAAGGAACAGTGTCACTTAGAGAATGGGACTTTCCCAAAGCAACAGTATACAAGCAAGGTGAACCTGAGGGCTTTGGGGTAGAGGCAATTAGTAGGTGACTAATCTCTGAACACATGCCACATGCTGATGCCTTACCTGTGCCATCTCATTTACATCTCATAATCTCCAAATTACAGATAAAGAATTGAAATTCAGAGTTCAACTAATTCCCTAGGCTACACATCTGAAAAATGCAGCTGGGATTTGATCTCAAGACTTAGAAATTGTTTCCATTTTTTCCCTAGAACTTTTAGTTCATTCACATGTCACTCTCAGTGGTGGGTGGTGAGTTGTCTGGCTCATCAATTCCAGGGATTTGGATGAACTGGAAAAGACTTGAAAATTTGTCTTTTTCTTAGAGTGGCACATAACTCTACCTCCTTGTCCCTGATCCCAACTACTTATATTTGTAGTTCCTGGTGCAGGTGGTAGGTGTCTTGTGGAGTAAGTGCTGCACCCATACCTGTTGATGATGATGGCTCTTGAATTTGGCCCACAGACACACATCATAACAGTGACAACAAAATGTATGGATTTGTCTGGTGTACATTCCTGCTAGGCACTAATGGGAATTCCCTGCCACTTGGGCATTTATTTTTCTTTTTTTATTTCTCCTTGTGAACCCTAAGTGTGTATTTAGAAAGAAATTGTTCTATTGAAGCATTTCCCCCTCCCGATGGCCTTTTCAGAATTCAAATTCAGATAAATTCTTACTGCACACTAACAATAGTCACTAACTAAGAGAACCCGGATTCCAGGCCCTAAGCACAGGTGTGCTATTTCTGTGTTGTGGGAGTGAAGAGCACTAAACGTGGATCTAAGGGAATGAGTTGAATGAGTTCTAGTCTTGTCTCTGCCACTAAATTATTTTATAGCTTAGGGTAAGTCCCTTATTTTCTCTAAGTATTGCTTTCCTCATCTATAAATAAAGGGCTTGGAGTGGAGCAGGGTTCCCAAATTTGTTTATGTAGTGCAGCAACAGGAAATTTGGGTGCTTTGTCCCAAATGCGATGAAATTATTTAATTCCTGTATACCAACAGAAAACATTTTTTTTTCTAGAAAAAAGTCTTATTTTCTACACTTATTTCAACAGTTACTCACCTTTCTGAATCTCAAATGAGAATGCCACATATTTTAAAGAAATCATGTATAAGTCTGATAAAAATCACCTAGGTTTACCTAGCATATACAGCATAAAGGGTGAGCCTGCCCGGCCGAGTAGAGAGAGTAGAGACACTTGATAACAGGTATGATATAAAGCTACGAAATTTTTATTTAATTTATTACTTGCCAGCAGACTAGCTGTAGTATGAGCTAAAAGTTTAAGAAAAGTTGTGTGAGGAAATCTTATAATGGAGAAAATTCAATTTTGGAGCTTTTATTTTTCCCCAGCAAGAGCTGGGAACATACCTCATGGGTTTGTTTATAGAAGAGAATGTGATAATGTGCGTAGAATAGGTAATTTATTGCTTGACATGTAGTGGGATTTCCCTTAGGTTGATCTCATTTGATTCCAGTGACAGATCACCTTCGTTGAACTCTAAGTTCCTTAGAAATATAAGGATTCGGGACATTTTGAGATCCCTGCCAGAGCTGACATTCTCTGATTCATAGATTGGTTTTCTCCAGGGCAGTAAACCAAGACTCCTGGGAGTCAGGAGTAGGGATAGGAGTGGGGGTGGATTTAAAGATGGGATGGGACCCTCTGGGTAAGCAACTGTCAGGATTATATCCATCAAGGCCTTGTCTCAGTCCGTTGATTGCATAAAGACAATTCTCTCCGACATTCCAAATTCTGTGATGTCTGCTGATTATACACAATGCCATCTGTCAGCTCTGTAGCTGGGCCCCTAATCTGTGTGAAATTACTTGAGAAGTAAAAAAGAAAGAGACCCAGCAACTTTGCATTAAAATAAACCTAGATGTATGCAATTGGACAGACATCTTGGTAGGCACTGGAATGATAAAAAGTTGATTAGCAGACTTCTTACCCTCAAGGCAGCATAACCTAGTGATGGAAACTCATGTGAATACACATCTATACACTTATGACCTCCAGGGGTAATAACTCTAGAGCAGGCACAAAATGCAAAGGGTAGGACATTCTTATTTTGACGTGGGAGAAGCAGTGGTGTCTTTCCCAGGTTGAAGCTTTAAATTGCTGTGTTTTTGCCCCATCTTCTTTGTCCCTACCATGGAGATTGTGAATGAGTGTGTTGAGATGGAGACTCTGTGGGCTCAGCTACCTGTGTTTGATTACGAGACTTTCCATCCGACCTGTGGTGGACATGTAGCGTAGGTGAGAAACAAATCTACATGAAGCCACTGATGCTTAGGGGTTGTTTGTTCTCATAGTGTCACCTAGCCTTTGCTAACTGGTACAGCCAGAAGGAGATTTTCTCTTTATTTACTCTCAGCTTCTACCTACCCAGCTCTTAGTCCTTAACCTTAAGTAACCTAGATCTTGCTCTCTTCATTCCTTCAACATGTCTTGCAGAAAGGAATGCCAAGGATCTCCTATTTCCCAGATCATGGAGAGTTTGTCAGAAGTTATCCGACTTGCATTCTATGGTATTTGGTTTTGTAAACCAATACATCCTTGGAATATTTTTTCCCTTGGCTTCTATAGGACTACACTCTGTGAAGTATTTTGAAGTAAAGAGCGGGGAATAAATCCTGGTGTGGTATCCTATTAATATAAAAAATATTTATAAATTGTTATATCATCTTCAACATTTTTTGCAATTAGTCAGTAGTCTTAAATAACTTTATTGGCTGAGTCAAATTGTACTCAACTATCTCTGGTAATGGGTAGTAAGTATTACAAGGTTCTAAACAGGTTAAATTTTAAAAAAGAACTTAAACTAAGCATATTGATAGCTAATTTCAAAATGCTCATATTTATTCCTTATTAATGTTAAATACAGATATTATTTTATTTGCTAATTATGTAATAATGAGTACAGACTATTTTGAAGGTAACAAAACAATTTCTTTTCTTACTATCATATTTATAACCTCATTGATTATACATGTCAGCAGATCACCAACATTTTCATTATATAAGAAAAGAAAGAGTCTGAAAAATAGAGAATGGTTTTGTCATTGTGAAAATCCTCCAAATATAGGGAAGCTGAGCTGGAAACAATTAGCCTGCACTTATAAAAGTGTCTAAGATAAAGTGTTTCTGTTCCCTAAAACAGAAAAAAAAATACCAAAAAAGGACATGGAAATGTAATATATTCATTTTTGTGTGTTGCAAAAGAATGCCTCGATTTTTGTCATTTGTTCACTTTTAGAAACCCCATCCCTTTTATTTCTCATTGATTGTTCTGGTTTACCATTTACCAGGTTTTCTCAGTGCACAAGTACATACACAGTCTAGACCTGTGTGGCCCCAAAACTCAAGGAAAAACAAAATATTTCAGCCAGATATCCAATCTGCTCTGCTAGATGTTCAATATATACACATATGAGAACATGAAACCTGTTGGCTACATATGTATATTTTGATTCTAATGCTTACCTTTAAATTTGTGTTTGAAATGTACAATTTAAAATAACCTTTTATTCTATTTAGCTGGGTCTGCTGATTGGAGTTTTCAATAAGCTGCTTGGCAAGACACACCAGGTTGTGAATGCAAGGAACAAACTCTCCTACTGCTTTTTCAACATTTACCAGCTGAGATTCCTAATCTTTGGATTTGACTTGCTCAATGTTCTAATCCTTGTCTCCACTCCATCATGTCCCTTGACAACTGATTTTATTCTTCATCTACTATTTAGGGCTTCCTTTCTCTCTTCCATTTGAGTCTTTATCTGCTTTTATATTTATCATTCTTTATCCATGCAATTTTATTTCTTTTTGGTTTTTCTTGTGCCTTAACAACCCTCAGAGGAATGCTCCCTCTCTGTGCCCCAACAGCCAGCCAAGTAACTGACAACGTGGGATACAGTGAAAGCATAAGGCAGAAGAAGTAGCTGAAATTTCACGGGGACTGAAACTGACCTAGCAATCTTTAGCCCAAGACCCAGGTACCTGAAAAATTGTTCCTGTCCCTTCGAAGTAAAAGATTCTGGCTCAAAACTCCCCTTAGGAGGTCCCTGGTGCTATCAGGAAAGGAAAGAAAGTAGGGCTGTTGCTTTGCAGGTGTGCTCGGAGCTAGAGCACATAACTGGGAGGAGTCAGCATCCATGAAGCCAAGAGGGTCTGCCTTTGCCAGGGCTACCTGGGCAAACTTCTGGGATCTTAAGTCATCAACACTGTAGCTTGTGTCTGATCTTCCAAGTCTGTGGAGTGTGTATCCTCCTGTATCGATGTGTGTGTGTACATTGGGTGACTCTGCATACATGTGTACATGTATCGGTATGTGCAAACATACTTCTATATGGGCAGGTATGGGAATATGTGTGCATATGGGAATATATATGCGTATATGTTTGGGGGCAAGTATTGTATATCCTGAGACTCAGCACTCAGTAAATATTGGTAGAGTAAATAAATTATTCCGTTTATTCAATTGCATAAATATTTATAGAATAATTTAATGATAAGCAGAATCATAATAACTAATAATAATGGAAAAAAGGAAAAACTTCCTCTAGAGTATTTGTGAGAAGGGAAATTTGCCTCCGTGTCTGCTCAGGAGTTGTCCCTGAGGCAGCTGCTGCTTTGTAGAAATATAAATCCACCCTTGCTCTTGTTGCTTTGAGCCTTTATTCACTTTCTCATGCCCGATACCTAGAACTTTGGACCACTCTTTTCTTTCCGGTAGATATTGGTGCTACCGTATTGACTTTGAGAGACATTTTATGTAGAAGACCCCTTTCCCTTACTGCCTGGCTCTTAACTCTATATAACTCTACTAATACACATGTGCTATGCTATCAAAGACTATTTACTTTGGGGATAATTAATGGTATTTCAACATTGAGAATAAGACCCTTAATGTTAGATACTAAATAGATTGTTTTCAGCAACAAAGGAAGGAAAATATGTACAGGCGTCTTGTTTTAGAAAAATATTTCAGAGAAATATTCACTATCTTTATCCTTCACAGTGTGGGTTTCATACCTCACCAGGGAAACTCCCTGTACATCTACAGGGATTGGTCTCTGTCTGGATCCATCCTCTTCCATCCACCTCAGCAGGCAGCCATCCCATCTATATACAACAGAACCTATTTCCCAAAGCCCAAGATGCTTTATCAAGATCAATACCATATGGAACTTCTGTAGAACAGCTCAGGGTAGGTGTTTGTACCCCAAGACTGGTCATTTTCATGTGTCTCTACCAGTATGAAGTAAATACACACACCCTCATTCTTCCTGGGGCCTTCTGGTCTCATGTGGATAAACCTTGGACTGAACCCACAACATGTGCACACACTATTCTCAGGACAGATAATAATTATCAGAGACAGTGCAGTCCAAATAAATGTAAGATAAATACTTTCCTAAAGTTTGTTAATCTACAAGGATTAGTCTTGCTCCCAAGGGTGGTACTATTTAAATTATGAAGCACTTTTCATGTCTTTTCTCTCCTTTTCCCTTTTCCTCACATGCATTGGTCTATGACAAGGGACCCACTTAAACATATGACATGGGGTTCTTAATAATGTCATTCAAAACAGCTCTCATTGATCTCCAATAACTCTTAATTAGCTATGCCAAGACCAGGAGCATCCTTTCGATTTATAGTTTTACCTTGTACTTGCACCAGCTCAAATTCTCAGTGTGGGCTTCTTCACTAGTCTCAGTGAGGTGGAAGGGAAAACTGTAAAGATATATTTTCCCATCTGCAGGGAACAGTGGGAAACTGGGGAGCAGAAACACTCTTCTTATTATAGTAATAATTATTCTTAATTCATATAATAGTTTATTATTTACAAAGAACTTTTACAGCCCTCTGCACCTGAAAACATAAAAACCTTATTTAAAATAATAAAATGATTTCACATACACTATCTCACTAAATAAATTATCTAGGACCTATATAGCAACAGCAGTTCTCTCCCTAAAAGAGTAAAGGAAGGTTCATCTAGGGCCCTTGGAGTGTGTCTTTCAGGAGGAATAGTTTGAGGGGTAACCGCCTTTCACGTCCACTTCTAAAGACAGTCACATAATTTCTTATCAAGTGGTCTGTTCCTTCATCGGCACTTTTGACTTGACCTTATAGCCATGCCTCTCATTGATCTCTAATCCATATTCTGTCAAGACGCTAATAGGGAGGAAAAAAGTCATCACCTGAAGAAACAACCACCAACAATCTTTTTCATTCTGTGCTGTGGTCCCAACTTCACTCCCCTTCCGAGCTATACGTAAGCGTGAAGGGAGCTAGCTGGCTGCCTTTACTTTACTTCTTAGAAGGTCACCAGTTAGATACATGGGGAGATTCATTTCCCTCTTTTTAATGAGGTTTTACAAGTATTTAAACCATCTGGATTGCCTTTTACATGGTTCCACTATGCAAAACAGCATCGATGTGGCACGTAGTATGAAGAGGGCTGTGGCAAGTCAGACACACAGGGAGCAGGGAAGGCTTTTATGAGCTTTATAAATTTTGCACCTTTATACATTTAATAAAGAGCTGTGTCTAAATTATGAGAATGTTCTTCAGGATGAGGCATGGGTTTTTAGAACCTTTAGTATCTGAGGATATTTTAACTGCAAAATAATAACTTGACTGGAACTTCTTTGAGTGGGTAAGTAGTAAAAATGACAAGGGGCATTCAGAGATGTTTTCATTGTATCAATTCATCATCTGAAACTTTAATACTGTCAGGATTTACTGAAAGAATCACATACTCCTATATATTAAATGCTGGGAGTGTTACAACTTTGAATGTTCTTGGAAACTATCTATCCAATTACATATGTTCCTCCAGAAATTCAGCTGAGATTACTGGCAATGGACTTGAGAGAAGTGATTTCAGACTATTTCTTTTTGCAGACAATGGCTTCTATGTTTCCTTTTGCTTGCTTTCTAGTACAGTTTATGAATTAGTTATAACTCTGGATTATGGCTGTGTAGGATTTTCTGAGGGTAGTAAATTCCAGTAGAGTTGCCTGTGAGAGAGGAAAAGCAGAAGGCTCTCTTTGGACAGTACCTACCCATGAGCAACATTGCAATGTCAAAATTAGCTAGCAAATTAAACACATGATTGAGTAGTGAAAAGACCAGTTTAAATCCAAAACAACAACAAAGGAAAAACAGAGCAAAACAACACATGGGTTTGAGTTATGGCTCTGTCATTAA
Source organism: Homo sapiens (assembly GCF_000001405.40). NCBI lineage: Eukaryota > Metazoa > Chordata > Mammalia > Primates > Hominidae > Homo > Homo sapiens. The sequence continues at coordinate 14,769,154 of NC_000002.12, read as the reverse complement.
TCCCGTAGCCTTGGCAAGCCATATTCCTTCCCTACATCTCAGGTCTCTAGTAGACAATAAGATGAATTCTCAGTCACAGCATAATTGTGAAAATAACTAAGAGGACGAATGTACAAGTTCTTTATGTATTACAAGTTACTATATAATTGCTAATTTCACTCAAGTAATGTTAATTGAGGTCTTTCTGGGTACCAAATATTGTGTAAAACACTGTATTGAAAAAAAAAGATGGAAAAAGACATAGTTTCTACTTCCAAGGAGCTTATAATCTAGAACAATATTAATGTTAGTTAGCATTTACAGGACACTCTGTACTCAATACTGAGTGAAGCATAATTTAAAACTTAAACAAGAATAAACAGGAGCCACATACAACAGAGGCTTTGGGTAGGCTAATTATAAAAGCTGAGTTTGCATCTGACCTAATAGAGTTTTGGCCAAGTTCCGTGGAAGCTTTAGAAAAAGCAAAAGACACAGTGTGTGTAAGAATCATACTCCTTTCACTAAGGAGACTCTAGCAAGGATCTGTGGTGTGTGCACCACCTGCATGGGGCAGGGAGCTTAAAACCTTTACCACTAGCTACTCATGTGTACATTCCAGAGCCCCACAGTGGCTATGTCTAGGTCTACCTGGGTGTGGTCAAACTATAGTGTGTAAGCATTGCAGGCTTTCTTGTGACCTCTGAGGGAACATCTGCATGGTTTGTCATGAATTGTGCAGCCTGCAAAACCCAGCGGTAACAATGGCCATGATAACGACTATATAAGTCTTGTGCCCAGCAGAACAGAGCTTATAATGGTGTCTTAAAAACAGTTTATTTGGGGACTACTAGAGTGGGGAGGGAGGGAGGTGAACAAGGGTTAAAAAAAACTAACTGTTGGGTACTATGCTCAGTACCCGGGTGATGGGATCATTCACAACCCTCGGCATCACACAATATACCCAGGTAACAAATCTGCACATATACTCCCTGAATCCAAAATTAAAACTTAAAAAAAATTATCAAAAAATAGTTTCTCATCTAAGATTCTTTAGATACTAGATATCTTAATCTGGAAGCCACAGGTGCTAGGATCTGGGTTAGATATTGTTGAGATGGTGATTGATTCAGTCTAATATCTGGGGAAAAACATGTATTTGAAGGTGTTATCATTTACTTTTTATAACTATGCATTAAGCACTATTATTATTCTCATTTTAAAGAGCACACCTAGCCACCTAGATAAAGTTAAGTGAGACACATACGGTCTTATGCTTTGTGTGGCTGGGATTCCAATACAGGTCCTCTTTTTGCCATCACATAAGTACATACTGTGAGAGTGCCAAATTCTGCTTTGGGAAGTTCTGCTGGGGAGGTGACTTGCTTAAACAACCTCCAAAGAATGATGAGGCACCCTGCAGAAATGGGAATGGCCACCTCAGGGACAGGGACCCAGCTGGGCAAAGGCACTAGGACAGCAGCCAGCAGGTGCGGACGTAAGAAGGTCCGTGTAATGTCAACGGGTGGTGTCAGAGGGTATGAAGCCCAGCGTTAGGCATGCCTTAGTTTGCCATTTTAAGGAGTCTGCCCTCTATACTATATGAGAGGGGGATTCATTAGAGGTTGTTATGTAGGGCAGTGACAAATTAGAATTTTAAGTTTAGAAAGATGAGGCCTGAGGACGATAAAGGATTAACACTGAAAGTAGGGAGAACCATGCAGAAGTTGAAGTACTGGAGGATAAAGGGAGAGATGACTGATGATTTGTAATCTCCTCCTTGACATTTACATAATGGCGTAGCCAGAAGGTAGTGGGTATAAAATGTTTAAACAGAAACGCCTGAGCTGCTACATCTAGGGAGGGTGCTAACGGCATAATACAGGAAGTGTGATGGATTTTGTTTTCGAACATTGGGACATTCGTTTTCAGTTTGGAATCAACCATAATGTTACTTTACCATTGCACTCTCCCATGCACACATATACACACACAGTGAAGGCAGAACACAGTGTTGGTATGTGTAGAAAGAGACTGCAATCTCCATGACCTCTCCAAAATAAATACATGTGTCTCACCTTTCAAAGATCATATTTAAATAAATGTACTTGATGACGATGCTACATTAAATGTGAACTTAAAACAATTACAGCTACAAACAGAAATCTTTGTATTGTTATTAAATGCCTCCTCTTAAAGTGAAGTCACAGCTCTAATGTAGGTTATGTGGGACAAGAATGGTGTGTAACACAGAGAAGATCAACTATAGGATCTGAGCAATGAAGGAGATAACTTATTTTTAGTTGAGTATTTTTTAATGTAACTTAGGAGAATTGCTAAACTGATATTAAGACCATGAGGTAATCTTAATTAGCTAAAAGGCTCAGCACCAGATATATAAAATAATGGCTTTGTTTTCATGAATGAACAATAATTTTAAAAATAGTGCCATACTTAATAATTTAAAATGTCTATAATGCTTAAAAATAACCTGTTAATAATGCTAGCTGCAAGATACTGGACGCCCTAGGTTACTTCACTGACGATAAGTCATAGACCAGTTTGCTGGATAGTTAACTTGTCTACCTTGGAATGACTAATTGTCCCAACCCCAATTATATTATAACAAATGGCCAATATAACAATTTACTGAAGGGCCTATTCGCAGAATACTTAGTCCACAAAAAAAATCTTTTTTATTAACCACTTAGAAAGTTTATGGCAACTATTCATGTTTTACTGAGACTAGCCCAATGTTCTGTGCATTTTTTTGCATAACATTTTATAAATGTTGAATTTCATTTTAATGTATAGCGTGAATGTCAAGGATTTTATAAATGAATGGGTGGACTCTCTCTCCAAGCACATTTGAAATCCAGTCTTCTGCCTTTCCTACTTTTCTCAGAACATAGATTTGCTTTTTTGAGTTGAGGAGAAAGCAGGCAGTTGTGTTCACCAGGATTTTGTGCTTGGAAATGATTTTTCACAAGTGACTTCACACACTCATCATACTGAACGTGCAGCACTCAGACACATATATGCCCATGTCCTTGCAGAGACAGAGGCTGTTCTTTATTCTTGGATAGTCTTTGCAAATCATTCATGATACGGAGTAAAATGGCACCATGTTTCTCATTGCAAATGACCTCCACTTATCAAGACAGAATACTATTTACTAATGTGTTGCATCTCTATCACTATTTCCATTGGTATCGTATGATTTGTGTGTCATTTTAAAAAACTGAGTTACTTTTGCATGGTTTATTATATGCCAGCCTCACTAAGCAAGTCAGGTCTGTGGACACATTGGCTTGAGTGTGTATGCGTTTGTGTAAGATATGTGTGTATGTACTGATTTGGTGGGTGTGTATTATGTGCAGATAAATGAGTGAAATATTCCCAATCTTGGTGCACTACTCAAGTTCCACCCATTTTCTCTCAATCATAAAAGCAAGTTAGTAAATCAACGAAGTAGAAACTGGATTGAAAATATACTCAGTGAAAAAAAGGTACCCTAAATAAAACATTTAACATGTGTGACCTCCATGACAGCTGAATTCAAAATATATAAGAAATTGTAATCTAAAATTATACTTCACATTAACCATCTTTGTTTTTTGTTTGTTTGTTTGTGAGATGGAGTCTCACTGTGTCAGCCAGGCTGGAGTGCAGTGACACGATCTCAGCTCACTGCAGCCTCTGCCTCCCAGGTTCAAGTGACTCTCCCGCCTCAGCCTCCCTAGTAGCTGGGATTACAGGCACCCGCCACCAAGCCTGGCTAATTTTTGTATTTTTAGTAGAGACAGGGTTTTGCCATGTTGGCCAGGCTGGTCTTGAACTGCCGGCCTCAGGTGATCCACCTGCCTTGGCATCCCAAAGTGCTAGGATTACAGGCATGAGCCACCGCGCCTGGCCTACATTAACCATCTTTGAACTAAAACTGTTATAAATTTTGGTTGGTTAATAGAAACTTCTTAAAAGCAAATCAGTAATTTAACACATTTGTCATTCGATGAATTATTGAGCTAGCGATTAGTGGTGACTTAGTTGGCTTGTAGAGTTTGATGGATCATCCCTAGAGCAAAATCACAACGGTCTTGCCAGTAACAATTTTGTTGTACATGTTCTAGGTTTATAGGCATTAGTAGATAATAGCTACTTGAAAGCATTTGAAGATGCCATGGATTGGAAATTTATAAATGTGCTCCATGCTAGAAGAAGAATTAAGAAGCCAAAAGGGGGAGGAGGATGTAGCATCTAAATTAAGAAAACAAAACTTCTCCATAAAATTTCAGCAAATTTCTGCTTATGTCTCATTGGTCAGAATTGTGTTACATGTTCCATCTTAGTTGCAAGATAGTTTGAGAAATGTAGTTTTTAGCTTGGTCCATGACTCTCCGAAGCATAACTGAGTTTTGATCATAAGGAAGAAAGAGAAATTGGATATTAGATAAGTAACAAGCAGTGTTTCAACCAGAAATGAAGTTCACTTTCTCACTATGTTTTTTTGCTCACTTTTAAATTAATTACTCTGCTGGCTTTTTTTTTTCCCAATAATTTAAGTTATTGATTCCTTTCCCCCAAGTTGCATTGTATTTTACTTACATTTGTAGCAGTTCTGAGTAGAAAGAATAGGAATCATCTCATTCTGCCCCTTTATTTCACTGATGATAAAACAGAGACTCAAAATTGCAGTTTCTTGCCAAGACCAAAGCCAAGGTGAGTTGTAGAATCCAGGAGTACAACTCCAATCCAGTGCTCTTTCCCCAGGGCAATGCTGCCTCTGGGGAATGAGGGTAAACAAAAGTCGAAAGGGCAAATTTTCACTTTCATGTTTCCTAAATGAAAACTTCACTTACCAGCTGCTTTCCATTTTAATTGATTTGCGTTGCTATTGTGGAGTTCGGTGCCTAGCCGGCCAAGCTTAATTGTAACACATTAACAGTTTTTCTTATTAAACTTCATATGAACTTTGTTATAGAATCACGGGGCTCCCAGAATGGAAAGGGGAGTTCATAGGGATTTTCCTTTACTTGTTAATCTAAAATATTAAAGGCCAATACATAAGAATAGCCTCAAAGAATGTCACCAAAAACCATTGCCAGAAAAATTCTTCAAATAAGATTTGTAGCTTCCTGCCATTTTTTTGAATAAGTTTTTAAGATTGGTGCGCTGAAGTTTGTGGGATGTAATGGGAAGCTTCTGAGCAAGGACCAGGGAATGCGATCCTTTTTCAGTCTCTTCCCTGAAGTTAGTGATCTTGTGCAGGTCATTTTCTTATTCTGGCTCTTTTTCCTACAACAATCAGAAGTTGAACTGAAAATTAGAATCTCATGTCTTTTGCACACTGGAATCACTGAAGAGTATTGAAATGATACTGGTCCAAGCTACCTCAACTATTTCTATTTAGGTGGTTTTCCAGTGTAGGGCATAGGTATTGGCAGTTTTTGTGAAGCTCTCCAGGTGATGCCAATATGTGGCCAGAATGAGAATCCACTGGGCTAGACTGAACTCTAATCTTGCCACTCAAAGTGTGGTTTACTGACCAGCAGCATGGCAAAACCTGAGACCTTCTCAGAAATGCAGAATCTCAGGTCCGACTTCCGACTGCAGAATCAGGATCTGCAATAACCTCAGGTGATACAATACAAGGCAAAGTCTGAGAAGCACTGAGATTCCCTTCAGCTCTTTCATGATTCTGTAATATTTGGTTGCTTCCTTGCTCAAAAATCTTCAATAGCTCCCCATGCAATCTAAATGCTTCAACTAGATAAGTGACCTCCTATGATGTTTCAGACTCATCATAATCCAACCCAGCCTTCTTTCCAGCCATTCCTTCCTTCGCGTCCTGGTCTCTGGAGACCGCTGTTGTCTCACGGATTCCTGAGCAGCCCTCAATTGTTTTTGCCTGGCTGGCACGACTCCCCGGTTCTTCCCGGTCATAGACTTCAAAGTCCAGCCCAGACCTTAACTTGCCCCAGCGCACCATGCAATACTAGCTCATATCTTTTCTGCTCTGATTCATTAACTTTGGATTTCTTTTTCTTACCTCCCTACATAGATTATAAGGTCCTTTAAGACAAGGACTATATCCTACTTAACCTTAAATCCCAAGTGCACACTCAAAAAACATGGTGGACATCCAATAACTGTTTATTTTCAGGGCTTGCTGGAATGAGAAACCAGTGACATGGGAGTCAAATGACATGGATTTTGTAACTCTGATGCTGTGACTTTCCCTGGGTCTTGGTTTTCTCATATTTAAGGGACTTTGGGGGGCCTTCCAGCTGTGATAGTCTAGGGCTTCGCTGGGGACCCAGTTTTAACCAAGTAATGGTTTCTGAAGATTGAGTCCTCAGCCCTCAGGTATTTTACCAGCAACTGTTTGCACATGTGAAGAGTTTTTAATGTTTGCAATTCTTCATGGCGGCTACAGATATGCCATTTTAGCCTGTCTTTGAAAATAAGCACTGTCCCGTGGGTCTGGAATATAAAGAAGTTAGGGCGAATTCAACAAGAATCAGACAACTGAATGAATGAGAAATTGCATAAATTTGGCCTGGTCTTTCCATTTTCCTATTTGGTTTTCAAGATTTGTTTTTCTTTTTTTTCTCTTAAAATATAGCTTGGGATCACCTGGAAACATGATTTTTGTCCTGTGATTCTTTCTGCTCTGAGTTACATAGCTATCTGGTTAACCATAAAAAACATAAAAACCATAAAAAACATCTTTTACAGCCCTTTGCAATTTACAAATTAGTATTCTCATTTGGCCCCCACATAGCCCTGTGACAGAGACATACAGGGAGTAGCATCGTTCCAATTTGCAGTTGATGAAGCAGGCTCAGAGAAATGATTTGACAGTAATTTGCAGTGTGTTTGGGGGGACTGGTTTCTGTTGCATCTCCCTCTGAGGCACCTAGGGATACTTAGCAGTCCTGCAGAGTCCTTGGCCCCACCTTAACTGGAATGTCTGGGGAATGAGGCCCAGGATCCTTCAAACTTCCTAACACTCTGGGGAAATTCTTAAGCATAACAAAGTATGAGAAATGTTCCCTGCCTCTACAGAAAACGAATCTTAGTCTCTGGATGGCCAAGCTTTCTGGTTTCCACAGGCAAATGCTCCGAAACTGGGTGTATTCTCATAGCCGCCAAGGAGCTTTTAAGAAAAGTCACACCACTTTTAAGAAAGAACACACCGCTAAGTGCCACCAGACCAATTGACAGTTTCTCCTCAGAGCAGCCCTGGAATCTTTATTTGGAAATGGTGTGTAGAAGGCCCTGATATTCATTAAGGCTCCTACGGCTCTGTTGAAACCAGACTGGAATGGATTTTTAAAAGGCTGCCGTCAGCAAAGAGAATAAATTGTAATTATATCATCTGACACATTTGGAATGGGGTCTCAGGGCTGCCTCTGCCTGACATGCAGTTTATCTCTGTGGAAAGTCCTCATTTTCGTATTGATAGCAGTGCCCTGAAGCACATCTGAAGTCCTTCAGGTCCTTAGAGGAGAGAGGAAGTCTCAGGGAGAGTCCTCAACATTCTGGTTTTCTGTCTGAGGCCCTGCCACTCACTGATGCTTCCACCTTAGCACATCCCAGGCTATGCCTGGCTGTGGCCTTCACCGGTAGCTTTTGAGATAGGACCACCAGAATCCACTAGGAACAGCATCAACGTTAGATAAAGCAGAAATAACAAGCCTCACATTTTACAGCACTTTTCCATTTGCAACGCACATACACATCTTTTTATCTCATTAATCCTCACAACAAACCTGTGCGGTGGATGTCATTACCCACATGTTACAGATGATGAGATTGACGCCGAGAGAGATAAAGTACTCTGCTCAATCACGGCTAATGAATCACAGGGCTGAGCAGACACCCACGGGTTCTGATTTCAGACCTGCTGCTCTTTCCACAGTGCACATTAACCCGCCACATTCTCACAAGAGCCCTGCTGAAGCAGGTGTTTCACACTCACTCTCAGATGGCAGACTGAAGGTGGAAGCGGCAAGCCCGAAGTCATACAGTGAGCAAGTGGGGAGGTCGGGATTCAAACCCACTTATCTCCAATTCTAAGGTCAGCTGCTCTTTTATTTCATGATTCTATCATTTTCTTTGAAGGCTAGAATCATAAATTGTGTTTCTCAAACATTTTTGACATCAACCTATGGTAAGAAACTATCATGGTTCAATGCATTCACACACACACACACACACACACACACACACAAAAACAAAACAAAAGCATTTCAAACTGATGACTCTACTGTCATCCATGCTGTTCTAATCCTTTCATTTACAAAATGCTGGTTATGACCCATTAAATTTTTTCAAATTTGAAACAAATTTTCATAACCCACTGAAGGCCACAACTAATGCAGTTTGACAACCACTCTTCAGAATGCTCAAATATTCATTTTTGGTATACTATCTGGTATATATATAAAATACTGGTATATAAAATACTTTGATATATATTTATTATATATATACACTTTGGTATATATATTTTATATATATATTTGGTATATATATATTTTATATATATTTGGTATATATATATTATATATATATTTGGTATATATATTTTATATATATATACTTTGGTATATAGATAATATATATATATACTTTGGTATATATATATTATATATATATATATAAAATACTAGGTCGAAATCACAAATGTGGAGACTAAAACAAATTCGTTGGTGGTAACCATGAGCTTGACCAGCTTGGGCACTGCTGTCTGGTTCCACCTGCTTTTCTCTGGCCCCTGGGGTCGCCTCAGGCTCCCGGCCACCTCTGAGGCCGCAGTGGGGCTGTCAGACTGGCAGTGAGGCCAGCAGCCCCGGGATCCCCGGTAATGAATGCATTCTTCACCGCTTACCCTTTCCTGACTACCGTGAACAGTAATAAAAATGTGGGCAAACAGAGAGAGTTTAGTGTGTTTATTGCTGCTATTGAGAAAATAATGTGATAATAAACAGGGCCAGTAATGGAAATTGCTTCTAAGAATAAAATTATGTTATTATGAGTTACACACAGCCATTGGAAAGCATTTCGTCTCTCCAAGTGGGAGCTGCCTGGCTGCTTGGAGCTGTTCCGGGGCCTCCCTCCTGGGACCATGATCCTTGCTCCACTTGCCAATTTGAACTTTTAGCCTCATTGACTTCTTGGCTTTGCTGATCTTTGGAAACCAGGTGGCTTGGGGGGCATTGCATTTTAATTAGTGCATTTAATCCCCTGGCTGGTGTGTTGAAGTCTGTTACCTTCCTTCTCAGAGTGTCATTAGGTCTGGATGAGGAAACTCTTCTTCAGTATATGATGAAGGAATTAACTGAGAGCAGAGTTTAAATGCTCTACGTGGAGGAGAATCAGGTTTGACATCAGCTAATAGCCAATCCTGCCATTAACACAGGCATAGGAGTAAAATTAAGCCTTGAGAGCTTAACTCCTGTACTAATTAGAAAGAAAATGACAGAAAAAATATCAGGCTTGAAGAGCTGCGTTGACTTTGATGATGCCCAGGCATTTGCAGGCTAGGCACAGAATGCCCTTGAAACCTTTTCTTTACACTCCATGCATCATTTTACCTTATATTCCTTTGTAAAAATCATGTTTGCTCACATTCACCTTTCTACTGGGAATCTTTCCACTTTCAGCTTCACCTGTCAAAATCTTGCTCATTCTTCAATGTCCATCCCAAATGTGATGTCCTAGAGGAGGCCATGCTAACCCCCATGGAGCAATTCCTTCCTGTGTCATTCCCACATACCAAGGACCCTCTGTTAGGGAACTTGTCGTGGCCTTCTGAGTATCAAGCTAATTGCATTACGTCCCTTGTCAGATCATAAGCTTGTCAGTTCAAACTCTGGTCCTGAGTCATCTCTGTTCCCTTTACAGAGGCTGGCTCAGGCTACGTCAGAAGCCAGCTGGGTGTGTGGTAGGGCAGCTGATCTAAATCAAATGTAATTAACTATAGCATCTCTATTATGCTTGATGGGGTTCGGGCTGGGGCTAGGGTAAGGCAAGAGAGGCACCTAGCATGCGAAATCTACAGAAGCACTTGCAGGACTCTGAGAGCATCTCCTTAAATTTTACACCCTAGGCATCTCTCTTGCCTTACCCCAATCCTGGCTTTGGTGAGTGAAGTGGGAAAAGCATGGCAGTCTCCCTTGAAGAGGCATTTGCTGGACTCCTTTTGCAATGATGGTGTACTCTTCTATTGTGAGGATTCTTATAATCAATTGAGAAGAGCCCCCTTGCCTCTGCTGTTGTTCTCTTATAGGTGTACTTCTGCAGCTTCCCTCCTTATCCTAATCCCATGGGGTGGAAGGTAGTCAATTAGTCAGGTCCAGGTTTGGCAAGGGCTTTGGACTTCATTCCTAGTGGAATTGAAACACTTCACAGTTGCTGACCAGGAAGGCAACATGATTTGATTTGCATTTTCAAAGATCACTCTGGCTTATGTGTAGCCTGGATTGTTCACGACCCAGAATTCTGCGTAGCACTATCCACCCCCCACATATGTAACTACCTCTTTTAGACAAAACACAAATGTTTGTAACATACAGAGTGTGTAGAGAACTCCTCAGTTTGTAGATATTCATGTATTTTTTTTCTTGGCTAGAAACTTACCTTTAACTTGTAAAAAAGGTTCTGATTTTTGTTTGGAGCAAACATTTATGATGCTCTTAATAAGAGTTGTAAATTGTCTCCTTTTCCTCCTCATTGGTCATCAAGTTCATAGCACTTCCATGCTGTTTTACATGCACACGTTAAGTATTTTGGTTTTGGCTGTGCCCTTTCCCAAGAAAATTAAATGTACGTCAAGTGGCTGTAGGAGCAGGTGCCATTTCTTTGGATTTCTCACAGAGGAAAACATGTTATATATGGGTGTTCAATTTTATTTGATGTTTGGAATAGCAAACATCTTTAGGGACAAGAACAAACTTTCACAGACCTTGAACATTATCCAATATAAAATCCCCTCTTGGGGACTGTGATCTCTGGATCTTACTGCAGCCACAGTGGGGAGCCAGCAGAGATGGGTTTGGATGCCCTCCTGAATATGTTCCCCCTTCATAATCGCCTTCTGTAAACACCTCAACCCCCAATCTTCTTTTCTTTCTCTTTTGGTCTAAGAAAGTAAGTTGAGCAAAGCAAAACTGAGTTATTTGGGTGGTAAGAGAGGAGTAAGGGGAACAAAAGGCATATGTTTTGTGTGTGCATGTGTTTTAATTTCTTTCTGTGATGGAGATGAGTTTACCAAAGGGTGAGGCTTCTACTCTAAGATAGTGGTTATCTAACCAGGTTGACATGATCACCTGGGGAATTGGTTGAAAGGACAGTCCCAGTTGGTTATGGGATTGAATTGTGTACCCTCCAAATTCTTATGTTGAAGTTCTTCTAACCCCCAGAACGTCAGATGTGACCTTGTTTGGAAATAGGGTCTTTGCAGATATAATTAGGAAAGTTAGTTTACGGTCACACTAGATTTAACTCAGCATGACTGGTGTCCCCAGAAATAGGAAATTTGGAGACAGGCATGCACTCAGGGACAATGCTTTGTAAAGACCAAGGCAGTCATCATGGTGTTAGAGCAGAAGCCAGTGATGCCAAAGACCGCCGTGACCACGGTGAGGGGAGAGGCCTGCGGGATGAGGGGAGAGGCCTGTGGCAGAGGCTTTCTCACAGCCTCAGGAGGAAATGAGCTGCAGACATCTTGATCTCAGGCTTCCCGCCTCCAGAACTGCGAGACAGGTTTCTGCTTTGAAAGCCTCCCAGGGTATGGTGCTTTGTTTCAGCAGCCCCAGCAAATCCATACACCCTGAGCACAATCTCTGAGGCCAACCATCTGAACTCTTCAGGAGCCCTTCAGTGGCATATGAGGATGGGGTCGGGGGTGGTGTCCATTCCTTCTGCCCTGGCTGCTGTTCCCAGGCAGCTGCAGACACCCTCACATTGGAGCTTCTGCATCCTCCCTGACTCACTCAGTGTTTTCAGAGGTCTTGTGGGATGTGTGGACATGTTGCAACCAGCAGATGAGTCAGTCAGTCAAGATGAGATTGTTCACTCATTAAAATAGACTTCGTTGACATTCCTCTGGTTACCAAGAAAAAAAAAATGCTTGTGTACCATCCTACTACATAATGTCATGTACGAAAAAGCAAACGTACCACTTTGTTCTCAGCACCCAGTTTCCAAAGTTTGGTAAAGACAGTAGTATTTCTAATTTCAAAGAATTTGAATGTACTTTGAAAACTTATGGCTTCCTGGGTTGCTAGTTAACAACAAATGCCCATCAATCAATGACTGAGTGGATAAAGAAACTGTGGTATGTATATATGATGGAATACCACTCAGCCATAAAAAGGAATAGATTAACAGAATTTGCAATGACCTAGATGAGATTGGAGACTATTATTCTAAGTGAGGTAACTCAGGAATGGAAAACCAAACATTGTGTGTTCTTACTGATATGTGGGAGCTCAGCTATGAGGACACAAAGGCAAAAAGAAACTGCTCTTCATTTTAAAATGTCTACTAAGGCATTTAGTATTCTTTCTGACAAACAAGTCCCACCAGGCCCACTTTTGTTTCCTGTAGGACTCAGTAAGCAAAGGAGACAAACTTCTTCCCAGACAAGGCCAGTTAACAGTGTATACATAGAAACCGAAAGCTGGAGGGAGCTTTTAATTTTTCTTCTGGCCAATCTGACCTCTGAGACCAGGCTACTTGTCCGACAGCACTGGCTTTGCCATAGTTATCATTGCAGAGTCTTTTTTCGTAAGTCTGTCTCAGCACATTTCAGCATTCTTTGACTCACCCTTTAGGCTGGAATTTATCAGACTAGTTCTGAGCCCAAAGGTGATTTTTTTTTTTCTGCTAAAAGTTTGGTAAATTTCTGCCCAGCCATTTTTATCCTGCTGAAGCATGAAACAGAGTTATCATGTTCTGAAAATTGTTTAGATGCTTTCCACCCACCTCCAGCCACATAACAGGAGCTGTTTTCCCTTTTCTTAAGCAAAAATTTTCCATGGCCTCTTCTGAGTACAAGAACTGCCTCACTGTGACACTGGGAGATTTTTTTCCCTTGCCTGAAGCAGCCCAGGAGAAGGCGCATGGGCTTGGTAAAAGGTAGGCTTGAGTTTGAGTCTCACTTTTCCAATCACTAGTTGTGTGATCTTGGGCAAGTTATTTAACCTTTTAAAGCTTGGCTTTCCTTACTTATAAAATTGAATAATAAACACTTTTCAGACTGATCTTGAGTATTCGAGTTTATATATGTAAAACGACTCAGGATGTGGTTCTCAAACCTGTATGCCTGGAGAGCTGTTTTATGTTTCTGTTTTTGTTTTAATGGACTTTATTTTTCAGAGCAGTTTTAGGCTCACAGCAAAATTAGGTGGAAGGTGCAGAGATTTCCCACACACTCTCTGCCTCTACACATGTACAGCCTCCCCAGCTATCAACAACCCCCACCAGTGTGCACTTTTGTTGCAATGGATGGACCTACACTGTCACACCATTATTACCTACAGTTCATAGTTTACATCAGGGTTCATGTTAATGTTAATGTTCTGTGGGTTTAGACAAACATATAATGACATGTATCTACAGTATAGTATCATACAGAGTATTTTCACTGCTCTACAAATTTCCTATGCTTCACCTGTTTATCTCTCCCCACAAATCTGGCAACCACTGATCTTTTTACTGTCTCCATAGTTTTGCCTCTTCCAGAATGTTGCAGTTGGAATTATATAGTACGCAGCCTTTTCAGATTGACTTCTTTCACTTAGTAACGTGTATTTTTGTTTCCTCCATGTCTTCTCATGGCTGGAAAATTCATTTCTTTGTAGCCCTGACTAACATTCCATTGTCTTGATATACCATAGCTTATTTATCCATTCACCTACTGTAGGACATCTTGGTTGCTTTTGAAGTTTGGCCATTATTCATAACACTGATATATATATCCACATGCAGGTTTTTGTGTGGATATAAACTTTCAGTTCCTTTGGGTAAATACTAAGGAGCATTAATGCTGGATTATATGGTAAGAGTATGCTTAGTTTTGTGAGAAACTACCAAAGTGTCTTCCAAAGTGACTGTACCATTTTGCATTCCCACCTGCAATGAACCTGAATTCCTGTTGTTCTGTATCCTCACTAGCATTTGGTGTTATGCTCTGGATTCTGGTCATTCTAATAGGCATGTAATGGTATGTCGCTGTTGTTTTAATTTGCATTTCCCCGATGACATATGATGTGGAGCATCTTTTCACATGCTTATTTGCCATCTGTCTGTCTTCTCTGGTGAAGTGTCTGTTAAGGTCTTGGTTGGTTGTTTTCTTATTGTTAAGTTTTAAAATTTCTTTGTATTTTTGGTCAACAGTCTTTTATCAGATATGTCTTGCAAATATTTTCTCTCAGTCTGTGGCTTGTCTTTTCATTCTTTTGACAGTGTCTTTTGTGAAACTGAAATGTTTAATTTTAATAAAGTTTAGCTTATCATTTCTTTCTCTCATGGATCAGGCCTTTGGTGTTGTATCTAAAAAGTCATCACCATACCCAAGGTCACCTAGATTTTCTGTTAGGTTATCTCACTAGGGGAGCTTTTAAAACAAAACTGCCCTAGACAAGATGAATTTCATTTTCTGGGTAGTGAGGCTACACATCTGAATAATTTTTAAATGCCCCGAGACTCAAGCTCTGTGAAGGTTAAGGACTAGTGGGTGTAATAAAGATGAACTTCAGAAGCGTTATGCTAAACAAGAGAAGCCATATAAAAAAGACCACATTCAGTATGATTCCATACATGTAATATTCTAGAAATGAAAAACTAGTGACAGAAATCACATCAGTGGTTGTTGGGGCCAGAGTTGGGGAAAGAGATTAATGTAAATATACATGGGGAAATGTTTTGGGGTAAAAATGTTTATAAATTGATTTGTTAATACTCATTTACCTATATATCTCAAAAAGGTAAATTTTATTGTATGCAAATTGTGTCTCAATTAAAAAATGAGCTAGTAGGATAGGTTCTCCGTAGCCATTGTTTTGATAACGATGATGATGATGTAGCAGGAAGAAGGTAGCAGGTGTTTGAAAACAATTTCCAAAGGTGGTAATTTTGATGAGGACCAGGTTGAAACTCCTGAGGCATTACAAGATAGATAGCTATAAATCCATAATTTGAAATGTGCACATTAAAATGAATGCTATTTGACATGCTTTTAGTTCCAGATGTTCAGGTAAGCATGTCAAATGGGGCTTGCTGACTCTTTCACTGCTAATGAAGAATAAATATCAGATGACTGGAAGGAGTGTTAACTTGAAGATGAACACTGGGGATGTATTTGAGCCGAGTTATCTGAACTCCCTGAGGCTTCCAAGAAAACAATCACAGAGAGGTAGAGACTCTTGGGCAATGTTTCCTAGGTCCCTTTTCTGCTGGGACCAGAAGAATGGAGCTTTTAAAAACTCAGATTTGAAAAAAAAAAGTCTTGAGAATGTGACATGTCTGAAGTGCAGAAACGTAGGAAGTGGAGATCAGCAAAGGCCCCTGGTGGAGGTTTCAGGCGGAGATGTGTCAGAGCTTTTGCTCAAGTGCTGTCATCCAAACACAGGGTCCTGTTCTGCTGGTGACTAAAACTTGTGTTGCATATTGGCTTGCTTCTTTGGAATTGTGGTTCTCTAGCACAAAACAGGCCAAAGTGGTTCTCACCTCTTTTTTTCCAGTCGTAGCCTTTGACAAGTGATTTAAACTTTCAGAGTGTTAACTTCCTCATCTAAAAATGAGGAGGATGTTACTTGCTCTGCAGGTTTATTGGAAGAAGTAGAGCTAATGAAGTACAAAGTGCTTGGCACTGTGCCTGGCACATGATAACAACATTTTATATTTAATGAGTCAAACCATGTCCCAGGCACTGTTTCTCTTGGTTTACCTGAATTATTAATTTATTTTTTTTACCACAACCTTATGAGGTATGTATCATTGTTATTGTCCCATTTTATTAATAAGGAAACTGATGCATAGGGAGGTTGGTAATTTGGCCAAGGGTGGATGGAAACAGCATAGCTCCACATCCTGTGCTCTTAACCACTCAACTCTACCCTCCTGGTGCATGTTGTACGTTTGCAATAAATGGTGGGAATATGCAGGAAGCTCAGTATCATTAATCTATCCTTGAGTAGGACTGATGCATCAAGATTTGCTAGATACCATGCTAATCTGTGTACATGCATGCGTATGTATTAAGTGCAGGCAGGAAATTTTCACAAATGAAATGCATTGAATGTCACAGCAAGGCATAAAAACCTAGCTTGAATCCCCATCAGCCCTTCCCAAGGTGTGACATTAGGCAGGTCACTTGATCTCTTTGAGCCTTTATTTCATGTCTACGAGACAGGAATATTTCTACCTATCTCTCCAGAGGGTTGTGAGAGTTAAATAAAATAATGTATGCAAATGTACCTAGCAGATTGTCTAATATACATAGGAGATTGGCAAATATATATTTTTAAGATTAAAACTTGAAGAAACTCTCAAGAGAAGCTTGCAGCCTAGCAAGATGAAGAGAGATCATATTTCAGGCGTGGTCTCGCAGTTTCTATTTGATTGCTGATGCTTCACAGTCATAGCTCTCATCCCTGTTCTGCTTTCTGTCCTCCAGAGGAAGGGAGGAGGATAGCACTCACTTCTAAAGTGAGAACGCTGGGCTTGCAAACAGAGTGGCCTTGCATTTGGTCACTGAGGCTCTGAGTCCCCTGGCTCTGTGCCCAGGATGATGCCTTGCATTGAGGATATGCCAGGGAAGGAGGAGGCATGATCCCTGTTCTCAAGGAACTTGTCAACCAGCTGTGGGTGGCAAGGCTCAGACTGCATTTGAGGATGGTTAGGCAGGACCAGTAGTTGTTCATCCTTGTATCTCCAGCACCTGGTCAAGTGCCCAGTATATAGCGGATGCTTCATAAGTGTTGAACAGATAGAGTCCTGCAAGATAGGGTGTCAGGTGCTCAAGAGGGCTGCAAACTGGAGATGCAAGATGGAAAGTGGGCTAAATGACTAAGCGTTTGGGTTTCTGGGCTTTGGGACTTCTCTTTATGGGAACAACCAAGTCTCCTCTCTCCTTGCCGGCTGCTCTGAGGTGCTACTTACTGCACTGGGTGTTGGCAATTTCCTCTAGCAGATGCTTCAGGAACAATGGAGAGGAAGTTTCCTTTGCGTGCTGGAAGAATCCCTGTCAGTGAACAGAGAAAACCCACCCAGGCTGGTGACATCTGATTTCATGAAAGCCTTCCAGGCTGCACCTGTGGTGCTTGGAAAGGCCAGTGGGCAGAACGCCAACACACATTCAGAAAACCTGCACGTCATCACCTAGCTCTGTGACCTGAGGCAAGACACACTTTGCAGGACTTCAAATGCCTCACCTCATAAATCCTGATCTTCCGGTGCTATGACCAGCTACCACATATTGTGGGCCTGCTATGTCCCCGGCCCTGTCCTAGGGGATTTGCCTGTGTTATGTCTAAGTTATTCTTAGACCCACCTCACAAAGTTGGGGCCCCCATGTAGAAGGTGAGGCCTCTGGACTCAGGACAGAGCTCTTGGAGGAGAACCTGCCTCCTACTTCCCTGCTCAGCTTCCCACACCTGCAGTGGCCTTCTGAGATGACGGCTCTTCTGACTACGAGGGGGTGCTTCCTACACAATGACCTGTTCCTTCTCTCTGATTCACATACTCAGCTATTTATTAATGACAAGATATATCCATTTTGTGCATCAGAAGAAAAGCAAACTTTCATAAAACTTGTCATTCAGGACATCCCCGGGGATCAGCTGAAGAAGCCACTGTGGGGGGCTGGGATGAGGCCCTGGCCAGCCCCTGGCTCTGTGTTCCATCTTCTATGTGACCCTGGGTGAATCTCTCTCTCTCTCTCTCTCTCTCTCTCTGGGCCCCAGTTTTCCCATTTATAAAGTGGTGATGATAATCTTTGCTTAGTTTTTAAGACTTCCAGGTTAGCAAAACTGAGACAGTGCTTCTGAAAGGTCTTGAGGTTTTAAAATAATTCTTGTGACATGAGCAGACTTTGGTGGCCTGGAGAAAGGGTCTTTGTTCCTTAAAATGCACCCTTTGCTCGTTATAGTCTGAAGTCTCCTTTCCAGAGGCCCTCATCCTTTTCTTTCCTCTCCGGGGAGAAATCACGCTTTAAGTGCCGATCTCACCTCCCTCGTGCTAGAGGTGGGAGTTGGGATCCCTGGAGGAGATGATTCTTGAACTGGGATTCCAAGGCAGCTGGTAGTGGCCTGGAGCAGAGGAGAATGCTGTTTCCCACACACCGAAGCTGAAAATTCTTAAAAAGCCATCCATCCACGACCACAGCAATATGTCTGTCTCTTTCAATTAGGATGTGAATTCCTGGAGGCAGAGATGACATGTCATCCATTCCTGTATCCTCGGCACCTAGCGTAGGACCCTGCACAGAGTAAGCACTTTATGAAAATGCACGGAAAGGAATTAAGTTGAATGAAATCACTGAAACACCAAGACAGCTGCTGGACCAGGCAGTAAAAAAAAGCCCTGCCAAGCCTGGGTGGAGGGCATTCTTGAAAGCTGGTGCATGTGGGGGGTGGGAAGTGGAGGGAGGCTTATTCTCTCTGACAAATAGATGGAGACTGTTTTCCTATACCCTTGGGGTTTAATCTTTTCTTTTGAATCTTGCAAGCCCATGGCATTGAGTGCTGAAACCCATTACAGAGCAATTGTCCTTGGAGCTCAAGTTCCCTTACAATTCTTTTCATGGGAGGCTCATATGATGGGTGCCAACATTACTCCATGAATCATAGACACTCCTGCTTGAGGCTCTAAGAAATGTTTTTCACCTGCCTGGCTCCACCAAGCAATAGAACTTTATTCCCCTTTGTGCACTCTGAATGCCCTCATCTTCAAGAAAGGGGCTTTCCTCAAAAGCCTCCTTCTTAGAGGAGGAGTTTTTAATCAAATACAGAAAAGGCCATAGACCTGAGTTAGAGACACTGTGGGGACTGATGTAATTGTAGTAGTGCAAGAATCTGATTCTATGAATCACAGATTCAAGGCATGCGAGATCAGGAGGCAACTGTGGACAGGACTTGAGTAGCTGGAAAGCACAGCCATGCAGCAGCAGGTTTTAGCCAGTGCCTGAGATGCACCCACTGCAGTCCTAGAATCATGGGATTGTAGGGGTCCCTTTCTTCTCTGCCAATCCCATTCCTCACCATTCCCCCTATCTATGAGCCCCTGTTCCAGTGTTTCTAAGTGCACAGAACTCCCTGAGTCTGGGTGCTCCTGTCATGAGTCCTTTCCTCCTGCTACAGCCTGGTTTGAACACCCTTTCTGGTGGTCCTTTGCCTGGAGAGCTCTTAGAAATTCTTTATTATTTAGATAAGATATCAGCCTGACTGGAAATTCTCTTGGACTTCCAGCCTGTCAGGGTGTTCCATCTTTGCACCTCTGTCTATCAGAACACATTAAATTTATTAATTGGCTATTTGTTTCCCATAGTGAGTTCTGAAAGAGCTGGGGAATGATGTGAACAAAGTTGATTTTTCAGAAAGGTCATTCTGCTGGCTTTTGCAGGAAGTATTGCTGCTAGGGTGAAGACCCAGGGCAGGGAGAAGAGATGGGAAGCTATTGGAGTAGTTCAAGGGGAAGAGCGAAAGTTTGCCATGAGGATATAAAATGAACAGCAGTGTTTGTTTGGAGAATGGTGCAGGATGAAGGAAGAACCTAAACACCTCCTACATGACGGAATGTTTTTAGGAAGCCTGCTGGATGTGCTACAGAGAACAGAATGGAAGGGACCTAGGGACTTAGGGGGTTTTCTACTGACAGGCAATGTGGCTGCAAAAGTTCTCAACAAACAAAACGAAAACACTTTATCTGATTTTTGCTGAGGAGTTTCTCTAGCCGAGCATAAAGCCCTGGCATAGTGAGTACCTTTGCTCTAAGGCTGCCGATCTCCTTTACTCTCCCAACCTTCTCCTGCTTGTCCAAGCCAGATACACTACCATTCCCTTCCCAAGAGATGTGGGTGGACAACACGTTCCATCCAAAAGCCTCTGCTCCCACACTTCCCATGGCCTCTAGGGATCTATGATCAAGTTCTTGCTTGTTCTTAAAGGCTCAGCCCAAATGTCTCCTCTTCTATAAAATTAGAAGTACTCCCTCTCCCCTTCCTGTGTCCATGTGTTCTCATTGTTCAATTCCCACCTATGAGTGAGAATATGCGGTGTCTGGTTTTTTGTTCTTGCGATAGTTTACTGAGAATGATGATTTCCAATTTCATCCATGTCCCTACAAAGGACATGAACTCATCATTTTTTATGGCTGCATAGTATTCCATGCTGTATATGTGCCACATTTTCTTAATCCAGTCTATCATTGTTGGGCATTTGGGTTGGTTCCAAGTCTTTGCTATTGTAAATAATGCCGCAATAAACATACATGTGCATGTGTCTTTATAGCAGCATGATTTCTAGTCCTTTGGGTATATACCCAGTAATGGGACGGCTGGGTCAAATGGTATTTCTAGTTCTAGATCCCTGAGGAATCGCCACACTGACTTCCACAATGGTTGAACTAGTTTACAGTCCCACCAACAGTGTAAAAGTGTTCCTATTTCTCCACATCCTCTCCAGCACCTGTTGTTTCCTGACTTTTTAATAATGCTAGATGACGAGTTAGTGGGTGCAGCGCACCAGCATGGCACATGTATACATATGTAACTAACCTGCACATTGTGCACATGTACCCTAAAACTTAAAGTATAATAATAATAAATAAATTAATTAAAAAAAAGAAGTACTCCCTCTCATAGTGAAAAGTTGCATATATAGAATGTTGACATTTTCACCTGCCCTGTGATCTCAGCAAGTTCCTTCAGCCTCAATTTCTTCATTTGTAAAATAAAAATAATCAAGAACTGCTACTTCATGGGTTGTCAGGATTAAATGGAAAAATATGGAGCATTTAGCACTCTGCCTGCTTATAATGGGCATTGAATAAGTTATCTACTTTATAAATATCGGATATTAAAAAAAGACGTGTTTTATTTCTTTCTTTGGTATCCTCAAAGCTAATTTTAAGCAGGTGTTAGTTCTTCCATACATTGGAGTTGTATAGGCATGTGCTTTAAGCTATTTCTTCCTCTTTGATAATTATTTTTGCACCCCACTCTCTAGAGCCCCAACCTGACAGAACACTTTTTTTCTAGTAGATATCTGGAATTACTCTTGAAATGAGTGACATAAAAATCTCAAGCCCAGCCTCTCTGTAGGAATGAGGGAAGATCATTGTTTTAACTCCTTTTTGCTAAGAAGAGCTACGGGGATTTGAAAATGTGACACATAAACCCAGATATACTCAGGGACAAGAGAACTAACAAAACAAATTAAAGAGTGGGAGTGAGGTGAACGTGTGTGAGAGATGTGAGTGTGGCTGTATATAAGTGTGAGTGTGCACATGTGCATGTGTGAGATTGTGGGTGCATGTGAGCGTATGAGAGTGTGGCTGTGCATGAGTGTGGATGTGTGCATGTGTGTGAGTGCAAGTGGGTGTGTGAGTGCATGAGAGACGTGAGTGTGTGGCTGAGCGTGTGGCTGAGAGTGTGTGCATGGGCATGTGTGAGTGTGAGTGTGCAAGTGTGAGTGAATGTGGGTGCAGCTGTGTATTTGTGCACACATCCGTGTGTGTGTATGAGAGCATGTGAGTGTGCATGGGTAGCTGTGTATATGATCGTGAGTGTGCACATGTGCACGTATGTGTGTAGCTGTGTATGTGTGCACATGCATGTGAGTGTAAGTGTGCATGAGTGTATGAGAGTGTGGGTGTAGCTGGGTATGAGTGTGTACACATGCGTGTGTGCAACTGTATGAGAGTATGTATGTGGGTGACTGTGTATATGAGTGGGAGTGTGCACACGTGCACATGTGTATGAGTGTGTGTAGCTGTGTATGAGTGTATGCACACACATGTGAGAGTGTAAGTGTGCAGGAGTGTATGAGAGTGTGGGTGTAGCTGGGTATGAGTGTGTGAACATGCATGTGTGTGTGTGTATGAGTATGTGAGTGTGTGGGTGGCTGTGTATATGAGTGTGAGTATGCACACATGCACGTATGTATATGAATGTGAGTAGCTGTGTATGAGTGTGTGCACATGCATGTGTGAGTGCAAGTGTGCAAGTGTGTGAGTGCATGTGTGGGAGTGAAAGTGCATGAACGTATGAGAATGTGTAAGTGTAGCTGTGCATGAGTGTGTGTGTACATATGCATGTGTGAGTATGTAAGTGTGTGTATGTGTGTGGATGTGGCTGTTTATGAGTGTGCACATGTTTGTGTGTGTGTGTATGAGAGTGTAGGTGTATATGTGTGAGTATGAGTGTGCGTGAGTGTATGAGAGTTGTGTGTGTAGCTGTACATGAGTGTGTGTGTACATGCATGTGTGAGTGTATGCAAGTGTGTATGAGTGGGTGTAGCTGTTTATGAGGGTGCACATGTGCATGTGTGAGAGTTCAAGTGTATAAGAGTAGCTGTGTATGAATGTGAGCACATGCATGTGTGGATGTATGCAAGTGTGGGAATATATGAATGTGTGGGTGTAACTGTTTATAAGTGAGTGTGCACATGTGTGAGTGCGAGTATGTGTATGAGTGTGTGGGTGTAGCTATGTATGAATGAGTGTGCACATGTGCATGTGTGAGAGTGCTAGTGTGTGTATGAGTGTGTGGGCATAGCTGTGTATCAGTGTGTGCATGTGCACGTGTGAGAGTGTGAGTATATGAGCGTGTGGGTGTAGATGTGTATGAGTGAGCACATGTGCATGTTTGCGAGTGTGAGTGTGCATGAGTGTATAAGTGTGTGGGTGTAGTGTAGCTTTTTATGAGTGTGCACAGGTTCATGTTGAGTGCGAGTGTGTGTGAATGTATGTGTGTGGCGTGTGTGGAGGAGGAGGGACAAGAGGGTACCACAGGGAGCACGTGATCAACAGCACAGAGCTGAGCACAAAAGTGGCCCTCAAATACTTGCACATTCTCCTTCTTCCTCCCTCTCTGGGTGGAATCTTTAGGACTGAAAACAAAATGCCCTGAAAATACCTCAGCAGGAGAGCTGCTGATACAAGAGAAATTCAGCTGATAAAACGTGGCTGGGCAGCAGGGAAGCCACTTGGCGGAAGTCCTTGGATTCTTGCTACCCACATTGGTTCCAGAACTAGCCTCCTGTCCGAAACTAAGATCTGACTCACTCTGGAATGGCCTCCAGTGACCTGTTCTCTGAATGTCATTATCCATTTTTGGTGCCAACCCTAGTTTTCAGAGGTCTGTTACAGGCCTGGCCCAGCGCTGTTCTGGTTCTGCCCAATCACAGTGTGACACTTCCTATTTTCTTTTCATCTTTGACTCCTCCAAACTGTTACTCCCTTAGGAAAGTGGTCTTGGAGGAGCTGCTTAACCTCTCTTGACTTTAGTTTTTGAAAGACGGTGGGATGACCTCCAAAGTTTCCTCCTGTTCTGATAATCTTTGGCTACATCATGATCTCCACCACTGGAAGACTTTTTCCCACACAGAGCTCCTTTTCAGAGCGGAGCAGATGACTTCCCTCTGCAGAATGACCCAGGCCACCACATCATCCCCTGGGAAGCCTCTTGGCTTCATGCTGGAGAGTTTCTTGCAGTCTCGCAGTCCTCTGGCAAGGCTATGATGCACACCCACGGTCTTCTTCACTACCTGATTGCTCACAGGTTCTCGTTAGGAAATCTCATAATCCTGGCTCCCACACTTATAATGAGAAAATGCTTTCCAAGACAGAGTCTTTCCTTTAACCTTTACATGAAAATAAGACAACAGATGTGGGATGATTCTGAAATTGTCTCTTTGCCCTATGAGAAAAAGTGTGTGGCACGGATTGAAAACAAAGCTCTCTAACTGAGGCAACATAGAAAGTATTTCATTCTGGCTTCAGAGGCCCCTCTACCAGCAGAAAAATAAAACATCTTAGGAATAATTCAGTCATGTTTTTGAACTGCCTCTTAGCATTGCCTGGAACAAATATCCTGGATATCTTTGAGAACAGGAAAGTGCAGTGGGAGGGACTATCCTGAAAGGAGATCTAGTGTCCTAAGGCCCTTCTGTCCAGCAACTGGAGCCTGGATCCTGTGGAGATTTTGCTTTCAGAAGTGATAGGTATTTTCTCCCACTCAAGTCAGATTTAGAGCAATAGAGAGTGTTCCAGTTCCCACATTGTACTCCTGCCATTAACCTATGATCAGTTGGAATCCATTCTGCATCCCTTCCTCCATAGGATGGCCATGAGGTCCTGAGAACTGCCTTTATCCTCAGCTTGAGGAATGGGCCCTAAGTTGCCTAATTCCAATACAGGCAATATTACTGCCTTAGAATAGTAATTGATATGTGCTACCCAGGCCTAAATCAATCAATCAGTCCATCCATCCATCCATCCATCCATCCATCCATCCATCCATCCATCCATCCATGGCTGTCTTCTGGCCATGGGGATTAATTTTCTAATGACCTCATGATCCATTTCAGATCATTGAGAAGTGAGAGAGAAATGTGTTGGAGAACTTGGGGAGTTGCTTCCTTCTCTCTTTTAGCCTCTGGGAAATACCACAGTGATTTTGCCTCTGTGAGCCTGAAAGTGAACTCAGTGCATAGAGGAAAAGAGCTGAGTGACTCGCAGAAAAATAGCCCATGATGCTAGGCTCAGACAACCAGGAAGCCTGCTCTGCTTCTGGGCTTCCCATTATGCGAACCAAAACATTTTTTCATTATTTAAATTAGATATATTGTTTTTCTATTATATGCAACATAAAACAAATTAACTGATATGGGGGGATTATAAACTTTGTGGGGAGAAAGAAGAGTGAAATAAAGAAGATTTCCAAGGAGAGATGTAGGCATAGTGTGTTTTGGGAAATTGGAGGTGGTTCTACAGGTAGGAGTAATTCCAGTCATTCCAGAAGGACCGATTTGTACACTGAACATTGTGCTCCTTGAAGGCTCTGTGTCATCATCCATGAATCTCTAGTGCACAGCACAGGGCCTGACATACTTTGTGAATGAATAAATCAAAGAATCAATCAATCAATGCATGTATGCCTCTTCTGTTGCCCCAGGCCTTGCAGATCAGCAGTTACATGAAAAGTTGAGAAAAGGCAGCAGTGAGTACATCAGAGCAATCAGTTGCCAATTTCAGGACAGTAGAGGCCAGAATGAGGTAATTCATAGTCCTCTCTGATGACAGAGACTGATCTGGAGAGACCCTGAAGAAACTGGAACATGATGGGACCTACAGTCAGAAGAGCAGAAGAGCAGCGTGGAATAAATATTCGTAGAAGTAATGCCTGTTAAACCTGTTTTAGACATGTTTGATTAAGAAACTTGCAGGCTTGAAAGAATTGCAGATCTGCCTGGTGGGTATGTTTTCCTGGGGTGGGGGGATGGCTCAAGCCCTGTGAGGAGTGACAGTCCCATGAGATTGCCCAGAAGGTGGCTCCAGGAGAGTTCTGGCCCAAGGACTCCCAGAGTAATTATAGTATCAACTGCATTATCAGTGTCAGCCAAGCCTCCTGAGAAGAATGAAATCAATCTCTATCATTTTGCTTTTCTATCTTTACCAACTGCAAGTGCAGAAACCAACTGGGGATAGCCTAGAATTTAACATGTGCTTACCTCTTTTGTGGGCATCATTGAAATTGGAGAGCTCAATTAAGACATCCAGTTGCCAATATAAAATTCACTGATTCCTGGAGAGAGGATTTGAGATCTTACACTTCCCTTCCATCACCTTTGGCATCTAACTCCATCAGTCATCTATTTTCTCTTCTGTTTCTGAGCCCTGTGCTCTGTACTAGTGCCTTGCTTTCAGTGCATGGATACACTTGCATCTCTATCTTAGCACAGCACAAACTCCAATATTTCTTCAACCACATTTCCCTCTCGTTTATGCCTCCTTTTCCTCCTGTATATCATCATCTACATTCATGGATCTAGCCTGGACCTAGACTCCAGGTGCATTGTCTCATTCCTGTACCTTCAAAGACTATCTGCCCTTGAGCTTTTATTCCAACCACTCCCCAAAACAGCTCTTACCTGGGACAACCATAACCTCTGGGTTGCCGGGCTTACTGTGTATTAACATTGCAAAAAATATGTGGATGACAATACAATCATTATCAAACTGGGACACCTTTCAAAACCTTTCTCAGAGCAAATGAGGGCGGGCTCTGTAACATGTATAACATGACTCTCCGAGGAGAACTGGGATAAGGGGTGCTCTAACAGTGAAGTAAGTTTACAAATGTTTGTTCATTTACGGGTTATAAAAATGTGGCTGGGAGAGGCAAAACAACTTGTTCAAGGTCATAAGGCATGGATTAGGACTTGAAACCAGACCTCTGGACTCTAATCATTCATGTAGAGCTCACTGTATACCAGGCACTGTTCTAAGCACTTTACAACTATAACCCTCATAGCAACTCTAGAAAGTAGGTGCCGTGCCTCACATCCACATTTTACAAATAATAAAACCGAGTTAGAGATCAGTAAGTGTATTGCCCATGGCCACAGAGCTAACAATGGAAGAAGTTAGACTTGACTATAGAACCCACTGGTTAACTACTATGCCATGCAACCTTTCCATGGTCTTACTTTTTACTGTTTGTCCTGGATCTTTCCAACCAGGGTATGTGATATGTCCCAGGTGGTTAAAGGTGTTCCCAGGTATTAATCATCTTTGTCCCAGGGACAGCTAGGTGGGGCTTGAGGTAGTTATAGCTTCTAGATTTGTCCCCTGTCCCTGGGAGCTGCCTTTACCCTTTACTCCAGTGGGCCACAGACATTTTACGTGTACTACCTGATGTGCAATAGTTTGGTAAGTATTGTCCATGGAATGGCAAAATTAAGATAAATGCTCTGCAACTACTTGTTGATTTATCCAAACAGTATGCTATTATGTTGTATAGGAACCTTTCAAAAATCTTATCATAGTCACTATAAAGTTTGCAATAGCAGTGGGATGAGGTGTAGGTAGGTATAAGGGAAAGAGGGGATGGGAATGAAGGAAGAGATTCTGAAAGAGTGTTCATTGCAAAGGAGTTTGTGTTCAGTTTGTTTTTATGTATACACCTCCTGCTGAATTTCCCATAAGAATAAACTTACTTTAAAAATGTTCCATTGAGGTCAAACTCACAATTAATTGTATAGAATCCCAGTATAAAATAAGATAAACATGCTTCTAAAACAGAACTACTAAATGCAGAAAAGGGGTCATACCATGTACTTATTTTATAACCTGGTGTTAGCTGATTTCCCCCAAGACAGAGATTTTAATAATTAAGAGTATTTCTGAAAGCATAAATTGTTGCTAATTAATATAATACATAATCCCCTTAATTCTCCCACATTCTATGCTAATATTACAATAATAATACCACTTAATAATACTTAAGCCTTCAACAATGCCAACAGCACCTACATTTGCATGAGAATTTGTAAAATACTCTCCTATCTAATATCTGAAATGAGGTTTTGGCATTAATGGGGATATACTCCAATGTCCCCTGAAATCAGTAAGATGAACCTTTCTCTAAACCTTTCCATGAAATGAGAGTCCACAGATGCAGGGCTCAGACTAGCTCCAGGGACATTCCCAGTGCTCACTTTCCCAGAATTTTTAGGATTTTTCACTCAAACAAATTGAAGTAGCCTCCAAAGGAGGGGAACAGGAGAGCTCCTGGGGTATTGGCAGGAAGAAAGGGGATCTAGAGAGTCCAAGGGGAGAGAAAGGGTCACATGCTCATTCTTCTGTCTTCAAGCTTTGTTCCTCATCTGCCCACCCCATCAAGAACATTGCTCCTTTTAGAAGCCCTGCTATTTCCTTAACTGACGAGGATAATTTTTTGATGAACTACTCTTGAGCTTACTGAGGGATCATAGCCCTGGACTTGGGGTTGGCTGGGATGTAGTTCAGTCTGATTATTGATAGATAAGTTTCCTGTGGCTGCTGTAACAAATTACCACAAATGTAGTGGCTTACAACAACACAAATTTATTATCTTACATGTCTGGAAGTTGGAAGTACAAAATGAGTTTCCCAGGGCTCAAACAAAGGTGTCAGTAGAACTGAGTTCCTTTAAGGAGGTAATAGGGGTTAACTATTTCCTCGCCTTTTCCAGCTCCTAGAGGCTGTCCACGTTCCTTAGCTCATGGCTCCCTCCCATCTTCAAAGCCAGCAGTCATCAGTCAAGTCTTTTTCACATTGCATCACTCTGGGTTGACTTTTGTGTCTCTTTCTTCCACATTTAAGGATCCTCGTGATTATACATGGCCCACCTGCATAGTGTACACTACTTTCCCTATTTTAAGATCGGATGATTGTCAACCTTAATCCCATCTTCTACCATAATTCCCCTTTGCCATATAACATGACATATTCCAGGTTGCTGGAATTAGGACATGGACATCTTTAGGAGGCCATTATTCTGCCTATTAAAGTGAGTGACAGGTATGGCAGTTGCAGCATGACTTCTGGCCTCACATGGTCCTGATACCATTCAGTCTTTTACTTGGGATAACTGGCACAGTTGAAAGTGACTGGTAAGCTTGTTGTCAGTTGACTGACATTCTTGATACATCCCAAAAATTCAACAAAAAGACTTTAATCTGTGTCCAGTTTGTTACCTGTACTGCATTCTCTGCTGCTAGCCAAGTCTCACCAAGGTAACCTGCAAAAAGCATTACTGCTACCTCCACTAATAATAATACCCTCCTCCTGCTTCTCTTCTTCCTCGTCCTCCTTTTTCCTTTTCCTCCTCCATCACTTCCTCTTTCTTCTAATACCTAACATTTATCAAACACGTACTGTGTAAAAGGAATCAGGTTAACTTCTTTAACAGAATTAGCTCACTTAATTCACACAGTAATCCTGAGCTAGGTATTACTTGCCCATTTTGTATACAAGGAAATTGAGGCAACAATGCATGTGCCAAGGATAGGGTTGATGTTGTCATCTAGATCCACACTCTTGCACAAAGAGATTAGGGACTGGGAGAAACTGACACATGACCTTAAAAGAAAGACAGAACCTTGCTGATGCTGTTCAACTGACTCTTTGAAAGTGCTACAAGAGGGGGACTTGCAGGGTCCAGGGGGCTTTCCTGCTCTTCAGCCACATACCCGTGGACATGCTTAGCTAATCAAAAAGGACTGGCAACCATGCCTCCTTAAACGAGACTTTCCTTTTCATATGTAAAGAAGGAATCCCAAATATTCAGGTAGATGGTGGTATAATTCTCATTTAGTAAGTCTATAAGATCTACCTGGCATAAACTACTGTGGGCAACATAGACAAATGTAGGCAAACCACCCCAAAAAACAGTTTGAAGGGATCTCTCTAAATAGAGATGATTTGGAGCTGAGACTGAACAGTCAATGCAAGACCACATGCCAAAATTTATTTTCTGTAATAGCAATATTACAGGTGCCCTGAGCTCCTAACTCCAACACATTTGGCCGTGGGGTTATATAAGTTTAGGTGTCTAAATTTATATGGAACAGACGGTTCAGGTGGTAATGAAATGCTTTGGGTAAGTATAATTTTCTTTTCAAAAGAAAAGTGACAAAGGATTGCCAAGGTTTGGCGAGGATAATAACAGACTTTATATTTAGCTAGTGACAGCTCTCCAGAAAGCTCCAATTTCTTGGACACCTATTACGGAGATACGAATCTTCAGGATGTCCTTGAAAGGTAAGCGTTAGGTAACGCTCTCCTGATTCCTTCCTGGTGCAGGGAAGCATAAGGAGGCCGCCCTTTCTAAGGCAAATCTGCCATGTCCTCGTGGCAGGACATGGAACAGTGAAAATCTTCCAATGGCAGAGCATGGGCTCGTTGTGCATTTGATGAGGTTATATCATTACTGTTATTAATAGCATTATATTTAATAGTTCATGCTGATCTCCAAACAGTCATGGGCTTGCAAAAAGTAAATTCTGCCCAATCTCAGACACTTTCAGCTTCTCCACTTGGACATCTCTTATACTTAAAGTGCTATAAGGGGATTGTAGGAGCTTGCTAGCACTGCAGTAACAAAGTACCACAAACTCGGCGGCTTGACACAATTGAAATTTAAATTCTCTTGGTGCAGGAAGCTAGAAGTCTGAAATAAGTCTGCCAAGCCATGTTCCCTCTGAAGGCTCTAGGGGAGGGTCCTTTTTGGCCTCCTCCAGTTTCTGCTGGTCACCAGCAATCCTCGGCCTTCCTTGACTTGTAGCTGCGTCACTCCATTCTTTGCCCCCGTCTTCAAATAGCATCCTCCCTGTGTGTCTGTGTCCAAATTCCTCTCTTGTAAGGACACCTTAATTGGGTCTACCTTAATCAACTATGACCTTATCTTGACTTTGTTACATTTCCACAAAAGTCACTTTCACAAGTACTAGGGGTTAGAACTTCAATGTATCTTTTTAGGGAACACAGTTCGCCACTTTAAGGACTATCTGACTTACTGAGATTCACTCATTTCCAGTTTCTCTTTTATGATAATTTGAGAGAGACAGTGATTGTAATAAACACGGTAAACTTGAATTATTTTGCCCAGTAACTCAAGTTAACACTCCAGACTCCATTCACAGAGCCAGTTCAGGCCTCAGAAGGTGCCAGCTTTGCAGCAAGATTCCAGCACATGTGGCAGTGACGTTTCACGGCAATGCCTTCAGGGGTGATGATGTGCCTAGGCAAAGGAGAAGGTTAAAAGAAAAGATGCTGGAGAGTTAAAAGGCTAAGAGAAGAAAAAAGAGAGAAAAGAAGTCCATGGAGTGAGGATTGCCCAAGAGAGGGCTCAGTTCGTGTAGTCCAGATCCCTCCCTGAGCCCTCTGTCTGGAATTCATGAACCAAGTCTTGTCCCCAGCCCTGCCGAGGAAACAAACAGTATTCGAGACAGCAGTGCAGCCTCATCTCTTCTACGTCAATATCAGCAACCTAGTCCCGTATCAGGTCAGATCACCAAAAGCTTAAGGTCTAAATACCATTACTCTCATACCTGTAAAACTGCCACCAGGGAATGGCTATTTAAGAGGATGTCATTTTCTTTTATTGAGGGGCCATATAAAAAATGACCAAATAAAACATGTTTCTATGCTTTCTATAAAAATGCTACGAAGAGAGTATTCCTTCCATTGTTCCACATCCCTTACATAAAGATATCTGTGATGATTGCCTCTTAAAAGTTGCTGCTAGGAAAAAGTTTGCCTTTCCTGTCCCCCTATTTTTCTTGTTAGCAGGGAATGATAGCACTGACAATTTTGGTGTTTTATGGTTGTTGTTTGATTTTTGCCTTTGTTGTCAGAAAAACACAAGGATCTTAGTTTCTTGCTTTCTACCAGATGTTATGCTAGTTGCTTTGGTCTTGCAACCCAACTGTCAGAATAAAAGCATCATCTTATAAGGGGATTGGATGGATAAAGGCCAATGGCATCAGCCTCTCAAGCCACCAGAGCTTGATTCTGACAGATAGGAGCTACCAGGTCCAGAAACCTCCATGGAACAACACCCAGAGTGGTTCTCTAGTATTCTAATATGACTAGAGCATTTGTTGAAAATGGCCTAACCCAAATTGTGGAACAGTGTACCCTTTTGGCACATAATTATATGAGTTATAAATGACTTTTAAAAAAATGTATAAATAATGAATATAAGACTGACTAGGCCAGCAGGATTTTGGCCAAATGTCCTTGTGACACCAATTACCAAATGACTGATCTCTTGTTTATTCTTCCCAGATGTAATGACTTCGTGCTGTCCAAAAATCCCCTGCCATTTAATGCCTCTAACTGTTCTTGTAGGCAACATTGTCTCTACTAAATCTCAGGGCATCCACACTTCAGGACAGTCCCTTATGAGTACACACTCTTGAGGTGCCCTCAAAGAGATGCCCATAGGTTGGCTGCATAAAGACAGCCCCATGCCTGAGGCAGGACCTAAATCAGGCATCTACACTCACCCTCCTGTTTATAATTTAGAAAGGAAGTTTGTATTTGTGTATGCTTGTGTGTGTACATTTCTGTGTGTCCACTCACAGGCCATTTTCTCCCTGGTAATGAAACATCTTCAGAGTTTACCATATACAAGTTCATTACATCCACTGTAGCTCACACATTGCATAGTATATAACAAAATTTACTCTGTCTAGAAAATGAACAAAATATGTTCTAGGTCCTCTGGGTTTGAAAGCGTGCATTTTGTAAAGAGCTATTTGGAAAATATCAATGAGAAGCTGAAAAAGGGAATGTTGAAGAAGAGAAAAACATCAAAGGTCTTTAAAATTAAAACAGTATAGATAACCTAGAATGTATTCATTCATTCATTCATTCATTCATTCATTAAACCATAATTTTATTGAGCAAGCAGTAAGCACCAAGTGCTGCATTAAGCATTGGAATTTAATAGGGAGCATAAATAGACACTTAATGAGGATGACAGATCTTGACTAATTAATAAAATATGATTAAATAATTGCATACATATACAACTACAACTGTAAATAGTCCTAGAAAGAAGAAAATGATATCAACAGGAATCACTAAGAAGAAAAGCGATTTACAAA
Organism: Homo sapiens; assembly: GCF_000001405.40. Classification (NCBI taxonomy): domain Eukaryota; kingdom Metazoa; phylum Chordata; class Mammalia; order Primates; family Hominidae; genus Homo; species Homo sapiens. Next base: position 14,736,503 of record NC_000002.12, on the reverse strand, counting down.
GTGAGTTTGAATTAAAGCCTAAAGTGAACATGATTCTTTCATGAGAGTTCATTCAAATGCTTTAGAAAGCATTTAAGAATGAGCCAGTCCATAAGCAGATGAAGTGTGTTATAGTCTCAAAGAATTCCAGAGATGAAGGAAACGTGGTGGAAGCCCTTCATTTCACAGATGAGCGGGCTGAGGCCAATGAGGACACAGCAGGGGAAGTGTCACCCAACACCTCATCTCCCTTCCTTATAGTGTTCTGCCAACCTGTAAACATTATCAATATCTAATATATACATGTGTATATGTGTGTGTGCATATATGTATTTGAATATAAAACTTGTTTGGATGTTTATGGTTTACCTCTTCTGACCTGCATGTAAGCTCCACAAGGATAAGGATTTTTGTAGGTGGTATGTGTTGCCTGTGACCTCCATGGCTACAATAATGCTTGGCACACACTTGGCACTCACTAATATTTGTGGAATGCATGAAAATACTGAACACAGCTTGTAGTAGGTGTTTAATAATTGTGATCTCCCTGCCCTTTGTCATACCTTTGCTGAGATGATTGGGTAATGCCTTGTGTTTAGTTCTTGGTTATCTGGTTCTTCCCATGAGTCCCCTGGTCAGTGCTGACCTCTCCACCTTTCAGTCTGAAACCAGTTCAGCGAGCCCTGTGCTGACGCTGGGAAGGTGGAGCCTCACCATTGCCGAGTCAGTCAATACAAAACACAGCATCCAACAGCATCCACATTAGAATGTCCTTTTTTTTTTTTTTTTTTTTTTTTTTTGACAGAGTCTTGCTCAGTCGCCAGGCTGGAGTGCAGTAGTGCAGTCTTGGCTCACTGCAACCTCTGCCTCCTCAGTTCAACGGATTCTCCTCCCAAGTAGCTGGGACTACAGGCACGTGCCACCATGCCCAGCTAATTTTTGTATTTTTAGTAAAGACGGGGTTTCACCTTGTTGGCCAGGATGGTTTCAATCTCTTGACCTCGTGCTATGCCCTCCTCATCCTCCCAAAGTGCTGGTATTACAGGTGTGAGCCACGGCACCTGGCCAGAATGTTCCTATATTAAGAAAGCATCAGCAGAGCCAGAATGGCCAGGACCCAGAGCCAGCTCTCTCCCTCAGTCCTGGCTTTGTAGATGGAGATGTGAGCACTCAGAATCACCCATCAGAGTTTGGGCTTCCTTTTAGATAGCACCAGAAAACAATAGAAAAAGCCAAACAAAAAATCAAACCACAGTGGGAGAAAAACATTCATGTTTCTTGCATAGCATGATCCCCAAAGGTGAATAGCCTGGGAAGGATGTTGCCCAGTGAAGTCCTCAGAGATGCAGCTCCTTCACCTTTCTTCTCTGTCATCCTGAGATGGGTGGCTTTTCTCCTCACTCATGCCACCTTGTGATTATACACTGGCTACTGCTCCTGGTGGCATCACGTCTACATTCCAGGCAGGAGGAAGAGGGAAGGTCAAATAAGCAGAAGGCCCACATCAGACAAATCTGCCCCATAGCAGGAAAGCAAAACTTTTCCAGAACATCTATCCAGTAAATGTCTGGGGACATCCCACTGCCAGAATTTGTCACGTGGCCACCTCCAACTCAGTCATAACCAAGTAATCATGATCCATCCCCAACTGGGGATGGAGTACAGGCTACTCTCCTGAAGGTCAATAGATCTTTCCAGCAATCTGAACAAATCATGGCGCCATTAGAAAAATGAGAGGACAGAGAATAGATTCTGCGCAGACTCTGACGAGGTGTGCCACAAGGCTCTGGCATCAGCCCTCACATCACCCTGCTGGTTCCCAACTCTGCCCCTCAACAGGGTCCTTAGAAAACTTCTGCAGGCTCTGGGCAAAACTCTGTTGCTTGTTGCATAGAGGACACCAAAATGGTCATTCTCGTCTGTCTCCATAACCTCTTCTGAGGTTAACTCTGGCATCTGTTGGATGTTCTCATTCTGAATGTCTGCATTGGGCATGATGTCATCTATTGTCTTAGTCAAGTTCCAATTTATATAAATAATTCTGTGGAGACAATATGGAGCTATGGGGTGCCCACTAGACTGGGGTAAGAAGCAAACCCACAAACCTGGGCAAGAATTCTACATGGGCCTCTTGCTGGCTTTGCGATACTGCACAACTAACATTCTTTCCGATTCTTGGTTTTCCCCTCATCCAATGGGGATGTTTTGAAGGATCAGATGGAGTAATGAGTTGGAAAGTGCTTTGCAAACTGAAAACACCATCATACAGTTGAAATCATATTTTACCTAAGTGTTGTGGTCTCAGTTGTAGTCTCCCTTATTTCACGCGTTGAAGACTTACCTAACTCCCAGTACCTCGACATGTGACTGTGTTAGGAGATAGGCTCTTTAAAGAGGTGACTAAGATAAAAAGGGGTTATTAGGGTAAGCTCTAATCTAATTTGACTGGTGTTCTATAAGAAGAGGAGATTTGGACAAAGATATGCACAGAGGGATGGAGATACTGAGAGAAGGTGTCCATCCAAGGCCAGGGAGAGAGGCATCAGGAGAAGCCTACCTTCCTGGCACCTTGACCTCAGACTTCCAGCACCAGAACTGTGAGGAAGCAGATTTCTGTTTTTTAAGCCACCCAGTCTGTGGTATTTTGTTATGGCAGCCCTAGCAAACTAATACACCAAGCAAATAATTCTAGTTTCATACTGTGTTTCTGAATTGAAGTGAGTTGTTGGGGTGTGGTAAGGGCACTTGAGACTACTGCTGGAAGAGTGTGGGAACAGAACAAAGTGCTGAAGGGAAAGAGTGCTGGATTTGAAGTCCAGAAACCAGGGTTCAAGGCCCAGGTTTGCCATTTGAGGCAATGTGACCCTGAATGCATCATTATTCTCTCCAGGTCTCAGTTGCGTCCTTTGCAAGATAACCATGTCTTGGAGTAATGATGATGATGAAGTAAATCAGATCACATGAAAGCACTTTCATAGGGCCTAGCACACAGTAGGTGCCCAATAAATATTTGTGAAGCTGCTGCTGACACAATGGGCCAGTCTGCAGCTGGTTATGGCTCAGAAAGTTAGAATATATCACTGCAGGTTCAGTGAGGTAGAGGAGTCCAGGGAAAGTCATCTCATAGAGACCAGTCTTAATTATTGGGAGGAGAGGCTACCTTGAAAATAACCCACTTGTAACCCTGTGCCATAGTGGTTGCTGCTACTGCTTCCCGCTCCAAAAGACTTTAGTTTCCCTAGGTAGATCCCACCTTGTCCCCACATTTGTCTTGGCTGAGCAGGCACACTTAGCAGATCCTGGACTCACGTGGTTGCTGATGACAATAAAACGTATGACCTCAGGGTCCAGTGAGGCCCTGTATCCCCTACTCCTTTGCACTTTGTCTTTATTCAGCTTATGAACTGTCCACACGTTGAGTATCATCTGTTCCTTCAATAGCAGCAGAAACAGTCTTCCCCATCATCACTTGCACTGCTGGGTTTCATTTTTCTTTTTCTCCTGTTGCTTTCAAGCAGGTCTTGCCGAGCTCCAGAAATGTGAGCCTGTTTCATAAACTGGCCACATTCTTTCTCTGCCACATATAGAATTAGCCTTCCTTTATGGACCCAATATCTTGTTTCCTATCATATTCCTCTAGATTCTACATGAGGATGCTTCTACTCTGAGATATGTGAAGTTAATGAGTTCTGGGTCTATGAAAGTTCTACCCTTCATACAAATCTCAATTACTCTCACCTTCCTTAGTCAGAAGTCTCCACCCAACTCCTATCCTTGCTTCAGTCAAAAATATAACATAGGACAAAACTCAACAGATATTTAAGAAAATCTAGTCTTTTCTAATGAAATAATTGAAACAGTAGAAATGCCCTGGAAATACTAGTTGAAAGCCTGTAAGTGATTGTAATTTTACCTCAAAAGGAAGAGATGGAGAGTAGGGGGGCATTAAGTCTTGTCATCTTGAAATATACCTAGTGGTGTTTGACATTTTCTACACTGAGCTTCCCAGTCTTCTTGGTTGAGTTTGGCTCACTCTATCTACATCTACCTGACATGGCTATCTTGATATTCAAGGGCTGATTTCCTAATGGACTTTACCATGTGCACTCTTTTACAGCTTTAAGAAGCATCTCTTAATAGTACACTGGATGTGGGCTCCTTGAGTTCTTGTCTCCTGTTAGGGGGACAGTATCATCCTGTCCTTTGTTGTCCATGAGGAAATGTTGACCTCAGAGGCATGGTTAGAATAGCAGTTATAGGCTCCCTGGCCATTCCTCTAGGCCTTCCTACATTGGGGAAAAATGATTGAGCTCATTGATGGGATGTTGGGAGTCTGACATCCTTTGGTTCCCCCTTCTCATGTAGGCAAGGTTAAGGTGATTAATAGTAACACTCTTTCCAATACCTAAGTCTCATTATCTCTTGAGGAGCTGTCTTGACAGTAATGAGTGTTAGTTTTTGTTCTGTTCTTCCTTGTAACAAACCTTGCAAGAGGCAGGTTCTGTCCCTGCAAGAGAGGGAAGGGGACAGCAGGACACGTTAATTTATCCAGATGCACTTCCTGTGCTTGAGTATGTAAGTTCAATTACTTAGCGTGTGGAGCAGGAATATAATAAAAAGAATGTGTGGCCAAGCTCAAAGCTGTATTGTCCAATCCAGATAATTTAGCAATAACACTAATATTTTTGTATTTATAACTAATTTCTGTTTCATTTTCTCAGTTGGCTTCGAACTCAGAAGAGGATAGAGGTATGATATTTTTACCATTTCAACCATAAGAAGTCTTTTATTTGCTAGGTCTCTTTGGATCTGAGTCTCCCATGCTGCTAGAGTAATGGCCGCAATGCCTCCTTTTCTATTTTTAAAAGAAGTGCCGTCCGAAGACTATCTCTTCTCCCTTTTCATTTCTGTTGAGCCTGGCCTGAAAGCTTACAACCTTTCTCAAAAGGAAACTGCTCTCTCCCTCCAGCTCAATCAAAATGTCACTCTTCATTTTTCATTTACTCTCCCACAAAAATTGTTCTGAAGCAGAGACAGAAAACCTTTTCCCCTCCTTTATGAATCAATATCATTCTTCTTTGAATCTGATTAAATCTTGTTTTTAGAGACTGAAAAATTCCAATGTTTACTTCCGTTGAATTTCTCTCTGTCTTAGTTCAAGAAAGTGTTTTATTCTTTTATATGATAAGGTTCTCTATAATATTTGGAAAGCTCTTGAGTGAAAGCAACGCAAAACTCCACTTAATTTGCATTGAATACATTTATTGGCTCACATATCTGGAAGTATAGAGGAAAGATAGGCTTCGAAATTTGCATAAGGTGTGGCTCCGGCTCCATTCTGCCTCTCTTGACACTACCTTTCTCTTCGGATTGGTTTCTGTCTCAGTCTGTTTTCAGGTTGGGCTCTCATATCCATGTTTGGCAATGTCTAGAGAAAGAATAGAGTCACTTCCAGACATTTTTCCAGAAGAAGAAGGAAGAACTTTTCTGGAAAGTTCTAGAACTTTAAACTTTTCTTTAGATAAAATTGCCCTGTATTGAGTCTTACATCTATTTCTGAACATTTTGGCAAAACCACTCCTGGACTTGAGAATGGGCTTTCCTTCTCCTAGGGCACATGAGGCTAGTGGGAAGAGTGAAGAGCTGGAGAGGGATTCTGCTTGGAAGGCTGGAAATAGGAACTGAATATAGGTAGGCAACTAAAAATCTCTGCCTCAGCCTCATTCCTTTAGAAGCATTTATTGATAAAATTCCCTTTACCTCAGTGGCTCAACACACAGTCAAGGCCACTGAAGTCTGTATCAACGACGAGCAGTTATGTCCAGGGCCAACCTTGACACCAAATAGTGGCCAGCAGCTTCTAAGAGGTCGTGGACAAACCATATATATCCAAGGGGTCCCAAGATACACTTCTTAGCATTGGAAGTGGTTTAAAATATGATGCAAAAGAATCTGTTTGATGTTGCTCACCTAGTCTCTTCTTTGTAGCACTAGAATTTTAAAAGTAAAATCTTTATGCTAGTGATAAACTAGTGATTAATCTAGATATTTGTGGTATATAGTCCTAGCTGAGAAATGCAGTCCATTCATCAGAAAACAAAACACCAAAACTCTGCTTTAAAAAAGGCTTAAATTTCCAAGAAGACATTACCATTTGAAACTTGTATGTACTATACATATATACATACATACATACATGTGTGTTTTGTATGTCTATGCACCACCCACCCCCCACCCCCAACACACACACATGCACATGTTTATCTCAGAGCTTGGACCCTGACTCAGAAAAGTCTCCCTCTATGTGGATAAGTAAAGACAGAGAATATTGGCCCCTTCAGGCAGGCAGGTTGCCAGGCCCTGCTTGGGTAGTAAATGTTAATTTCAATCCTACCCTTAAGGTAAGAAATACTTTTTCTATTTTTGTGTTAGTCTGGGTTTTTTAAGAAGGAGACACAAAGAGAGGATTAAATGTGAAAGCATTTTATTAGGAGAAATGCCTGTGCAGAAATGGGTAGAGCCAGGGAAGGCCAAGATAATAGATCCCTATGCAAGTCTGACTTGGAATGAAATAGAGAAGAGAAGGTGGGGTGGAAATGTACAAGAATGCTATGCTATCTAAGGGAGTTTCAGCAAAGCTGACAGTCCTTGGGCCAAAGTCAGCTGACACAGTGTCCTGTGTCTCCCAGGAACTGTTTGCCATAGCAGCCCTGCTGCACTCTGCATCCTTGCAGAGCCAAGTGTTAGCTTAAACAAAAGGAAAATTAGTAATACCAACATTTATTTTAAATTTAATATTTTTTCATTATAGATTTTTTTTGCATTAATTTTGATTAAATACCATCTATACTAATTATTGAGTTTTTTTGCACCTCCTTAATTTTATAGCCCTGGTGCAGTCCAAAATTGGTGCATAGCAGCCCTGAGGAGTTTTGGTCTCAATGAAAACACTGTGTTGCATTTCAAGGCTCAGTGACTGAGTCTCTGGGTCAATAACTCTCCCTATAGCTGGAGGCCTGTAAGATGCATTCTTGTGGCCACCGTATCTTCTCTTTTGGAGGAAAAATTGAGAGGACTGGAAAATCACCCACCTGGAAGAACATTAGTGGCAGTAACCATCACTTCCTTAAAAATCAAAAACGGTTAGTGACACTTCCCTTTGGATGAGGCAGGGCAGAAACACAGGAAGAGACAGTGAAGAGGGGCGGGGAGGTGGTATTTTGAAATACCTTTAAGAGGTTTCCAAAGGGGAATAAAATAAATTAGATACGTATAATACTAGTATAGATTTCACTTTTGGATTTTTAGGAAGTTATCTATAATTAAAATAAGGTGCCTAGGTAAATAGAATCCATATTCAAGGGTTAACCCTTCTTTGTAGGGTGATATGCTCTGCTGAGAATGGGCCAGTTGACTTTTCTTTATAGGCAGTAGGATGATGCTGAAGATTTTTTACTCTGAAATTCTAGGATGGGCTAAATAGCTCTAATTTGAAGTTTGGAGTAAAAAGCATTTTGGGAGTGCAGCAAAATCAATGTGTGTGGTTCTTCTTCAGAAAAGCGAGCAATGACTTCTTCCTGGGAATCAGGGTAAGAGAAAACACTTCCTTCAGGGAAACATCATCTACTTTCGACAGCTACTCATGTGTATGGATTTATTTTTCTTGTTTCTGATTGATATCTGTGTCACCAGTGCCCAGAACAATAGAGTGGCAATCACTAGACAATAAATACTCATTTACTGAATGAATATATGACTATGTGGACATTTGAAATGAATTTTAAATGGGTAAAGATTCTGGGATGAAACGCCACACAGAGGCAGCATTATGAGTAAAAGCATTGAAGTGCAGGAACATCTACCCATGTGGAAAATAGTGACTAGTTAAAAGCAGAAGCAAAAAGAAAAGTAAGTGGAGGAAAGTGGTGCTAAAAAGGAAGCCTAGGCCAGATTGTGAAGGAGCTAGAATGCCCAGGTTGAGAATTTTGAACTTTGTCTTGCAGAGAATGGGAATGAGGGGAGCTTGGTAGATTTCTGCCAGATTCATTCTTAGTGGTATCCCTTCAGTGTTGACAGTCTGTCTTGTCACAGGCAAGACAAGAGTCCTAGGTGGCTGTCTTAGTTCATTCGTGTTGCTATAAGGGAATACTTGAGGCTGGGTAAAAATTTTTTTAAAAGGAAGCTTATTTGGCTCATGATTCTGATGTATGGAAAAGTTCAAGATTGGGAAGTAGCCTAAGACCTTGCTACTTCCACTCATGGCAGAAGGTAAAGGGGAGCTGGCATATACAGGGATCACATGGCAAGAGAGAAAGGGGAGGTGTCTGGCTCTTTTTAACAACTATTATCTTGGGAACTAATAGAGTGAGAACTCACCTAACCCCAGTCTCAAGGAAGAGATTAATCTATTAATGAGGGATCTGGCCCCATGTCCCAAATTCTCCCATTAAGCTCTACCTCCCACAATGGAGATCGAATTTCAACACAAGATTTGGAGGGGTCAGATCAATCAAACTCTAGCAGTAACTGTAGTGAAGTCAAGTCAACTCTTCCCTCCCTAAACTTACAGAATGAGATGCCATATTCCATCCCATCTTGAAGTTTAGAACCCTGCTTCTTAGTCAACCTGATGTGCTCAGACTATGGATGTCCCTATGTTGATTGAGCAATTTGCTGGAGTTAAGCAATCTTTCGATTAGAACTATAAAATAGACTTGAACCAAGTGAAGATGCCCTGTTTCCAAGTGATATGCCATGTTGCTGAATGATTTGTTCATAGCTGAGCATGCATCAAGACAAGGAAGAAAAGATGTACATATTTCTAACAGGTGTTAATACATATTCTTCCATTGTTTGAACTTGGAACAATTAAAAAAATACTTTAATTCCATTTGAGAAACTAAATATTGAAAGAATCCTACAGCAAATTATTTGGCCTATTTTATGTCAGTATTGGCATGCTGCTCCCTGGCCACTCAATTTGTAGGTATCTGAAATAAAGTCCTGAAGCTTCTCTTCTCAGCTTCTGCCTCCTATTTAGCCCTCAGTTCAAACACTTATATATCCAGTCTGGTCTCTCCACTTTTCATAAGCTTGATATCTAACATACTCAGATTGACAAGCTGTGTGGATAGTCTGCTTAGTTACTTAAACTTGACTTCTTTACATGGCATTTCTTTTCAGATCACTCCCTTGGTTTTGTATATCATAATCTGTGGGCAGGCGATGATTGACCTTTCACATTTTCAGATATCCTGGACATGACAAGTTATTTTGGTCCTCAGGACTACCAGAAATTTTTCATCTGGGAAGAGGAATTAAAAAAAGTGAAATGAAGGTTCTTAAAAATAAAGAATCAAAGAAATAATTTAGAGTTTCTCTTATAAACACGATCCTAATTTCTAGATTTAAAAAAATAAACCTTTTTGGGGGAGCATGATACCAAAGGACATGAGGTGTTATAAACAGCCTTACTGAAAACTCCAAAAACTCCATTTGCTCATAGGGTAGTTGTTTTTCTCCTCAGAATTGAGCTGAGATGTGTCAGTGGATACTATATGTCAAACAATGGGGAACAGGGAATATATTGGTTCTAGTCTTTCCAAAAGTGGTAGAATACAGTCCTATTGCCTCTCATTCATGAATATAAAAACTGAGGTTCAGGAAAGATTTGTAATTTGTCTCAGGTCATTCAGCTGGTAAATGGTGGTTTGAGAATTTCAAGCCAAGGGTTTGACTTCTGAGTTTGGCTCTTTGCTCTCCTCTGTATTTCCCTCAACTGATTGACAATGAGGGACTTATTTTTCAGGAAAAGTTTTTCTATATATAAATTTATGTACAACCATTGCTATGGTTTGAATGTGTTTCTCAAATTTTCATGTACTAGAAACTTAATCTCCAATGTGGCAGTATTGGGAGGTAGGGCTTACTTAATAAGAGGTGATTGGATCATGAAGGTGAAGCTTTCATGAATGTATTAATATTGATATTATGGGAGTTGGTTAGTTTTCATGACAGTGAGTCATTATTAAAGGGACTCCCATGGTGTTCTCTCTGTCTCTTGTGCTCAGTTGCCCTTCCACCATGGGATAACACAGCAAGAAGGCCCTCACTAGATACCAGCACCAAGCTCTTGGGCTTTCTAGCCTCCAGAACTGAGAGAAATAAATTTCTTTTCTTTATAAATGATTCACTCTGTGGCATTCTGTTTTAGCAGCCACAAAGCGAACTAAGACAACTATTTTCTGATCACTAGATTCGAAGCAGTGAACATCCTTGTCTGAAGAGCCTACCTAAATAGTATTGGGGGTGGTTTCTTCCAGGACAGAGTAGTATTTGCTCCAAATTTATTGACCAAACACCATTCAATCAAAGTTTTATAATTAAGCTAATTAACACTACTATAGCTGCTAATTCTTCTTTTTTGTTTCTTTTTTAAACCTGCAGCTGAATGGTATCTAAAACTGTTCAAAGGCTTCCTTTACCTGAAAAGAATAAAGGATAGACATTTCCAATTTGATTATTGCTAGTAAAACTCTACTAAAAAGGCAAGGCAGGAAACTAACCCTGGAAGTCACATGGAAAAATTAACTTTGTGTAACATAAATGGACTATGTACAGGTTCTTGTGACAAGAGATGATAGATTCACCTTGAATTAAGACTAATTCTTGAGTCTTTCAGAATGGACTTTATTTTTTCATTTTAGAATGTTGCTTTTATGGTCATTTCAGACACAGAAAATATGTCTTCCTTTGGGCTTCATGTAACTGGTGAGTAGTGTCATTTATATGAGCTGATAACAGTGTAATATATTGTGCTATTAAAAACGATATGTTCCAGCTAACCTGCATGTTGTGCACATGTACCCTAAAACTTAAAGTATAAAAAAAAAGATATGTTCTTAAATATGTATAATGAGAAAAATAATATTCAGCATCTTACATGCATTATTAACAACTTCTAAATACATCTTCTAGATCAATTACAGTGTGTATTGTACCCTTGCCATTGAAATTTACCTTCCCATTTAAGTTATTATGTTTGAGACCAAGAAATGATGGGTCCCCAAGGAATATTGTGACCCAGATTTAGTTTCCATATGTTCAGTGCTTTCCTGGGGTTTTCATATCTGTTCCGTTGCTGACTACTAATATGTGTATTTATAGTCATATAAAATTAAAGTTTTCCATTATTGAGATTTCAGGAACATATGAAAAGAAGGAGAATGCTTGATTGGGATTTAGACAACCAGAGTTCTAGTCTGGGCTTTGCTGTTGACTTGCTGGGTGCCTTAGACAAGCCCTTTCTGAGCTTCATTTTCCTCATGTGAAATAAAGGCTTTGGAATAGACAGCCTGTTTTCCCCTTAGAGTATGGTGAAAGTCAGGCCACATATCTCTCAGGCTGAAGGAAAGGCAGCTACAAGGAACTGGATTGATTATGGCTGATGCCACATGGTGCTGTGAATGGACAATCCAAACTTTTGAAACTTTAACATATGCAAGTGCCATTTTCCTATTTAAGTTAGGGGCAGTGGTCAGATTACATCTCTCTGGCTGAGACATACGTAGTAGGAATGGATCATTTCATTTTTGATCATCCTGGAGCAGGAAATGAAATGGTTCTTAGAAGTAGGGAGGGAAGATTTCCTTATCTACCTGTGGAGAAAGAGTTAGGCCTAAACTGACAGATGTGGAGATGCTGAGAAAGTGTGTTGAGTAAAGGGATAATTGGCTCCTGACAAGAAGTTAGGTGAGAGTTGAGCCTAATTCTGAGGCTCTGTTTTTGTTTCGGGACCTAAGAGTGACCACTTCTAAAAGCTTCTAAATTATCTTCTTTGTTTATTTAGATCCTTGATCTTCAGTGATATCTTCTTAAGAAAATGGGGGTCTAAGTTCTGCTGGAGGAAATTAAGGAGAATGATCCCTCCCTCTGTTCCAGGTGAGGGTGCCAGAGAGGCCAGTGATGTTAGTAGACATTATTGGCTGCCGAGGAAGAAGCAGTGAGACTCACCCAGGGGCCAGAATGGAAGGTCAAGAGGAACTTGTCCCAGTGTCTACGAGAGTCAACCTTCTGGGAAACTCTTAGACATAAAGATGAGGGGCAGGTGTATATCTAGGGTAGGCTAGAGATGTAAGACCAGCTTATACCCACGCTGAAAATGTTAGCTTTGATCTAGGAAATGGGAGGCCATTGATGTCTTTTGAACCTGTGGCGATATGTCTGTCCTATTTATGTTTCATGGAAGAAACCTTGGAGGAAATGTGGGGATGTACTTAGGGATGAGAGATAGAAAGTAGCTTCATGCCACTCTTTGCATACTATATCAGGCTTATTCAATGCCAGAAACCCAACTGGGGGCTTCAGATGTCTGGAGTAATTAGTCTGCGTATCTCAATCTCTTATCTTGGACTCTAAGTGGCTTAAAGCCTCTATTCCCTCTTAGCCCCTCTGTAGGGCAGAGATCAGTTATATCATAACTTTAGGTTTTCAGTTAACAGATTGGTAACCATCACTATTTGAAGTCTTCTGAAAAGACAAAAAGGCAAAATGCAGTTAAATGTATGTCTGTGCGTGTGTGCATGTGAGCATGCCCGCAAGTCTGCACACCCCAGTGTGTGTATATTGATTGGATTTCGCAACATAAAATCCCAAGTGCGTGATGAAGAAAACACCAGCGCAAGAGTCAGCATACCTGTGCTCTTGGTCTAGCCCTGTGTTAATTAGCTGTTTATTTCTGGGTAGATCACAATTTATTTTGTCTCCATGTCCTTGTCTGTCAAATGAAGCTGGGAAGGGAACTAGAGCCCCAAGAACCTTATATCTAGTAAGATATAACTTTTTTAAAATAAGTAATCATTTCCAGCATTCCTTAGAACTGGTGCACTCTTTATAGATATTGTGAACCATTTAAATTCTGAGGCATGCTGTATGTTTTTATTCAAGAAAAAATGAGTAAGAGAAAAAGAGGGAAGAATATATTAAATTTGACCTTGCCAGTTTCATTTTTAAAAGTGTTTTCAAAATGGCATGAACAAGCAAAAAATGATCTAAGCAAACAGCAGATAGACCTTTTACCATGGAAACCATGAGACAGTAGACACTGTGCTGCGGAAATGAGTGAAACTGACAGTATGAACATGTAGCACACTGTGGGAAAATCTCTGCCTTGCAGAGGATTAGAAAAATACAGTCTTCTGGTGCCTGCTCATCAATAAAGAATGAACATCTAAATTCAGAAGTATGAGGATATTACGTTCACTTATATTAAAACAAGACCAATTTTGATAAATGCCAGAGGAGAGATTTTCAATAGCAGCACTATTGACATTTTGGACTAAATAATTTTTTGTTGTGGGGGGCTGCTGTGTGCCTTGTAGCATGTTCAGCAACATCCCTGGCCAAGCACTAGGTGCCAGTAACATCACATGCCCCTCTCCTCTCAGTTGCAGAAATAAAACACGTCTCCAGACTGTTGAATATCTCCTGGGGTATGAAATTGCCACTATTTGAGAACTGCTGTGCTGGAGTGAAGATTTTTTAAAAGAATAAGTAAGCATAGGCTTTAGAGACAGACAGACTTGGGTTTGATTCTTGGCTCTGCTGTTTACCTGCTGTTTGACTTCAGGCAAGATACCTGTCCTTGGTAAGCCTTAGTTTCTTCATCTGTAAAATGGAGATAATGCTGACAACCTCACAATGTAGCGTAAACAGGATAATAAATGTAAAGCACTTGGAATATAGGTACGCATATCATGAAAATTTGTTTGCATTTATATATGGTTGAGAGAAACAAGATTATGACACAAAAATGTTCACTGCATCTTTAATTACAGAATAAAGAAAGAGCAGAGATAGTATTTACTGAGTAGCCACTGGGTATCAGATGCTGCTGGCCCTTTTAAATACATCACCTCCTTTAATCTCTCAACGCCCATTCAATGTATGACCAGTTTTCAGACATGATAACTGAGGTTAGAAAAATAAAGTATTCCATCCAGTGCAATATAGTAAGGTCAGGTTTGCTCAGTTTCAAAACCCATAATTTCATTTTCCCCAAAGATGAGATTGGCAGCCAGGGATACCTGAATTGAAATTATTATGTTTGAAGCAGGGGAGAATTAACATGAATTTGAAAGGCAATGACTTTGCCAGCAACAAATCTTGCTTGGATATAAATAATTGTAGCAAAGTGAGTTTATTTCCAGACACTGAATTACAGGGACCGTTACAACTGGCCGGAGAGGTATGTGACTCAGTTTTCAGAATAGAGAGTATGTTTTCTAGCATGTGAGCACAGCTAGTGCCATGCATTTAATTTAATCTAATATTTAATTAAAATTCAGTTAACGAGATTCTTCTTTGTCAGCTTTCTTCTGCAAAATCTGTGCCCAAAAGAAATCTTCCTCCCAGTTCTCCCTGGCCCCAATCTTTCATGCTGGTAGAAGGGAAAACTGATTCATGGGTCAGAGAATTGGGTTGTATTGCTTTTGAAATATTGGTGCACGGTAGGAACAGTTTCCAATTATGGTGGACTGAGTACACAATCCCTACACTGTTCTATTTAAATAACTGCTGAATCGCTAGGGCTGCTTTCCTGTTTCTAGCTCCCTGAACAAGTAAATAATGGAAAGAGAGAAAAAAAATCAGCATTTGTAATAAATAACCATACAACCTGGTGATGGGACCTCATTCTCTAGTCATATTTCCTCCCCCACCCTATTTTTTTTCTTAATAGCAATTCTGAAAATAAAAGTGGCCTTTATATATAAAACTTGGAATCCAAACTTAACTTTTGGCTATACACTTAGGAATGTTTGCAGCAGCATATTGCATTGAGAATAAGACCATCTTTAGAGTCAGACAGACTTAAGGTTGAATTCCAGCTCTGTTGTTATCAGGGAACATAATCTCTGTGAACCTCTGGAAAATGGGTGGGGCACCCTATAACTTGTGGGATGAGAATTGGTATAATGTATGTAAAGTTCCTGGCATAGGGCCTGATTTACAGCAGGCAATTAGTAAAGGGACAAATAATGTTCCATCGTTAATATAAATTTCTTTGTTTGACATAAACATGCAATAGATTATCATTTAATTTTTGTGATAAAAGGTACAGAATTGATAAAACACAAGTTCAATTGACGTTATCAAGCAAAGCAGGCTTGCTGCCCAATGAACTAGCAGCCAATACCGTGACATGGAGTTTTTGAGAGAAGAAAAGCTTTATATTAAAAATTGACTTACAAGGAGACAGGAGTGTCAACCTCAAATCTGTCTCCCGGTGCTAGCTTTAAGGCTGTAATTTTATTAGAAAAGGTTTAGGGGGTGGTTACTGGGATTAGCAGGTGACTGGTGGAAGGAAAGGGGAGGTCTGAAATGTCTTTTGGCATATACAGTTATCTCTTCATGTTAACTCATGGGTCACATGTGTAAATTCATCACATGTGGAATTTACATTTTTTTCCTCTTTCTATTATGTAGATTATTTTTCTTTCTCTTGCAGTGACATCAAAAAACTGTTCTGCACAAACTTCAGTCAGCCATCTTGGTTCTATCGGATTGCCCCCAGCTCTTTTATCTCATAAGCAGATGGAGTTTCAGTGTTTCAGCAAGTTGTCTTTTCTTATCTGCCATCCTGCAAACTCAGTAATTTCCATTAGCCATTAGTTTCTTTAACTCTTTGGAGCCAAGGTGAATCAATAGCAGATATATATATATGTTTTCATTTGTTTGTTTTTGAAACAGAGTCTCGCTCTGTCACCTATGCTGGAGTGCAGTGGCACAATCTTGGCTCACTGCAGCCTCTGCCTCCCGGGTTCAAGCAATTCTCCTGCCTCAGCCTCCAGAGTGGCTGGGATTACAGGTACCGGCTACCATGCCAGGCTAATTTTTGAATTGTTTTTAGTAGAGATGGGGTTTCACCACGTTGGCCAGGCTGGTCTTGAACTTCTGACCTCGGGTGATTCACCCAAACTTGGCCTCCCAAAGTGCTGGGATTAGAGGCGTGAGTCACTGCACCTGGCCACATATGAGTTTTAAAAAGCAGGAGAATTATTTGTGGACCAGAGGCTGATATTCTTTTAGGAATGACACTGAGTTTGTGAGCTGTTTTATAACATGTGGGTGATGAGGCTTGTTGGTACCTATATAATCCAACACTTGATCACCTGGGGGAGATACAGGAGGGGTGTGTGTGTGTGTTTGTGTGTGTGTGTGCACGTGTGTGTGTGTGTACGTGTGAGAGAGGGAGAGGGAGGGAGGGAGGGAGAGAGAGAGAGAAAAAAAAGAACATGAACATGGAAGGATGGCCTTGCTGTCCACCTGCCCCTGGAGTCACCAAGATGGCAATATAAGGAAAAGGCTTTTTTGATGACTCCTCCTCTGACTGATAGGCCCAGGAAGGCAGAGGCAGTTATATTCCACAGGCAATAGGTTGTAACAAAAGGACCCCAGAAGCCCAGTAGACAAATGGATTTAAAAAGAGTGCATAGTCCAGGCCCAGCTGATGCTTGAATCCCAGGTACAGGATGCCTGGGCATCTCAGAAGTTTGAGCTGGCTACTTCTCAAAGTCATTGGCTGTAAACATAGAAGAGACTTCTCTAGGTGGAGCTCAGCCTTGTCTGCCTGTTACTGGTTCCTAGGTTCTAGTTTTAGCCTCTGAGGGCACAATAAGTCAGTCTGTTTTCCCCTTCATGTGAGGCCTTCTAGATCTTAAAGGCATCTGTCATTTCCTTGGGATATCAGCACCTCCAGTTCTCCTTGATGGCTTGTAGGGATAGCGCTGGAAGTGAACTTGTACTTGGAGATATAGTGAAAAGTTAGGAAGCTGTAGCTTTGGGTGACATTGGGTGTTGCAAGAAATCGGGGATCTCTGTATTCTGATATTCACTTTTGCACAAGGAGTGTGTTCAGCTTGCAGAAAGTGCCTGGACTATGCAGCTGTGTAGCCTTGCACCCATCACTTGACCTATGTGTCACTTCCTGTAAAATGGGTATAGTATTTTTAAAATTTGTGAGGTTCAAATAAAAAGAGGTGTGTGGAAATGCTTTGTAAATTGTGAACCATTGTACACATTATAGTGTATATAATGACAATGGCTGAAAATGTTTCATACTTTGTTTGTCATTGTTTTTAATCAGTCTCAGAGAAATTTCATGGAAGCGTTGTTAGTTTGAGGAGTGAGTCTCCTGAAACTTTGGCCCTGGCTAAGATATTTGTATAAGATGTCATTCTGGGTACTTGTCAGAAACCTGTGGGTACCCAACCAGACCTGCACAGATAGATGGCTTTATCAACGCCCTTGCCAAGTGTGGCGTGAAATCAACTAAGCTGGAATTTAGGTCGATCTCCTTCCTTAATGATGAAACAAACAGATTTGCCATTTGAAACAGAAAAGGGTGTTTCTGTCATTGGCATTGGTCCATTTTGCTAAATATTGTTGCTAATGTGACAGCTTTTATCTTGACCTGGAGGTTAGCTAAAGCCAAGTGCCAGTTCTGTTACCATTTTAGTCCCCAAGGGACTCCCTGACTACCGAGGATAGAATATCCTGCACCATCTCACACTCAAGCACACTCAGACCTTATGTTGGGGGGGCCAGGGTTCAGAGGGACACACTCCGGAAGTTCCAATATCTATGAGGGAATCAGCCATATAAACAATCACAGTAATCAAGTCAGTGCTAAAAGGCAGTTTACACAATTCTGTATTAGTCCATTCTCACACTGCTATGAAGAAATACCTGAGATTGGGTAATTTATAAGGAAAAGAGGTCTAATTGACTCACTGTTCTGCATGGTTATGGAGGCCTCAGGAAACTTACAATCATGGCAGAAGGCACCTTTTCACAGAGTGGCAGCGGAGAAAATGAGTGCAAGCAGGGGAAATGCCAGATGCTTATAAAGCCATCAGATCTCATGAGACACACTCATTATCACGAGAACAACATAGGGGAAACAGCCCCCATAATTCAATCACCCCCACCTGGCCCCACCCTTGACATGTGGGGATTATGGGGATTACAATTCAAGGTGAGATTTGGGTGGGGACACAGAGCCAAGTTACGGGAAAAAGAGTGACAACGTTCATTGCCAGCCCAGGCAGAGATTTTTCTCCCTCCTCTGGACCCCACGAAGGTAACCTGTATATGTTTCCATGGTGGTATTTACCATGTGGCATTTGATGGGCTGACCACATTCTCCTGTCTGGCATCAGACTTGGCACTCTCAAAAGCTGAGATGGGTGATTAATTTCTATATTCCTATTAACAAGCATGGTTTCTGACATAGCAGATAGTCAACAAATGTGTAGTGGCACTGAATGGTGAACGGATGAATGAAGTGACAATTTAGCTTGAGAAAATATTTCTTGAAGAAATTACTTGAAGCTATTTATTGAAAAAATGGGATTTCTGTGAGTGATAAAGGACAGTGATGACATTGCAGGGGTGAGAACTTTGAACAAAGGCTGGGAAGTGAGAGAGCTTGGCTTCCGTGGGGAAATATGGGCAGCCTAGGAAGGCTAAAATAGGGTTAGTATGAAGGCGGCATGAGGGCTAAAAGATTTTAAAAGGATTTTGCCATATTATTAGGTTTTGGCTTTATTTTTTAAGCAGTGGAAAACTAGTGAAAAGTTTTAAGGATAAAAACACACTTTGGGAGACTGCTATAGAGAAGCAGTTGGGGTAGGAGGGAGCTTGGCATTGGGGGGGAACTAGGAGGTTAATGCTATGATCCAGGTAAGAGGCAGTGAGCACCCAGACTACAGAGCAGGCAGCAGAGGGGGAGAAGGGGTGGACACAGCACTGAATTTGTCATCATTAGCATTTGTTGAGGGCCTGTCATGTGACATGAGCCATCATTCAAAACTCATTATCATCATACAAACCTTGGAAAGTATGCAGTATATGATGCCCATGTTTAAGATGAGTTCACGGAGACTCAGAGAGATTAGATAAATTTCTAAAGTTCACAAAGGAAATAAACGGCTAAGCTGTGATCTGAATCCAGGTCTGCCTGGCTCTGAAGGTCATGGCATCGCATGGTCACTGACAAGGCATCTGAGCTATATTCATTGGGAGTTCACTGCCCTCTCTAACTCCAAAGTTGGAGAACATGGTGCTAAGTCACTGTCTGGGTGATTCTAGGAAGGCTGCACCCAAACTGCGTACCCTTCTGAACCCTGCCTCCCCCGAACACACACATACTGCCTAACTCCCACATACACACCCTCATACTCCACTGCAACAGTGACATGCACAGGATCTTTCTCTGAAAGTTACTCTCTTCTTCAGTCTCATCTTTATGCAATGCAGTATATTTTAGTCAGACATTGACTACACAGAGGGTGTTAAAAATCATCTAGTTGTGCACTTGTACACAAGAAAATAAGGTCTGGAGTGGAGAGTGCTCTGTCAGAGCACCTTGCTGAGAGCCAGGGCAGGGTGAACCACAATCCAGTTCTCCTGACTTGTTGAATTCCAATTGCCTTAACATACCAAACAATTCTGGAGAATGTATAGTTTCACTTAAAAGCTGCTACAAAAGAGACTTTAACATATGGCAGGTATTTTTAATTGTAGAAATTAAGAGTGCTATCCTTAGATGGGGAAACTCACTTTGGGAAAGTGATTTCTATGTTGACAAAATATCTAACTCCACCCATCTGTTGCTACATTTATTTACAAAAGCACTCATGCCTGGGTTTCCCTAGATTTTCTTCTTCACAGTCATGCAGGGTGTCAGTTCAATCCTGTTCCAGTGGGTCCCAGACCACATGTGCAGAATAAACAACCTATTGAATGAATAATCCTTGAGCATCTCTCTATGGGGGCTTCTGTTCAAGGACCATGGACGCTGCATAATTCACCTGCTGCCCTCCAGGACCATGGTGTGTGCACAGAGCACTACAGGCCAGACACTGCAGTGATGGACATTCTCATATTTGTTATCTAATTTAACTCTCCAAGTGACCCTGTGAGATAGAGATTAGTTCCTCTATTTGCAGATGGGCACATGGCATTCAGAGAAGCTAAGAGATATGCCCAAAGTCAACAATCTAGCATCTGGCACTTTTTAACAGTTTGAAACAGGGTGAACAGAAGGTCAAAACCATTAAGATGGAACAGAAAGTGTAAGAAAGAGTAGGCAGGGGGTAAATTCAACTTCTTGGAAATAGGAAATAGGATATCAGGATGCTTCTTAATGCTGCTGCTTCTTACAAAGTCACTAGGAACATTGTTTCTATTACAATGCAATCTCTGATAAAGTTTGCAAGAGAGGAGGTGGCCCTTTGTGTGGCAGAGGGGACATGAGGAGGAGAAGGCAGGCCACCTCTCTGGGGGCATTGCCTCAATGAAGTTGACATCACCTGGGTTCTGGTACCTAGGCTTCTGGGGCCAGAGCCTATACTTCCTTCGTATATCCACAGATAGCTAACACTTGGGGCCAAATATTCACTCATGTACTGAAAGACTGGTATACAAAGGAGATGCCAAATTTTAAACAGATCATCAGAGATGTCCTTTTCCAGGTAAGAAGGTGGCTGTCCCTTTAATCCATAATACCCCTTCATCTCAATATTAAGGTAATATGAGAGCTACACTTGGCAAAAAGAGAGTAATTGATAAGCTTGGAATTAATGCAAAAGAAAGTAAACTGTGCAGGTTAGGGGCTGGAAAGTTATGGACTACAGGCTAAATCTGACCAGCCATCTGTCTTTGTAAATAAAGTTTTATTGAAACATAGCCATTGTCATTTATTTACATATGTCTGACTGCTTTCATGTTACAGCAGCAGAGGTGAGTAGTTGAAGAGAGATCGTATGGCTTTCCAAGCCTAAAATACTTACTATTGTCCTTTACAGAAAGAAATTGCCAAACCCTGATATACTCTATATTAAGCTTGATGCACCAGCCACATTTCTTGTTTCTGTGTCCCATAATTCCATTTTTTCAGGTCTCCCAGTTCTGTCCCACTTCGTCTCGTTCCCAGTATTTAACTTAAGAACCTAAAAGAGTTGCAAATGACTAAATCCCAAATAAAAGAAACGAGCAGAAAAGGAGGGTATAATCAGCCTCGATGGCATGCCCAAGGCTGATGTGGTTTTATCGTATCTGGGATTGTAGAATCTGAATCCAAAAAGTTTGTTTTCCATCTCTGGACTCTTGTTGTGTTCAGTGTGTCACTTTTATTCTCACCTACTGTAAAGAGGTCACTTCTCATTCGAGAAATGTCTGCTGCCTGCTGTAAGTCTTAATAGGTAAAGGAGTTTCTTTCCCCCAGCTCAAGGCTGAAAAGTCTTGCAGAAGCCTTCTGACTGGTTCAGCTTTAGTCAGGTGCCCATTCCTGGCATGGCTCACTGTGGTCCAGGATGGAAGATAGTGAGGCAGTTCAGTGGGCCCAGTTTGGCTTCTGTGGATGTGGTCTGAGTGCAGAAAGGACACAGCAGAGCCTCCAGGCTGGGTGGCTACACCACACTGTCACTCACTCACAGCCGCTTTCCTCCATTGCTAGTGCAACCTCCTGACTTCAAACCTGCAGCGTATCTCTTCAGACCTGCTGCAAATAGCCTCCCAATCTCACCCAATTCTAGTCATCCTAAGTGCACTGCTAAGAATATTCCTAAAAAGCAATTTGATGATACCCCTTAAATTTAAGCTTAAAAGACTTAACTTTTGTCCATCCCCACCCCTTCCTCCGTGGCCTGGTGTCCAGTAGGAAAACCTCATGACCAACATCAGATTATCTTTCTAAATCCATCTCTTATCACTTCCTCCCAAGCACCCTTCACTCCAGACACAGAGATCTGATCAATGCTCTTTATTCATTATACTGTGTTCATGACACACTTACTGTTTTCCTTTCCCAGAATTTTCTGTTCCTAGATTCTTTCTTAAACCCTTGGAATGCTCCGATTGAACTGATGTCCGTCTGCTGGCTTCCCATGGCTCTCTGAGTGCCCCTCTCATTGTACTTATCACACTGCACCACAGTGGTCTGTTAGCTGCTTGCTTTATTTTCTGTGAGCTCCAGGAAAACACCTCCATGCCTCATTTATCTCTGCAGACTCAGACACAGCACCAAGCCTGCTGCAACTATTATTTGCTGGGCGAAGCATTTTGGCACCCACCTCCCTGCAAGGAATGGTCCTCTAGTTTCTCCCCCACCAGAGTAATGGCAGTTTTCCCTTCTCAGTTTGTTTTTTGTGTTCACCATTCATTTAAAATGGAATATTCTTTCTTTGGATGTGCCAACATCATTGAGTAAGATCTGGTCCAGGAGCAGCTACGTTGGATCTGGTATCTTCTATATCTCCTAGTTCTTGGAGCCACACATCTCTCATCTTCATTCTCAAGTACTATACAGATTTCCAACTTGTCTATTATGGTTTTGCTTGAGAAAATTTTAAAAGCTCAATAGTTTAATACGCACACACACATATATATATGTTAAGGGGGCATGTGTGTGCCTGCATACGTTGTATAATGTGCAGATTCAGTAATCCTCAAAAATATCTCAGGTCCAAATTAGATATTTTCAGGATAATTTTTGCAGGAGAGTACAAGGCCTAACAAATGAAGTTAGAACCTGGGAACCCCAGCTGCTGAGCTGTGCCTTCTTATTGCTTAGACTTTATAAGTTCCAAGATTGGAAGAGAGCAAGATTTGTAATTGGAGGTCCAGGATTTGAGTCTTGGCTCTCTCTTTTTTGAGTAATCACAGG
Organism: Homo sapiens; assembly: GCF_000001405.40. NCBI lineage: Eukaryota > Metazoa > Chordata > Mammalia > Primates > Hominidae > Homo > Homo sapiens. The sequence goes on along the minus strand of NC_000002.12, from coordinate 14,713,798 downwards.
CAAATTTTACTTATCCTCTTTATTTCTGCACTTATATAATAATAGTCACCTTTTACTGGTTGGTGACTAAAATGAAAAGATAATGTATAGGAGAGTGATTTATAAATTAAGAAATGCAATACAAATAGCAGTCATTACAAAACAGAAGTTTAAGAATTCAGCCACAATAGTTACTATGTGACTTCCATGGGAAAAATATTTAAACACTCTCCACCACAGTGTTATATTCCCCCAATAAAGTGTGATGTGGAGCATCATAGGTAGCTCAATTACCTGGTGAGATGACAGCTTCAGCGGGGCTGAACAACTGCTGATGGAGAACTCTGGCAGGTTTGCTATCGAAACCAAACAGGAGCTAACAGATGTGGCTGACACTTCCTGGGCCCCATCACTGGGAAGGTGCAGCTGTGCTCTGCCTTTACTTCGGGTAGTTTGGGTTTGAAAGTGGCTGCGCCTTTGTGAAAATCCTATGACTGAAGCTTTATTGTCTTTCCTTTTCCTAGGGACGGCCATATTCCTTGACAACTCCATGCTGAGGCACAGTAACAAAGATGTTCTGCTGCCCATTAGAGGCACCCAGCGAATGGCAGGGGTGGAGACACAGGTTTCAGAAGTGCATGCACACCTGAGAGGAGTGAGCTGACAGACCCTGATAACGGAGGCAGCAATTGTCAACGAAGAGATGGCACTAATCGTTATTTGGTTTTGTCAGCAACACTGGGATATTTGCTGAACCGCTCAGGAGATTTTCTTTCCCCCCAGCTTAGAAGAAACAAATTTGAGCACTGTTTGGAAGAAGACGACAGCAGAGAGATGGCAGGTGAGAAAGTAAAAACTCACCAGATGTTTCTGGATCTCAACATTTACTCAACTGCGTTGATCATCTCACTATTTATAACTCAGGTGTTTATTTCAGCTTCATGCAGCACTTCCAAATCTACCCTGCACAGGGTAATACAGAGCTAACCATTTTGCAGAGTATTCTGGGAAAGTGTTTATTCTGTTCCTTACAAGTTTTAGGTTTTTCAAGTGACTATTATTTCACATTGTGAGTTCTACCAAGCACTAGGCAGTAGACCAAACACACACATGTGCTTTGTGCCCATAAATATTAAAAATGCATTAGCCAGTCTAAGTTTTTCTTTTGTATTTTCCAAGACTTGTCAATTGCAAATGAATAGATCTTATTTGTAGAGAAAGAACAGATTTAAAATGACAAAATCAGAACCTTTCCCAGAATCTTGGGGAGGACTGGCACTTTAAAGAAGAAAGAAAAAAGAATGACAACAAAATTTCGAGTGAATTGTCTTGGATGTCTGTCAGATTTGGAGATGCACTGCTCTCTCGGAGCCCATGCATCCCAGATGGAGTGGTTTCTGTAGAAAAACAATCATAGTTACATTCAGGGGAGCTTACTTGGCAAGAAAATCATGATTGAACTGATGCTATTGTGACATCATGTAGGAGTTTATAATTGCAGTTTGTTATGAAACAGTTGGACTGAATCCTAAGGATGGATATTTTAGTGTTCCGTGGAGAAAGTGGAGATAAAGGCATTGGCAAGGACAGATGTGACATTAGAATAAGAGTTGCCGTGGTGAGGCCTCACCGCTTGGTATTTACTTTGCTGAAACCACAGAAGTCTCAGATCTAGCCCTTCTAGTCCCACAGGTCAAGAAACTCAAACTTACCAATGTTCCAGAGTTGATCATATTTGGGAAGGTCAATTCCTACTGAGTAAATTCACTTATGTAAACCAGGAACAATGTTGTGCATTTACCAAGAAAAAGAAAACTGTCAGCCAGGCCTACTCTTCTTTTTGGTCTAAACAATACACTCCCTGTAGACAAAGTACACAGGAAGTCAAGGTTGCTAGTAAACTTGGAATCGGGTAAAGACTGGTAGTTTCATAAATTGAGTAAATTGAGTATGGCTTCATGCATCAGCCTTAGTCACCATGCCCACTGTCAAGATGATAAATGCTTTTAAGGGTCCAACAGGCCACCTTTGGCCCACAGGACCCTTGGATGTCTACTTTAAAGTCTCCCTCACTAGCTCTTCCTTTCCTGACCTTCCACTGTTTATGTTCTTCCCAGTACAATCCCAGGATCTTTATTCAGTTGTGATAATACAGCCAATTACATTAAAACTGGGGCCAAGCCAATGATTTGGTCTTGCTTCAAAATATTTATTTATTTATTTATTTTTTGAGACAGAGTCTCACTCTGTCACCCAGGCTGGAGCACAGTGGCATGATCTCAGCCTCCTGAGTAGCTGGGACTATTGGCATGTGCCACCATGCCCAGCTAATTTATATATATATATATATATTAGAGACAGGGTTTCACCATGTTGGCCAGGCAGGTCTCGAACTCCTGGCCAAGTGATCTACCTGCCTTGACCTCCCAAAGTGCTGGGATTATAGGCGTGAGACACTGAGTCCAGCTAGAATGATATTCTTTAAATAGTTGCTCACCACTTCTTGAGAGGAGAAATTGAGCTCTGCATGGGCGTGAGGTGGGTTAGGGAGGCAATAAAAGTAGAAGGCAATAGCTGTGCTCAGCCTCTGTTGTTCCAGGGGGTTCCTCTCTGGTCCAACCTTGCCTATCCCTCTTGGCTAAATAATACACAGCAGGGAAATGGATCTATCTTCCTAAGAAGGGAGTTCAGAGAGCATCTATTATTACTTGAGCCTTGCTTAACTAGTATTCCCTATAACCACATACTCCTCCATAAAATAGAATATTATAGATTAATTTCATCTTATAATATACACGTGCACACTTTTTTTTTTTTTTATTCAGAGATGTTTCAGAACACTGTTTGAATCGATGCTGTCGGCAGCTGCCTGCTGACTTTCTTCTTTGTCCAGCTAAATTCAGAGAAAATTATTTGCCTGGCCTGGGAACTCTTTGCTCTATTCATAATCTAAAGTAAATGGACTCTGTATCTCTAAAGCTTTACCATTCATTTTATTTTGTTTTTAATTGACACATAATAACTGTACATATTTATGGGATATAGTGTGATGTTGTGATACATGTATACCTTGCGGAAAAATCAAATTAGGGTACCTATCATGTCTATCACCTAATACATTTATCATTTCTTTGTGGTAAGAACATTCAAAATCCTCACTTCTAGCTATTTTAAAATATGCAATATCCATAGTCACCCAACAGTGCAATAGAACACCAGAACTTATTCCTCCTATCTAACTCTACCTTGGGCCCATTGATCAATCTTTGCTTATCCCTCCAGTTCCCTACACTTTCCAGCCTCTGGTAACCACCATTCTATTCTCTACTTCTATGAGATCAACTTCTTTAGATTCAGTGTATGCATGAGATCATGCAGTGTTCGTTTTTCTTGGCTGGCTTATTTCACTTAACAATATTCTTCAGAGATCGTGCCACTGCACTCCAGCCCAGGCGACGTGAGAAACTCTGTCTCAACAACAACAACAACAACAACAACAGCAAAACAATGTCCTCCAGGATCATCTATGCTATGACAAATAACATGATTCCAGTATTTTTTATGGACAAATGGTATTCCTTTGTGCATATATATCACATTTTCTTTATCCGTTCATCTGTTGATGGACACTTAGGTTGATTGCATATCTTGGCTATTTTGAATAGTGCTGCAATAATTATGAGACTATAGATATCTCTTTGACATACTGATTGTATTTTCTTCTTTCTTTCTTTCTTTCTTTTTTTTTTTTTTTGAGACAGAGTCTCACTCTGTTGCCCAGGCTGGAGTGCAGTGGCACGATCTTGGCTCACTACAAGCTCTGCCTCCCAGGTTCACGCCATTCTCCTGTCTCAGCCTCCTGAGTAGCTGGGACTATAGGTGCCCACCACCACGCCCGGCTATTTTATTTTTTATTTTTAGTAGAGACAGGGTTTCACCATGTTAGCCAGGATGGTCTTGATCTCCTGACCTCGTGATTCACCTGCCTCGGCCTCCCAAAGTGCTGGGATTACAGGCGTGAGCCACCGTGCCAGGCCACTGATTGTATTTTCTTTGGTTATATATACCTAGTAGTAGGATTGCTGGGTCATAGTTTTTTGAGAAACCTCCCTATTATTTTTCATAACAGTTGTACTAATTTACATTACCACCAACATACTATATACACAATTTACCATACACAAAAAAATCAACTCAAAATGGATTAGGTACTTAAGTGTAAGACCCAAAGATTTAAAACTAATAGAAAAAAAGCATAGAATAAATGTTCATGACATTGGTCTGGACAAGAAATTTTTGGACAAGTCTCCAAAAGCACAGGCAATAAAAGCAAAAATAGACAAGTGGGATTACATCAAACTAAAAAGCTTCTGCACAGGAAAGGAAACAATCAACAGAGAGAAAAGACAATCTACAGAATGGGAGAAAATATTTGCAAACTGCTCATCTGACAAGGGGTTAATATCTGGAATATATAAAGAACTCAGATAATTCAATAGCAAAACAAACCATCTGATTTAAAATGGGGAAAAGATCTGAATAAAGGTTTTTAAAGGAAGACATACAGATGGCCAGCATGTATATGGAAAAAAATTATCAACATTACTAATTATCAGGAAAATGCAAATCAAAACCACAATGAGACATTATCTTACCCCAGTTAGAATGGCGATTATAAAAAACGCTGGCATGGATATGGAGAAAGGAGAACTCTTACTCATTTTATTTTTAAAAATCGCTGCATTGCTCTATTACCTATTCATCAAATATTAATTGATCATCTTATAAGTCATGCATTGCATGAGTTGGTAAGTATATAAAGACAAATAAAACACAATCATTTCCTCTAAGACCCATGTCTACAGGGAGAGACAGGCACGTAAACAAATCATTATAGCTCAATGTGGTGAGTGCAGCAGTTAAGAAATGTATAGGGAGATTGGGAATACAGAGGAAGGCAACCAACGCCAGACCCAGGGTGAAGACTTCAGAAAAGCTTCCTTGAAGAGGGGCTGCTTGAGAATTAATGGACTGAAGATGAATAGGCGAGGGTATAATAGGCATAAGTAGACATCTGATCTCATCCATTCTGAGTTGATCCCATGGTTTAATTCCAAAGGCCACATGAGCTCTATGAACTCTCTTGTTCCCTTTTGCACACTGGGGGTTTATCTCACCCTTGTGCAAGTACTTCCTGCATGAGAGAGTGAAAACAACACTCAGGAACAGAATCCCTGGACCTAATAATCACTGGTAAATGTCCAACACTTCATTGTTAAGCAACAATTCGTTATGAAGCATGCTCATTATTTCATTTGATTTCCAGAATAAGTCTTAAGGTAGTCATCCTCAACTGGAGCAATTTTACTCACAGGCAACGTGTAGAGACATTTTGGATTGTGATGCTGAGGGGCTGGAGGTTGTTCCTGGCATCTCTTGAGCAGGGAGAGGCTGCTAAACATCCCACAGTGCACACGACATCCCCCCACAACAAATTATCATCCAGCCCCAAATGTCAATAGCACTGTGGTTGAGAAACCCTGTCTTGAGGTTATCTTCATATTTAAAAATAAATAAATAAAACTGAGTTTCTAGGTCTAGCTCTGTCTAATTATGTGATCTTTGGCAAACCATTTAATCATGAGCTCTAATTACCCTCTCCATAAAGTGAATATTTATTTTTAAATGAAATGATCTCTAAAGTATTTTTCAAATCTAAGAGTCTGTGAGAGCAGAGGGATTCATATGTTATAGATTTAAACTGAGAAATCAGTGAACAAAATTTTCCTGCTGCAGCTTACTGTTGCAATATATTTATTCTCAATGAGTACTTTATTTGTATAATTAATAAAGAAGTCACTAGGCTAGATCTTGGAGGTGCCTTGAATATATATGGCTGGGGTCCTGCTGTCTGCCCCCAGCTGCCTCTCTCCTGTCCAGCAGCAGAAGCTGTGAGTTCTAAGTTATCCTAACTCAGCACCATCTGGAAATTTGAGTAGAAGGACAGAGTAATTTACATGCTCACAAGGTGATTTCAAGAACTTGTTGGAATTATTGAAGATTATCTGTGGCCCTAAGCCCCTTCTCTCCCAGCTCCATCTCCTATCACCTGCACACCCTGCTCTCAGGGACAGGTGATGACTATGACATGATATTTTGGGAAAGAGGTGTGAGAGTAGCCTCTCTGAAGGGTGGACCAGTTGCTAAAGCACAGTGAACATAATAACCTCAATTTATTGAACTCTTCTTATGGCAACCTTCTATATGACCACCCTGGAGGATGAGCATTATTTTTCCTACTTGACAGGTGAGGAAACTGAGGCTTTGGAGAGATTAAGTAATTCACTTTTTGTTCAAGGGAATAACAAAAATTTGACAAATGATATGAATGTTACATTAGAAACTATTAACTTTGTGATCCTGATGAGATAGGGGCCAGTATTTTGAGTAGGCCTTATAAGACATCTCACCCATATGTATGTCAGGAATAGTAAGGCAGTGTAGCATGATGGAAAAAAAACATGGTGTTTAAAGGCCTAAATTTCCTCATTTACAAAATTGTGATAATAACTCTTGCCTCACAGTGAGATTGAATTTAGTAATATATGATGAATGCAAATTACAGTGCCTGGAATACAGTAGGTGCTCAATAAATAATGGTAGATATCATTATTACTATTTGTTCACTGGTACACTTGTGATCTCTAATATGTTTAAAACTGTAAAGAGGCAAGTAAATTAGAAGAATATGGAATTAGGCACAAGAGGTTGCTCAGAATCAGCATATTTTATATGGGGACCAGATGAATTCCATTTAAACACTTAGCATGGGTTATCGATTCTGCAGCACAAAGAGTTTGTTCCATGAAAGTGGTGTGGGAAATTCTCATTCAACTGTATTTGTAAATTGAGTCATTTCTTACCAGATCATCTGCTAATTTACTCAACTCTTTTTTTTTTTTTCCCAATATAAGGTCCTTCTTGAAAGAAATGTCTCATATTTAGATTTGGTAAGAATAAATCCAGTTCTTTCTCTATACTAGTAATATGTAAGGTACTGTCATTCATTATTTGGGTTCCCTTGGAGATAATGCCGGTGGCACTACACAGTTGAGGACTCTTATTGAGTCCAAGCAGTTTAATGTCCTGTTTGAGAAAGAACCTGACATCAGTCTTTCTGTCTTCTTGTTGCCACAGGAAAAGTAAGAGCAGGTGGAGAGAGAGGATACAGGCCTGGGAAACTTTCCTAGTCACTTAGAAGTGTGGTCTTCCAGTCAACACAAGGAGTTAAAGAAAGCTACAGCCACTGCAGTGAGTACTTTTCAGTTACCAAGGCAAGGCATTTTTTTTTTCCACCACATGGCAGAATCAAAGTGGGTAGAATTACTTTGTGCATATATTCCAGTCATGTGTTTTCATTTTTCCCAAGAAAAGCTGTACTGGATTGAGTCATGTCCCACATAATTTAGGTTCACCCAGAATCTCAGAATGTGACTTTATTTGGAAATAGTGTCTTTGCCGATGTAATTTATGATGACATCAAACTAGAATAGGGCAGGCTCTGAATCCACTATCAGACTAAGAGAAGACACAGGGAACAGAGAAGAAACACAGGTAGAACCCCACATGAAGGTGGAGGCCAACATCAGAGTGATGTGTCAACAAGCCAAGGAACAGGAAGGATGACCCATGGCCACCAGAAGCTGGAGAGAACCATGAAACAGATTCTCCCCCAGAGGTCCAAGAAGGCAGAAGCCCTGCCCACACCACGATTTCAGACTTCTGGCCTCCAGAACTGTGAAAAATACATTTCTGTTGGCCACTCAGTTTGTGATAATTTGGTATGGCAGCCCTGGGAGATGAATACAGAAGACTTGTTTATAAAATTTCAGTAAAGAACCTATTGAGGTGTTTTTGAACAAGAAATGATTGAATCTACATGGACCCAATTGGTCATCCAGAATTCACCATCATTGTCCCCCAGCATGGAGCGAGTACCCTTTTCTTTAACCTGCTAGGACCTCTTCAGTACAAAACAATATCACAGAAAACTTTGAATAAAGATTAAGTCCTGGATGGCATGGCCAGTTAGTTACTAGCAAGTTAACACAACATGCCGTCTCAACTTAAAATTCTCTTCTGGTTGTTATTTGGCTTTTGTTTTGTTTTTCAGTTGACCTTTGTTCTAAATTGAACTTGAGCAAAAATAACTGAATTTGATATGACAATAAGACATTGGTTTAGTTTTCTATTACAAGGAGAATTCAATTCATGGTGTGAAAAGTATCAGTGGTCTTGCTGAATGTGTTCTAATTGATGAATAATGTTTTAAAGGAGTGGAGATGCTTTAAAGGAGACACTTTATGTTTAAATCTTAGCCAGCCTAAAAACAGTGAAGAAAATGACAAAGCCATTCAGTGCATATCAGAAACACTGTCCTGCTGCTGGGTTTCAAATCTTTTTCCTTTTGATTCTATAAGAGACAAAAAAAAAAAAAAAAAAGAAAGAAAAGGAAAGGCATTTAAAAGTCAACACTTAGGACAAATGGAAACCATGTGCAACTATCAAGTGCTTAAAAGGGTGGTCTATTAGGAAGTTGATAACCAGGGAGAGCATGGTAGTTTTGGAGCTGGCATTGGCAAAGGGATGAAAAGTCTAGGGTTCACACCATTCAACCCATAGCATTGCCTTTAGACTTTCCTGTGAAGCTAGGTGAACTCTGAGGAAAGATAAGGAATAAAGGAAGAGATGAGGTGAGTAATGTGCTATTAAAATCACCCTGGTTCTTATCTGGGGAGTGAATATGAAACAAAGATGAGAAGGATTTAGAAAAGACTCCAAACTTTTTCACTTTTTTTCCGGCCATAGTACATCTGAACTTGACAGTCTTGCCTCTTGGTGTTTCATCAATGGAAAGTGTAAGCACCTATAAAGCACCTTTATACTTATTATTTCACTTTGCCCTCACACACACTCATACATACATACAAAGAACTGTAGGGAAATATCTATAACCTTATTTTACCCAAGACTCAAAGAGCTTAAAACATTTTTCTAAGCTACGCAGCTAGTAAATAAATGAACTGGGATTCAACTACTAACCTAATTCCATATTCCAACTATTTCTAATGTATTATGTTGTCCTGTTGAAGAATCACTGGAAAGCTACTTCCTTCAACTGTTCTGAAAGTCTGATCAATCTGAATAGAAACTATGCTCTGGTCATGAATGATAATATAGCACTAGAAGATAAGCTAGGTGGGGAAACTATATATTCACTAAAATATATCAGTTTTATAATCTTTTATGTTTTGAATGTCAACAAACACACATTTTAATTCCCAAGGAAGTCTCCCTTTTTTTCCAAACTTCTTTTCTAAACAAATCGTTTAATAAATAGAGAATAATTTCCAATGACTATTTCACTGAGAATGAGGGAGATAACCATATTAGTCTAGATTTCCTAAGAACTGGAGAAGGCATATTCCTCTATGTAATCCAACTCAAGATGGAATCAATGGTGTCAAAATCTTATAATGTCAAGCCAATGTCCAACGTGCGTCATTGAATTTCTCTCTGGTAATTTAATTAGTTTAAATAAATATCACTAATTAATATCTTTGGAAGATGAGCTCCAACCTACTCCTCTGAGTTGACCAAGTGCTTTATTAATATCAGATTAATGCTATTATGTGGCAGGTACTCTATGCATTATTGCCTGTGATTCTGACAAAACTTCATAAAATGAGGTTGACTTCAGATTTTTTTAAAAAAAATTAAAAATACTTTAGATAAGAAATTATGAGCTTAGCAAAATTCAGAAACTTGTCCAAGATCCCATGGCTAGTCCTAAGACTTAAATTCTCATCTATCTGATTCAAAGATCATATTTTCCTGTCTCTTTTTGTGTGAAGAATTTTTTTATGATATCTAGGACGTTGGAATTTTTATGTGATGAAAACTTTAGATTCTGTTGTAGTATTCCTAAAAAATCTTCTTTTTCTGGTGGTTTTTAGCTGGCAATTTACTTGATTGGGCTCAAACTGTCTTTCTGTTGGCATTCCATTGGTAGCTCCAACCTTAGTTCAGTTCATTTGTCCTTAGCTTGAGAGCCTGAAGTTTTCCCTGTGTATGCAAAACTTGGAGTTCAGCCAGAGGTTTGGAGCAGAGTATATGCATAGAAGTTAGAGCTCTTTCTCTCATTTTTCTGGAAGTTTCTCTTCACTTTACAGCTGCTATGGTTTATGTAAATTCTGTTGTCTGAGTCTCTCTAGTCTAGAAAAAAATGCAGGTTTTCTGTATAAAGTGAACTGTTTGAGGTCTTCTCTCAGGTTAAAACTATAGGACTAATAAATTCATCTTATTGTATTCTTCCAAGTTGTCAACCCCTCTCTAAAATATACCTCCTTTTGATTGTTTTTCAGTGTCTTTTCTTAATCCTACAGTGTGTTTTATGCTTTTTATGAAGTTTATACTTGTTATTCCCTGGAAGATTGTTTGATAGGACTTTATTCAGCTTTATTAGAAAGGAAGTTTAGACATATATTTTTATATTATATATCATTTTATAAATACATCATGAGGCAAATGAAAGTAAGGAAATTGGTTACATCATTTCAAAAATTCTATGAATTCACCGTTAAATTTTAAAAATCAATTTCTGACTAATATTTCTGGATACCTGTGTTTTTTTCATGCAATATCATCTTCTATGTCATGGAAAGTATTGACGGTACTTTTTTTTTAAAGTATTCCATTATTGTCCCCAAGATTTTCTTCCAAGTTAGTAATAATTGCTGTATATGTTTTAATGCTGACACATTTTTCATTTTTGTTTTTAATTTTATAGAAGCTTTATCCACCTGTCAGGAGAAGGCATTCACATACAACCTTTATTCATATTTCTTCCTCCAATTCCCATTAATGGTTTATTGGTTGAAATATTTAAGAGATGTTGTTATCCAATAAAGCATAGGAATAAGTAGCAAGCTTACACATGTGCAGGCAATGACAACTGTGTCACAGTCATCACATAGTCAACAGCGACTATGAGATGATGGAAATTTTAAGGACCATTCCATAGTCAAATATATTAAAATGTGAAAAGTGTATGTCTTATAATTAATTAAATATAGTATCTTAGAACCAAAAAAGTTGGCATTCTAACTCTGTGAATTTGTATCTTTGAATTTTCTCCATTCTCTTCTATTTCTGCTTCTAAACTACTCAATTCTTACTTGAGTTCATTTATTGTAGTGTCTTTAAAAATGTTGTCAACAGTGGCTAACACCCACTCACTCTGACTCAACTAATTCTGGCAGTTACAGCATACATTAATTCTGCTCATATGCCTTTGGCCATAACTCCATCATACGGCCAATCTCAGTTGTAATGGAGAAATATTGTGCGGTGGTATGCTCACGGGGTAGAGGAAGTGAGTGAAGCAACTGGCCCATAGTGGCTAAAGTTTGCTCATGGTACTACAGCAAGTAAATATCAGAGCTGGTATAAGGTAGTGGTTGAGACAATAAACTTTGGAATTAGACAGATTGTTTCAGTCTTGGCTCTGCCTCTTATAGCTATCTGATCTTGAACAAAGTACTTATCTCTAAAACACAGGTTTCTCAGGCATAAAAAAGAAACAATAATAGTACCAAACCCATAAATCTGTTACAGGGGTAATACACAGAAAAGACTTTGTACCAAGACTAGCTCATGGTTAGTCCTACAAAATATTAATTAATTTGACTTAAAACTCTTGCATTTTTCCAGTACATCTCAAATCTACTCATCTCCTTCCATTTGAATAAATACCACTGATTAAAAACATATTGTGTGCTAGGAATTATGGTTACTTTTTAATATGCATTCAATCATTTACTCCTAACAGTTACATAAGGTAGCCTTTATGATCGTCTGCATTTTACAGATGAGGAATCAGATTTGGAGAGGTTTAGTATCCATATTTCCCTTCTCTCTTATTAGATAATAAGTGTAATATGTGACACTTAGAGAGACTTCCACTCAGGTGCTCAATTTTACTTCCTCCTCAATTCGCTCTCTTGATATATATTCACAGCCCAACTCAAATATTTCTTTCCTTATGGAGCTTTACGCAACTAATCCAGCCCTTACTGGCCTCTGAGGAAATATTTTGTATAAACACATCTCCTTTGACTTGCAGAATACCTACCACTGTGTGGGATGTTTGAAGGGCTTAAAAAGAAAAACTACATATTCATTCTTCCATTAATTAACAAAATAGCATTGACCATTTACTGCCTCCATTTCATTGCAATCTTTTTAAAACACAAATCGGCTCATATTATTCTTTTGATTAAAATCCTTCAGTAGCTTCCCATCACCTACTGGTGGAAACCCTGTCTACATTTCTTGTTATAAAAGGTTCTCCATGGTCTCATCCCTGTCAGTCATTTCAGCTGCACCTCTCACTGCTTCTACCTCACTTAGCTAAATCAAACTGTTGCAATTAACACAACATACCGTCCTGCATTCCTGCTGCTTATTTTCCTTTTACACCCTTTCCCCATGCTTTACCGCAAAATTAGGGATTATAATATTTATGAAACCTCTGTTGCTATTACCAAGAATTACTGATGTTAATTTAACTTAAATTTGACCTAAAGCTCCCTTCATACTTTGAATTCCTACATAGAAAACTGAAACCTAACTTAATATGTAAATAAAATGCAACCTCAGAGTATATTCTTGCAACAAACAGCCGAATCTCAGCCAATCATAGGAGTTGAGCTTCAGCCAATTAAAGCTGCCAACTGATCAGACCATTTCCATAAAAGGCAAATGACAAGCTGTAACCTATTAAGCTATTTCTCTATCCCACATCCTTTTTCTGTACAAATACTGCCTGCCCACATTGCTGGGCGATGCTCTCTGAACCTCCCCTAGTTCTTAGTGGTACTCAATTCATGAGTCATTCTTTGCTCAAATAAACACCACTAAATTTAATTTGTCTCAAGTTTTTCTTTTAACATCAAATACTTGCTTCACCATACTCCTGCTCAACCCCAAACAGAATTTTATAATAACATTCAGAAAATTTTATTGCACTTGATAATTTAAACATTTGTTTCCTCCCCTAGATTGTGAAGATAGGAAATGTGAATTCACTCATTTCTGTAACACTAGGGCCTAGCATCATGGTTAAAAACCGTTTTAGTAATTAATCAGTTTTAATTAATGAGATTGTTTTCAAGGTATCCACTACCTCTGCCTCATAGTTTGAATATGCTCTTTCATATCCTGTCTGACATTCAAACAGAACTCCTATGGGTTCCCAGACCCAGAACGGAATGTCCCAACCTTCCGTGTGCATTGACTCTTCGTGTTGGATTCACCAGAGTTTTCTCACCTGTCACCCTGCAGGAAGAGGAGCCACCGCCACTATTCCCTGCCCAGCAAAATACCAAACTACTTGCTGGTCTTTGTACCATCTCTATGTGCATTAGACTGGTCTCCTTGCCGCCTCTTGGTATATGGCACTTACAGAGACCTCCGCTCAGGTGCTCAATTTTACTTGCTCCTCAAATACTTCTTTTCACCTTACCTTTAAACAGATCCACTTCTTAAGATCTCCTTTATGTAGCATTTTTTCTCCTAAAGAATTTCCAACATTTGTATAGCACCTTATGATTTATAAATATTGTTTTGTTTAATCCCCAAAGCAATCTTGTGAATTACTATGATTATCATCTTAACTATGGAGATTAATATCTTCCTTATAAATGTCACACAACGTATGTTAGATAGCAGTGGTCTCAGAAGAAGAACTCAAAATTAATTTAATTAATATTTGTTGAGCACTAAGATTCGAAAATCAGTGGGCCTGGTGCTATAAATCATAGAAGTGTGATGAAGTTATAATTCTTATTCTCAGCTAATATTCTTGTGGGAGGCAATAAAAACACAATGGTAGTAATACCAGTAATAATAATAACAACAACAAGTGGTTTATGATTACCTGCTATGTACCACTTTAGTACATTTAACATATTTAATTTATTTTGATCCTCGCAATAACCCTATGAGGTGAGCATTGACATGCAATTCTTATAGATAAGAAAACAACTGAATTCAAGAGAGGTTTACTGACTTACTCAAACTTCCACAGCTAAGGGGTGACAGAGCTGAGCTTATTAATCTATGACTCTCTGACTTCAGAGTGCCTGCTCTTTCCACTACATCATATTGCCTCTTGGATGCAAATAACTATAGGACAATGAAGCCTAAGAGATGAAGGACAGCAGAGAATAGAATGTTTAATTCTATTTAGAAGTAGAGAACTTTAGGTTTGAATTGAATCTTGATGCATGGATAACATCAAATAAGAGGGACTGGGGATTGAATTTGGGAGGGAAAATACCCAGGTAAAGAAAACAGCCTGAGGTATAGCCTGAGTGCATGGAGGAAGGAGGGATTAGTAAAATGTGAAATAAGTGTGGCAAAGTAGTTTCAGGGCAGACCAATTAGAGAATGGACAAACTTGATAGACATTGGAGAGGTAGAATCAACCAGAACTAAGGACTGATTGAATTTTAGGGAATATCTTAGTCCATTTTGTGTTGCTATGACAGAATACCACAGACTGGGTAATTTATAGAGAAAACAAATTTATTTCTTACAATTCTGGAGGCTGGGAAGTACAAGGTTGAGGGGCCACATCTGGTGAGGGCCTTAGTGCTGCATCATCCCATGGTGGAAACCATAAGGACAAGAGAGTAAGAGGGGCTGAGCTTGCTTTTATAATAAGCCCACTCCAGCAATAAATAATCCACCCTCAAGTTAATGGCATAAATCCATTCATGAGGGCAGAGCCCTCATGTCCTTATCACTTCCTGTTAGGCCCTACCACTCAACACTGTTGTATTGGAGATGAAGTTTTAGAAACATACACTTTGGAGGACACAATCAAATCACAGCAGGGAGTAATGGAGAGAAACAATTTCCTAAAATTTTAATTTGTAAATCTGAGAAAAAAAATGTGTGTGTGTAGGTAGCAGGAAAAAAAGGCAGTATGTTTTGTTAGGGACATAAATATTAATTGATTTCTTCATTGATTATGCATGGAGATTGGTCAATGCTAGAAAATCATTGAGGCCAATTCTCAAGATGCTGGTAATGTGCAATTTAATGTGCAACACAGCATCCTGCAGGTGCCCTGGCCTGATCCATGCTCCTCCTTCACTCTGAATGAAAAGGAAATTTTCACTTTTGTAATGTCAGTTCAAGGTTGAAATATTACTTGGCCTTTCTCCTCCTCCAGTGTTTTAATAAAGGTACTAGAGCTGTTCGGAGACTGGAATCATGCTTAGAAGACCTGCGGCTGCTTTTAACTCCACAGAGGTAATTGAGATTTATGAACTCCTTATTAGTGCCTTAAAACAAAATGAGGAACTTGAAATTCCCATCTGTCAAGATTAAGGAGGGAAGAATTTATTTTTGCTCTTAAAATCTTTAATGATTACTTTTCACCTTTCCCCTTTTATATCACTCAGGAGCAATATCTCCATGAAGAGTTAAAGATGCATTAGAAGTAGAAAAATGAAAAGCCTAAATCTTTATTTTCAATTCTGAAAATATGTTGAGCATTTGGTATATGCCAGAAATCCTGCCAAGCTCTAGGAACATAAAGATGAATACAACAAGATACCTGACCTAAGTACTAAGCAAAGTTTTGCTGACTTAAAATCCATTATGTTTTTGCTCCTACTATGTGTCACCAAATTTACTTTTTCTCACTTTTTCTTCAAAATTATTCTTCAAGGTCATTTTGAAGAAAGATTAACTAAGTTGCCCAAAGTCGAACAGTAATAGTTGGGATTAGATTCCACTTCTGATTCCAAAATTTTAGAAAAATGAGCTGTTATTTTGTTCAACATATATCATCACGATGGCTTCTGAGAACCTTTGGTCTTCAGCTTCAAGTCAAACCAAGTAGACTTGACTGGCTACTGAGAAAAAGCCAGTTGTAGGACTTCATCTGGGGAATAAGGTGCCTGCTCAGATCTGCAGTGTGTGTTTGTGTGTGTGTGTGTGTGTGTGTGTGTGTACACACATGCATGCAGATTTGTAGAAGAATTTTCTTCACTCTCATCCTGCAGTGGGTTGTGGTCTCTCTTGTGAAATTTTTCCCTGGAGTCTATTTTGTGAAATATAATTGAAATCGAAATGCCAGTGATTTTTAATCATACTCCCAATTTATATCTCATGTCACCATATGCCAGTGTTCTCAGAGTGTTACAGGGATATGAATTATGCTGAAATTGGATTAGGCAAATACATATTTGCCTTAAAAAATAGGTACCCAGAGCAGTAACTTAATTCTTCCAACTCTAAAGATTCTCTCAGAAACACCCTGTGTATCTTATCAGCAGCAGCAGCTCATTGTGAATTTTCTTCTGGGCTACTTTCTCTGCCTTTTCATTTTCTTCTAGAATCTACTGTATTTAACAAACATTATCAATTGAAGGAAGTCAATTTATATCAAAACCATCCCTAAATGTAAGACAATTAGGTTTTCAGAAGAAAACCTATCAAAACCCTTCTTCCAATTCTTCAAACTGGGGGGAGCAGAATAGAAGGCAATTAAGAACCATTTCCCTTCCAAGTAGATACTTTATGCTGCATCACACTTGAGTATCTAAATAGTAATTAGACCAGAGCTTCAGACTCCAACTGACTGTGAGACAGTCATTATCTTATTGTTCTGTAGCAGCATTATGTTTTGCTGAGGACACTAATATGGGCAAACACTACTGAAGGGTTGCTAACTCTAGGGTATTATTACTCTTTATATTCTGTAGGAAAAATTTCTCAATACTAATAAAGGCATAGGTTTAAGCATATGACAGGAAAAGAAAGATTATTGGAGCAAAGATTCTTCTTCAAACAATTCACCAGTTCTCTTACATTTCTTCAAAAGTGACCACATGGAGTGTTTACAATTGTGGCTTCTGGCACTAAATGGCCAGGGTTTATACCACTGACCTGGTCCTTCCCAGCTATGAGATCTTGGCTAAATTATTTAACTTCTCTGTGTGTTAGATACATCAAAAGGTTGTTCTGAGGATTAACTGAGCTAACATATGTGAGGTACTTGATGCCTTGCATAGAATATGAATTCAACAAATGTTTGCTATTAACGTTATTTCAGCTTGGTTTCATTGTCTGTAATTGGGTTTGGTTGGAAATATAGTGACCCCACCACCACCACAAAATATGTTCACATGCTAATTTCTGGAACCTGTGAATGTTACCATACATATAGCAAAAAAAAGACTTTGCAGACAGAATTAAGGGTTTTGAAATGGGGAGATTATCTTGGGATTTTATTATTCAATATAATTACAAGAGTCCTTATAAGAGAAAGAGGGAGGCAAGAGGGTCAGTCAGAGAAGAAGATGTGAGGAAGGAGGCAGAGGTCAGATTGATGTGACTGCTGGATTTGAAGAATGGAAGAGGCCCATGAGCCAGAGGACACATAAAGCTTCCAGACGAAGGGAAAGGCAAGGAAATGGATTCTCCCCTAGAACCTCCAGAGAGAATGCAATCCTGCTGACACTGATTTCATGAGACTTCTGAGCTTCAGAACTGTGAGATCATAGATTTGTATTGTTTAAACCACTACCTTTGTGGTGGGGTCTTACACTGGCCCTGGGAAACTAGTACACTGGACTGTTCACAAACATGCTGTGCCACCTCACTGCTCCCTATATGAGCAGGTGCTACATTGCCAAAAGTTCGAGTTTCCTCCTAATATGACTTCTAGGCCACATTTTCTACTGCCCCCATTCATGAGCCCTGATGTACAGTGACCTAGATTTGTATCCTTTTTCTGACTTGCCTCCTAGCCTACCATTCCTTTGTAACTACATATGCATTTGGCTTTGCCTAGAAGGTTGTTTTTCTTTTCTCCCTATACCAAAATTATTTTCTATCCTGTAAGGCCACGTCCAAATGCCTTCACAGCATTTCTAAACCTCGTTGGCCCTTTTTCTTGGCTCGGAGATCTGTCCTTCAGGGCCTAGCTATGTGCAGACCAAGCTGACTGATAGAAAATAACCAAATAGCGAAAGCATGAGTAGCTTCAACATTCAATCTCTGTTATTGCCAGCCTGTGTGGATGCATGGGAGCCCATCAGTGACCTCAAGCTCCTGGGGCATTCTCTAGTTTCCAGAGCCCAGAGGCTGAGCTTGAGTCATTGAGTTTATGGCTTCAGGGGCCCAGACCTGGACATAAGCTATGCATCCCAGCCCCTGTGAGGCCAACCTGGCTGTTGCTGGTCTTCTTCCAGGCTCTGTCCTTGCCTGCCCCACCCTCATGCCTTTGTGCACCAGGAGCTCTTTGTGAACTCTCACATCTGTTGATTTCTTTTTTTATTGTTATTATACTTTAAGTTTTAGGGTATATGTGCACTGAAGCTGGAAAACATCTGTTGATTTCAACATGAAAATCGCTATTTTGTGTTGAGATTAAAAGTAATCACATTAGGAAAAAATAGAATCTTGACTGAATCTTTAAATCTGAACATTTTTTTTGGTAGATAATAAGGTCAGTCAAGGACAGAGGACCTCGCGGCCTGTCTGTGATATCAGATTTAATGGAATTAGTGCTCCAAAATAGCCCAATCAGCTCAGAGAGCAAAAATGAAGAAACTGAAGAGAATGTACCCAAGGTCACACAACAAATTGATGATTAGTTCATGACTTAGTTATTAGTTCTCGTTGACTTTCTGGTGTTACATAATGACTGACTCTTACTTTCTTTCTTTCTTTACTTTTATCTGATTCCATCAACTCTTTTTCTAAGTGTAGCCAGGAAATGTCTAGCAGCATAAGGCCTCAAATTCCAGATTCTGAACTTGAAAGTGATAAAGAAGTTTCACATTTTGAACAGAATTAAATTTCCGTTAAAAATTATAAACTATATGAATTATTAAAAATACCTTTTTAAAACACACACACACAAATTCTTTCAAGTTACTATCATAAATATAATTATCAAATGTATGTTCTCATTTAAAGAGGTGGAAAATAATGTGGACCATTTCTAAACATATCCAAAGTAGATGGGTACATACATACACACACACACACACACACACACACACACAGAGCCTCTGATCAGTAAAGAGAGCAAAAAGGCTATTACCTCTATAGAACTTCTATATTACTTCTATAGACGTAAACTCTATGTTTGTGTAGCCTAAGTTAGGAAAATGACCCCTGAGATAAAAATTGCTTGTAGAAATGCTCCTCAAAGCATTGGCTTACCTTAGCCTGTTAGGACCCAAGTATCAATAAAAAACCACAGTAGATATGCTACTTCCAAATCTTTCTCCTCTTTTTCAGTGTCCTCCCTCTCTTTCTGGAAACTCAAATTGAATGCATAAAGAGAAATTAACTGTTCAGATTTAAAACTTTTTCCTTCACAAATATAGGTGAAAACCTGAATATGTTAGAAGGTTGCTAACCTATGACACACTGAATATTTTTTAGTAACATATCTGCGGAAAAGTGGCTGAATCTATGCTAATAAAAAATATTATATTCAGAATTCCCCCTTTCTTAGTTAGTGATTTATATTTGAGGAAGTTTAGCCACTAAACATATTTCTACTCTTAAATTATCTCACTACAGATCCAATAGAAGCCATCATACATAAGAGCAAACAGAGATGGCATAGGAATTCAGCTTAGCAAATATTTACTAAACACCTACCAGGAGCCAGGCACTGTGGCAAGTTTTGAAGAGAATGACATGAATAAAACATTGTGTCTGTTCTCAAGGACTCCACAGTGCAAGTCTGAAACTGCAGGTGTCTAATAAATGTTTATAAAATAAATGAAGGAAATTTAATCGAGGAGCAAGACCTATGAGGAACAGATTGTAATGCTGTTTGATTAGACCAGTGACCAAGTATATGTACAAAATACAAATATAACACAGAAGAGAGTGGTAGAGTTTTGGGAGGATGTGGAGAAGGTGACAGCAAAGTCACCTTCCAGAGGAGGTTACACCTGAGTTATGTTGTAAAAGATGAATAGAGATTTATCCTGCAGAAAAGGTGAGGAGTCCAGAAAATCTTGGCCTTCAGCAAACTTGACCTAATTGAACAACTCCTTTGATCCTTAGAAAGCTGCATCTGCAGATCATCCTGGAAGAAGCTACCCTATCCCTGTTCATGCATCTACTAATAAAATAGATCCAGTACACTTTTTCCTTTGGCCACATGAAGAAGAAACTCATGCATACTTTATGAATGGGATTATAAATCTTCAAATCTCTTAAGCTGCTACTCTTTTGAAAGTTTTAATGTGTTCTTTTACCAGTGAATTTATTTTTTATATTCCACTTGATGGTTGAAATGTATTGTTTTTTTATTTCTAGAAGTTTCCAGTCAGTTTTACATTACAAGAAATCTGCCACAGATATTTAAACTTGGGATCATCACTTGTCTCATTATACTGGTAGTAAACAGGCAATGCAATAACATAAGAGTAATAAATGATAATGATGATACTAATGAGAAGAGTCAAACTAGTTATTTTCTTCAAGGAAGCCAATTCTTGTTTGTTTATAAAATTCCTTTGGACATCTTCCAAATTAGAAACAAACGTGTAATTAAGCCAGTTTTTTTCCTTTGAAAACTTTTACCTTGGTAATTGAGACTGTAGGGTCTGGATACAATTAATGGATAATTTGGAATATTAGACAAACTCTTAGGAATCCAGTGGGTCGTCAACAGATTGGTTCAATTTTAAGAAAGAGATTCCTTCTCTTTCCTGGAACTGGAGTAATCTTACATAGACATCCTCAAGTTGGCTTGTGCTGACCAAAACTTCTTTTTTTTTTTTTTTAACATATAGCATTCCATCCTGGAAGTAATAGCTGGTGGAAAACCTTGTTCTTGATGTTCTCCTGGGTATTTTATTTTAATTCCTGCCTTTTTGGAGTCTTGATTCCTCAACATTCTTGTGCCTCTCTTCTTGCAAATCATTTAAAGATATGAGATCTGAACAAAGCAAGGCATATGCAGTCCTAATTTATACAATAAAATAACACTGCTGCCTGCCTAAATCCATTACTTTATTTTAGTTTCCCCTACATGACCAATGTACCAAGTTAACTATTGTTGGGTGATTTCCCACAGCAATGTGAATCTCATAAAAAGATTGCTTACTGTCATTAAATGATTTAAATCAGTTATGTAAGCAATAAACTCACTTTATCTTCCAAATTTATTTTTCTCTACTTCTATCTGATTCCACCAACTTTTCTGAGTTGTAGCCAGGCAATATCCAGCAACATTTGATCTCAAATTCCAAATCCTGACCTTGACATCTCAAATTCCAGATCTCACATAGAATTTAGTTAAAAAATTATGTACCTTGTTCAGTGACTGAGTTAAACAATATTTTTGTTATTCAATATTTCCCTTGTACATGTTGATTCTCTATTGCCATAGACTCCTGGATAAGTTGGGCAAAATCAAGGTACTTAAGTGTTTCGGGAAGTCAGGGACCCCGAACAGAGGGACCAGCTGGAGCTGTGGCAGAGGAACATAAATTGTGAAGATTTCATTTTAATATGGACATGTATCAGTTCCCAAAATTAATACTTTTATAATTTCTTACACCTGTCTTTACTACAATCTCTGAACATAAATTGTGAAGATTTCATGGATATTTATCAGTTCCCAAATAATACTCTTATAATTTCTAATGCCTGTCTTTACTTTAATCTCTTAATCCTGTTATCTTCGTAAGCTGAGAATGTACATCACCTCAGGACCACTATTGTACAAATTGATTGTAAAACGTGTGTTTGAACAATATGAAATCAGTGCACCTTGAAAATGAACAGAGGAACAGCGATTTTAGGGAACAAGGGAAGACAACCATAAGGTCTGACTGCCTGTAGAGTCGGGCAGAATAGAACCATATTTTTCTTCTTGCAGAGAGCCTATAAACGGATGTGCAAGTAGGAGAGATATCACCAAATTCTTCTCCTAGCAAGGAATATTAAATATTAAGACCCTAGGAAAAGAATTGCATTCCTGGGGGGTGGTCTATAAATGGCCCCTCTGGGAGTGTCTGTCCTATGGGGTTGAGATAAGGATTGAAATACACCCTGGTCTCCTGCAGTACCCTCAGGCTTATTAGGGTGGGGAAAAAATCCCACCCTGGTAAATTTGAGGTCAGACCAGTTCTCTGCTCTCGAACCCTGTTTTCTGTTGTTTAAGATGTTTATCAAGACAATACGTGCACAGCTGAACATAGACCCACATCAGTAATACTAATTTTGCCCTTTGCCTTGTGATCTTTGATTTTGTCCTGGCCCTGTTTTCTCAGAAGCATGTGATCTTTGCTCTGCTTTTGTCCTTTGAAGCATGTGATCTTTGTGACTTACTCCCTGTTCATACAACCCCTCTCCTTTTGAAATCCCTAATAAAAACTTGCTGGTTTTGTGGCTAAAGGGGGCATCATGGACCTACCAATATGTGATGTCACCCCCGGCGGCCCAGCTGTAAAATTCCTCTCTTTGTTCTCTTTCTCTTTATTTCTCAGACCGGCCAACACTTAGAGAAAATAGTTGAAATATTGGGGGTGGTTCCCCCGATACTTAAGACAGGTTGTGGCAGAGAATTCTTGTTATGACAGAGGCTCAAGAAAGTTAAATAAAAACTTAAGAGATTAAGAAAGTGAGTCATCCTCCTCCTGGGTGAATAGAAGTGAAGGTTTTTGTATTTTTTTTAAATAAAAATGGACTTTTTTTATTAAGTGAGAAGTTGAAATGTACAGGGCATATTTTTAAACCTTCTATTGCACAAGCTGAAAGCTCTGGAAATCTACTTTCATTTTTGTCATGTAAATTTTGTGAATGTACTAAAAGGTCTTTATTCCACAGGTAGGGCCAGTGGGTGCCCTTGCAGTCACATTAAGTCAGAGGAGAAAACTGCCTCAGGATGAGATAGATGTTTGATGTTGGAGTGGGGAAATATTTAAAGATCCAGTTTGACAGGAGCTCCACTGTGCTCTAATAGTGAAAGAAGTTTGTGTGCTTTGGGCTTTGGATTTTTGATTGAAGTCTATTTTTTCATTCTCAGATATTTTTTAATTTGATGCTTACGTTTCTTACATACTTTGATTGTTGCATATCCAATTCTCTACTCTTTCACAAGGGAAATATTAATTTGGACTCTTTTATAGTAGATTCCTTCAATTCTAGGGTACTGTTCCTTTGGTTTCTCAAAATTGGATTCTTTAGTGATAGGGTGAATGTCTTAGGCAATGACAAGAAGCAGTCTTTAAATTGTTCTTCTGTCTGGGAAAAAATACCTTGATGTAATGTAAATGGATCTAGGAAGTGGCCAGGGCATAGTTAAATTTTTTTATTTTATTATCATATGTGCCATTGATCCTGAGCTATAGCTTATATTTTTCAAAGATGTATTTGCTTAGTTACTCTTGCATTTAATTAGAAAAGAGTATATTAGAAGTATGAGGGGCTTCAGAAATAAAAACAATCTAACTTCCCTTTCAAAATAGAAATCTCCTCTGAGAATTCAAATATAATGAGATAGCTCTGTGTTTAATAGACTTTTCTTTTTTGTGTGTGTCCAATTTTTTTTTATTATACTTTAAGTTTTAGGGTACATGTGCACAACGTGCAGGTTAGTTACATATGTATACATGTGCCATGTTGGTGTGCTGCACCCATTAACTCATCATTTAACCTTAGGTATATCTCCTAATGCTATCCCTCCCCTCTTCCCCCACCCCACAACAGGCCCCGGTGTGTGATGTTTCCCTTCCTGTGTCCATATGTTCTCATTGTTCAATTCCCACCTATGAGTGAGAACGTGCGGTGTTTGTTTTTTTGACTTTGTGACAATTTGTTGAGAATGATGGTTTCCAGCTTCATCCATGTCCCTACAAAGGACATGAACTCATCATTTTTTATGGCTGCATAGTATTCCATGGTGTATATGTGCCACATTTTCTGAATCCAGTCTATCATTGTTGGACATTTGGGTTGGTTCCAAGTCTTTGCTATTGTGAATAGTGCTGCAATAAACATGTGTGCATGTGTCTTTATAGCAGCATGTTTTATAATCCTTTGGGTATATACTCAGTAATGGGATTGCTGGGTCAAATGGTATTTCTAGTTCTAGATCCCTGAGGAATCGCCACACTGACTTCCACAATGGTTGAACTAGTTTACAGTCCCACCAACAGTGTAAAAGTGTTCCTATTTCTCCACATCCTCTCCAGCACCTGTTGTTTCCTGATTTTTAATGATCGCCATTCTAACTGGTGTGAGATGGTATCTCATTGTGGTTTTGATTTGCATTTAGTTTTAGTCTTGGAGATTTTTGACAATCTAAGGAAAGCTTTAAACCATCCCTAACAAATGGGCATTTGCATTCAAACACAGAATTTTAAGAAATTCACAGGCCTCTGAAATCCCATTCAGGGGCCACTTGGGGTTTCCATGGTCCCAGGTGAAGGTCTCTTCCTTGTCTCCAACAAAGTGATCATGCAATGCCACATAAAGAACCTATGGCTTCCTTGGGTATCTCATTCTGGTTTTGTTCACTGTAACATTCTAAGTTCTTCTTTTTATGGAGTGGAAATGTATCTCCCCTCAATTCAACCAAAAGTCCTTTTCTAGTTCTTGGAATCCTACAGAATAATTGATCTCTCTTCCTGACAATGGCTCTTTTGTTTTAATATTTGACAACAAAATTAAAAGCCAACCCTGGGTCTTGTTTTAAATGTAATCTTATTTTACCTGATTTTCAACTTTTCTCACTAACCTTACTACTCTAGCATAGACAGAATTTGCAAACACAGGGCATCGGTTGACTAGATGGTGGATCGTTTTTATAGAGAGAAAAGATTTGCAGAGGTCTTGCATCTTAAGATAAGCAGTGATCTGATTTCTTCTAAAAATGTTTCAAGATTCCCTACTAGGCAACTTAATAAGAATTGTGGTTTGGCACAGCTCTGATTTGTAAACTAGTATTTCTGGGAGATGAAGATAAAATTCTGATAACAGCCATGTTAAATGTGAAATGCACAAGAAACTACAATGTATTTGTAGTCATTCTTACAGATATATAGTCCACATCCAGTGGCAGGCATGCCAGCTGACCCATAAAAGACTAAAAACGACATCTTTTGAAGGAAAAGGAAAGAACAAATTTTTAAACCAGGCAGCATGATACAGGATTCATATCCCAGGCTACTCCTTAGTAGCTCTGTAAAATGGAGCAAGCTACTTCACCTTTCAAATCCTCAACTGCTGTATCAGGACTAATAAAACAAAAGTGAAGATAATATTACTAATTTCTAAGGTAGTTATATGGTGCACATCAAATAATAAATATTACTCACTGGGTAGTTACTAATACCTGGTGGGATATAGAGATGATTATATTCCCTTCCAACTCCAAAGTGCTCTGTTACTTGTTCCTTCATTTGATGTGTATCTAAGAGATGAGTGGAGCAGGAATTGTTATCCATATTTCCCTGTGAGGAATCTGGAAACAGAGCTGTGATGTGCCTAACAAGCATATAGTAAACAATATGCTTACATAGTAAACAACATGCATATAGTAAACTATATGCCAAACATGCGTATAGCAAACTATATGCCAACCTTGCATATAGCAAACTATATGCCAAACAAGCATATAGTAAACACAAAATTTAATTCCAAGTCTATTAGGTGAATTAAGTCAGTTTTTTATAGATTACTGGCTTCAAAGCTCTTATAAGAGGAGGTCGAAATTAAAATTTCCCTACAAACAGTAAGATGAAATAAAAAAGTTCCAAAGCCAAACCACCATAGGCAGAGTTGACCAAATAAATGGTTGAGAAATACCTCTTGGATTCAGGTTCATTGGTTAAATCAGATGTATAAATAGGAGTTAGAATGGCTCCCACTCCTGCCCATGAAGGAATAAACACCCTGGGAATTGCTTTGCCACTGCAAACAACTACAAGACTGGTCAAAATCTATGGAACATTTGTTTCAAGATGTTGGACAACCAGGCTGTGCAAGACTGTGTGTACGATCTCTAAGAGAATGGAAATAAGTCATGTGAGCTTTGCAGTCACCCTACCTCTCTGCCTGGAGGCAGTTCCCAGGCCCTGGCAGGGGAAAGAAAAGCCCAAGCAGGGCCCAGAGTTCCCCTGAATTGAGAAGATTGAGGTTGGCATCCTAGGCAGTTAGCATTTTGGAGACAAGCACTGGAGAGAAGGGAGCTGAAAAGGCCTATAGAGGATCCCCCAGAATCTCTGTCTGAATATTGAGGTGCACATGTGTGGGGTAAAACACCATGAAGTTGAACAATTCTAGGAGCTCGTAGAGGACTAGGAATAGTTTGCATTTCCACCAGCTAAATAAAGAAACCTGATAAACCATACATAAGTGGGTAAAGTGCTCAGAAAGGCATAATCTTAGTATTTAGTACAGCCTCATTTACTTAGTTTTAAACTAGAGGCTACTCTAGATGCACCCTAAGAGACACACAAATAAGCTTTAAAAGGATCAAGCTGATCCCAAGTAATGTATCTGCCACGAAATCCAGCACCCAACAAACAAAACTACACAGTGTTTGACAATATTTGATATCTAGTCATACGTTCCTTGGCATA
This sequence comes from Homo sapiens, assembly GCF_000001405.40. NCBI lineage: Eukaryota > Metazoa > Chordata > Mammalia > Primates > Hominidae > Homo > Homo sapiens. The sequence goes on along the minus strand of NC_000002.12, from coordinate 14,687,114 downwards.
CCAATTAAAAAAACTAGGAAAAAAACCTGAACTTATGGGATGGAAGAGTAAAAATCTGAGGCATTTTCTTGATAAAGAGAAGCTGCTATGCTGTGAATCTCTACCTTCTCCACACCAAAAAGGTAGGAAAGGGAATGGAAGAGATCTGCTTCACATCAAGCGGTGTGTGTGTGTGTGTGTGTGTGTGTGTGTGTGTGTGTGTGTCTGTTGGGGGGGAGGGGGATGTGTACCAATGGGACAACGTGGAAAGCTTGAAAGAATTCCCTATATTTTAGAGATTAACAGTCAAAAAAATTGAACATAGCTGACTCCATCTTGTTTCTACCCCCTATAAGCTAATTGCCTTTGCTCATTCTTGCATGTAGGCCAAGCTAACTACGGGAGGAATTTAGTTTATAGTTTACCTTTAACTCAAGAATGATAATAGTCCTTTCTGGAAACTAACCCTGGAGGAAATAAGGAGGGCATACACACAAGTAACAATGTTATGTTAAAAATTGACAGGAGTATTGTGTCCTGACCAAGGACAAAGAAATTTTGCAACCCCTTCAGACACCATCTGACACCAGAGGTCTGATCACCTCTCACCTCCTGACCTCAACCTCCTTTATGTTCCCCCTTCCCAAAAATAAAAAGAAGCTTGAGATTCATGCTTTTTAAGATGGTTCTTTGGGACCTTAGGCCACCATCTTCCCAGCTTTCTAGTTCTCTGAAACAAGTCACTTTCCTTGTCCCAACATCTTGTCTTTTGACTTATTGGCTATTCTGTGGCAAGCAATGCAAGCTTTGGACTCAACGAGACCAGAGGACAGATCCCTGAGACAGCTAAAGTAGCCCTTGGCAGTAGGATGATGGAGGCTGACTGCTAATTGAATTGTTCTCCAGAGTGTCCGAGTGATAGATGTGTGAATGTTTTTCTATGGATCAAATATGATGACATGAGAAAGAAACCCAGTGTTTGTCATTTTGGTTCCTGTTAAGCCACCCTAGACAGCCAGAGTGTTTCCCATTAGAGGTGAATGCCAGAGTGTTTCCCATTAGAGGTGAATGCCAGAGTCAGGAGCTGAGAATGAAATTGCAAGTGGCAAGAGATGTATCCATTATCCAAGGCCAAAGAATTGTTTGGAGAAAGTTCACTATCATGAGATTTGCCATCAAAAAGACCTCTTTTGATGAGAAAAACTTACCTTTATCAGACAGACCAGAAGGTGGGAAGTCACCTGTCAGGTAAGAATTTTTTAATACCTATCTCTTCTTCTACCAGATTAAACTGTCAAGGTGGAAAGAGTAGTTAGCTAGTAGTGATGGAGATGAGTGGAGAAAGAGCTGGTCCCAACACCTCACCTTCCTTAGAGGGAGGCAGCAGTAGCTACAGGTCTTAGCCTGAAGGAAGAGGAAGAAAAATCCAACCTTAGATCAATATCTTAAATTTGGTCCATTCTAACTTTTGAGTAAAGCTGGGTTTGTTATTTAAAGTAAGAAACTCTGTCATTTGTATGCCAGGAAAAGGCATGGAATCTGCCCAATTTCATTTTTGTATCAGGGGAAGATTAACTCTATTGAATACATTTTATAGGGGCAGCAAGAGACCAGCCAAAAGAACATACAACTCTGTGGTCAATAAATCAGTTGCACTTCTTGTGATAAATCAGAGCTATGTCTGTCAGCACTTGCTGGGACTTATTTGAATAAAGCTACTTATCAATCTATTTGTACAAAATGACTACTCAGTTCTGTTGATTTCAACACTTACTATGTGCATTGTAAACCTTTCCCTGTATGGGGTTCTGTGATAAGAAACAGTCCTTCCCTCAAGGATCTTTCAGTCTAACTGAAGAGATAGTCTTGTAGACAAACATGTAGAATATCTTCGATATGTGCAACAATAAAGTGATATTTGGAGAAATAGATTTTTTTGGCACCACAAAGTGATAGTTTTCATTATGATAAAGAATCAAACCTTGCTTTGGCAGAAGGAGTAAGAAAAGCTTGTGATTTTTGTTTGTTTATTTATTTATTTATTTATTTATTTACTTGCTTATTTTGAGATGGAGTCTTACTCTGTCACCTAGGCTGGAGTGCAGTGGCGCGATCTCAGATCACTGCAACCTCCGTCTCCTGGGTTCAAGCACTTCTCCTGCTTCAGCCTCCCAAGTAGCTGGGATTACAGGAGTTGGCCGCCATGCCCAGCTAATTTGTGCAGTTTTAGTACAGATGGGGTTTCACCATGTTGGCTAGGCTGGCTTCAAACTCCTGTCCTCAGGTGATCCTCCTGCCTTGGCCTCCCAAAAAGCTGAAATTACAGGCATCAGCCACGGCGCCTGGCCTTTGTTTATTTTTAAGAAGCTTAGTAAACAATTGTCCCCCTCTGCTGGTAGGAAAAGCTGGTCCTTGGGGAAGAGGCAAAACAAGTTTGTAAAGGAGTATGGGGTCCAGTGATGCGGAAGAAATTGCTGTTTCACTCTCTTCACTGTTTAGACTGAGTAAACTTTGGAGTTCTTGGGCAGTTAATAGGTAGGATGGGGTAAGAAAAGCCAGTGAGAAGAATATAAATATCTCAAGTGGAAGACAATGGATTTTTCTCAAGGAAGGGATTCAGAGGCTAATGGGAAATATACGAGAGATGTAATTATGTTTGCACCCCAATCTGGGAAAGCAAGGTTGCATCTGTTATATACTGAGGTACAGAGAGAAAAAATGACTAACATTGACCATGGCTTGAAGCTGAGAAGGCTTCCAAAGTACTGTAAGGTCAAATTAAGCAGCAGATTGCCTGCTTCTTGAAGGTAGGATCTGACCTAGGTCCTAAAGCTGAGCTAGACAGACAGGGACAAAGACACAGAAGCAAGGACTTTGGATTTTATACCAAGTGTAATGGAAAAACTTTGAGGGTTCTGAGCAGAAAAGAAACCATGTAAGATTTATGCTTTAACAATAATATAAAATAACCTGCTTGCTAGGTTGATAATAGACTGTTGGGGACAATGCTGGAACAGTGGGACCAATTATGAGTCTATTGTGGGATTCCAGGTAAAAGATAATAGTGTCATCATTCCAGAAGAATGATGATAGTGACTTGGCCTAGAAATATGGTTATTATACAGTTATATAAGAGCAACAAGTCATAGAATTGGGCTGTATTTCAAAGGTAGTTCTCCTGGAGTTTGTTGATGGAAGTCGCCTGCGGTTTGTTGATGGCTTAGATGTAGAAAGTGAGAGAATAAAGGACAGTTGGGCTGAGCAACACGTGAACATTTGGGCAACAGCAGGTTTGCACGGGCTATTAAATGATTTCATTTTGCTGAACAGAATGGTTTTAGGATGGCAATTAGATAAGCAAATAGAGGTGGCAGTTTGTCATAAGAATCTCAAGTTCAGAGGAGAAACCTGATTGAAGATATAAAATTGTAAGTTGCCATCATATTGAAGACATGGTATTTAAAGCCATGATTCTAGATGAGGTCACCTAAGAGTGTCAGCAGATTGGAAATAGAAGAGTAGGGGGAATAGGGCCTGGAACACCCCAACACTTAGATAGTAGGATAAGGGGATTCAGCAACATGTGGGTCAACTAAGTAGAAAGGACACTAGAAAAATATTTTGTCCAGAAAGTCAATAAAGAAATGTTTCAAAAAGGAGACGATCAATTGTGTCAAAAGCTGCTAAGATTTTGAGTGAGATAAAAACTGAGAATTGACCATCAAATTTGGTAATAAGGAAGCTGTTTCAGTGGAGTGATGGATTTGAAAGCCTGACAGGGATGCTTTCAAGGAAGAATGGAGAAAAATAATGTCGAAGATAGTCATAACAGAGAACGGCTGCATAGGAGAACAGAATGATCAGGAGGTAGACAAAATCAAAGATATTTTTTGTATGGTAGAAGACCTTACAGTATGCTTATATCTAGATGAGGATAAACCAAGAGAGAGGAGAAAACATGATATAGAAGAAAAAATGAGAATTACAGAGTAATATCCTGAGTGGATGGGAATGGATGTGATCTAGTGCCTAAAAGAAGGATTGGCCCAAGTTAGGAGTTGTGATGGTTAATATTGAGTGTCAACTTGATTGGATTGAAGGATGCAAGGTATTGTTCCATGGCGTGTTTGTGAGGGTGTTGGCAAAGGTGATTAACATTTGAGTCAGTGGACTAGGAGAGGCAGACCCACCCTCAATCTGGATGAGCACCATCTAATCAGCTGCCAGCATGGCTAGAATAAAACAGGCAGAAGAACTTGGAAAGACTAGACTGGCTAAATCTTCTAGCCTCCATCTTTGTCCCATGCTGGATGCTTCCAGCTCTCTAACATCAGACTCCAAGTTCTTCAGCTTTTGGACTCTTGGACTTACACCAGTGATTTGCCAGGGGCTCTCGGGCTTTCAGCCACAAACTGAAGGCTGCACCATTGGCTTCCTCACTTTTGAGGTTTTGGGACTCGGACTGGCTTCCTTGCTTCTCAGCTTGCAAATAGCCTATTGTGGGACTTCACCTTGTGATCACGTGAGTCAATACTCCTTAATAAACCCCCTTTCATCTATCTATCTATCTATCTATCTATCTATCTATCTATCTATCTATCTATCTATCATATTAGTCCTGTCCCCCTAGAGAACCCTGACTAGTATAGGAGTATAGTTGTTCACTATTACAAAAGTGAAAGGAGTGTCTGTGGGTATAGACTGGGGTGATATTTCAAGGCTATGTACGTTTATGATAGTTCTAGTATGTTTAAAGCTGCCACCCATTCAAACAGATCAACACTCATGCTTATCAGTTATTAAAACTCTGTGAAATCATAGTTAGTTATAGCTATTGGGTAAGTTTATAGTTTGGGGGGTTGGAGAAGGTAGGCACTTCTTGTGGTAGTTCTGTTTGTTAGTGAAATAATCAGTGAATGTCAGCAGCTGAGAGGGAAGAAGTACTAGAATATTTTAAGATTTGAGGAAGTAAGATAAAGTCGCAATAGTGACCCTAGAGAACGAGAGAGTGAATGAAAATGTATTTGCATTTGGGAGAAACATTGAAAGCACACTTGAAATTTGTGATCATAAATTAAAATTGAGATCCATAGGCACAAAAGGCATATTTTTGTGTTTTAAATCTAGTTTTATTTAGCTCCTTAAATGTGGGTATAAAGTAGAGTGAGAGTTGGGTTTAACCAGGGTTGGCATGTTGCAAGGATAGAGAGAGAGGTACAGGAGAGTTGAGGGTTATAATGATGGACCAGAAATCAAAACCAGAAGTGAGGTCACTTATCATAGTGAAAAGGTGATAGGGCTTTGACCTTTTGCAGGGATCGTAGAACTTTTGGAGTCACGTGACTAAAAGAAATATGGGTGAAAGATAAGTGGATGCAGATTGGGTCACTTAAAAGAGAAAATTTTGAAGAAATATGTTATCAACAATGAAAATGGCTAAGGGAATGACAATAGGAGTGAGTGATAAATGGAGTAGAAGTGCAGTTTTAGGGGTAAGAAATTGAGAGACCAGTTTGTCGGTTTTATCATTTACTTGGATTTTGAAATCATCATGAATGAAGGTAGAAATGGAGGTGGTGAGGCAGAGAGTGACCCACAAGTCTTCAATGGATAAATGGTAGTGAACATGGTCATCCATGGATGACCTCCTAGGGAAGTACAGTAAGTGAGGCCATTTGCAACAAAGGAGCCAGGGGATTTCAGGCAAGCTGAAGGAACAAAATCAGGAAACGTTAACGGGGAGCCTGGAGAAAGTTTAATCTTAACTCCAAATCCTGTAATAAGTAGGGTGTAGGGGAGAAACAATACCAGTAGCTACTTAGGACCAAGGGTCTAGAATTCCTCATTCAATGTGCTCAGTGAACTGCAGAGAATAAGCCAAAAGTTTGAAATTGCACAAACTCAGGCTCAAACCCCAGCCCCTCTAGTCACTAACGGTGGACAAGTTACTTAGTAATCTCACTGAGCACAGGCTCTGTGACCGCCAAAATGGATGGAGGTGAAATGAGAAAATGTGTAGGGAACTGCACCCCACATTGTGAGGCCCACTATCAATGGGAGAAATTAATCAATGGAGTTCTCCTCCTGCCTGCCCAAACACTGTTCTTAGTCACAGTTCAGGCCTCTCTCATTTTTTTGATGTATACGTTATTTGTGCATTTGATCATTCAAATGATTTACTTAACCTATTTTAAGCTGGGTCGTGTGAAGATGAATAAAGTTTAAATCTTCAAGTCCCTTCAAGGTGGGGACCCTGTTTTTGATTATTATAACCCCTGATGTGTGTGTAACCATTTACAAAACATCTTCATGTATATCACTTCATCTAACCTCTATGTTACAGCTTTGGAAAAGGAGTTCAGAGTCTGACTTGCCCACAGTGATGACATGTAATGAACCTGGGATTCCGTCGCAGGGTCCTGACTCCCCAGCCACTTCTCTTGCCCCTGGGAATATGGCTATTTATGTGTGTTTTACAAACATAGACTCCTGCCTTATGCATTTGCCTTCTCTCTATGCTTATTTGTGGGGAACTTGATCAGTCCAAGAAACAAGTTCAGCCCTTGGAAGTCTTTGGAGAGAAGTAGCAGAAAACAATGGTGCTCAATCAGATGGAGTTGGTGAGATTATGTGTGAAAAAGCTTTGTGAGCTGAAATGTATTATGAAAATGTAAGGTGGATTTACTTTATTTTATTTTAATTTTTATTTTAAGTTCTGGGATACATGTGCAGAAAGGGCAGGTTTTTTACATAGGTACACATGTGCCATGGTGGTTTGCTGCACCCATCAACCCATCATTCAGGTTTTAAGCCCCGCATGCATTAGGTATTTGTCCTAATGCTCTCCCTCCCTTTGCCCTCCACCCCCTGACAGGCCCCAGTGTGTGATGTTCCAGGTAGATCTTTTTATAGACATGATAGCGGAGGTTAGAAAAATCCAAACCAAACTAACTGGGTAACTTGGAGACACTCTCTTACCCTCCATTTTCTCTGTATAAAATGAAATCAATAATACATTCCCTGTAGGGTTGTCGTGTGGCTCAAATATAATGGACAAGAATATTCTTTTAAAATTGAAAAGTGATTTATCAAAAAATGGACCTTAATAGTTCTGCACTTTAAGAGAAGCAGCCTCCAGACTGTCATACCCAGGGAGCTTGAAGCGACATGTGGTACATGTGGTGGGCAAGTTCTGGAGGAGCTTTCAGAGCACATAGCCCCCCTTGGGACCCCTGCAGATACACTATGTTGGTGGCTATCCAGAGAAGAATGATTCCTCCTGAACACTGATGACAAGTGCTAAGAGATGCAAATCGGCAGGGGCAGATTTGGCCTCCAGGGAGCCTAACTACAGCTTCTGCAATAAACGGCACTATGCCCCATGTTCTCTCTTCTCTCCTGTCTATTTGATAACTCCATTCACACAAAGAGGTAAAAGACTGATAGAAATTCAAGACTGGATTTGTCCATAGAGGATCTGTGCTTCACTGTGGGATACAGCCTTGATTTAAATTATTGCTCCTCTAAATGTAGACTTGAATTCATAAGGGATTAACATCAAAAGAGACATTTTGAGGAGGGGTTGGGGGAGAGTGAAGAGACTTCTGGGATCCCTGAAACTGTATCACTCATCCTGCCTTTCCATGGTGCTGTCTCCATCACACAGCACGGATGGGAAGGGTACACAGCAGATTCTCAATAAATAAAAACTGTATTCATTCTTAATAAATCTTTATTTATAATCTGTAAAGAACTCTCAATAAAAGAATCACCTTTGCTGTTGATTGAGCTAATGAAACATGTTTCCAGGGTCATTGAAAAGTAGCTTGGTAAAATTCAGGACACGATCCCTGTTGTAAGTCCACTGAATGGCTCACTGCTGGATTTTATGTCCTGTATCCTATAACAAAGTGGTCATTTCATTTTCTTTGTAAATAACTTAAATATCTTTAATTCACTTCTAGAGCATATTGCACATTACGTCTTTAAAAGTCTTTTGCATTTATTGTTCTTTTTTTCTGGCTGCTTTTATGACTAAGCACAGGCCACCCAACACATTGATGCAGGATGTTGGAGAACAGTTTTAATTTTTTTTCCCTGTCTTCATTTCCTCACTTGGAGGCTAAATTTAACTTTCTCTTCCCAATACTCTGCTGTACACAGTTGAGCTTGGCACTTTTGCTGAAAACTATGAGTCATTTTTCATAAACAGGGATTGTCATAAGTACTTGATTCACATTATAACAACAACAAATACAGAAAAAGGCCCAAACTGAATAAGTTCCAAATTTTCAGATGTTCTACAAAAATAGGGGGTGGGGTGAATCACTGTCTTTGGAGAAGATTCTTGGCTCTGTAGGTCTCATGATTTTTAATGTGTAAAATTTGTAGGATAATAGGAGTATAATAGCTATATAGCCAGCCTCACAAAAACCATCTCATGGTTATTAGGCAATATTATTTGCAGGTGTGGCAATATTCTTCTACTGTTTTTGAAAATATATGTAGCTGTTAGTAGAGTCTATTTTATTTTATAGGTTATTTAAATCATTATACTTTTTAAATGAATTATTTTTTAGACAAGAACATCATATACACAGTGGTGAAGTTAGAATGTTTTAAGTATAAGTAGGACAATATTCAGTAGAGTAGACAATTTAATAAAGCAGCCAGACAAGACCAAGTTCAGACTGTGTTGGGGAATTATCCTTCACTGGGAATGTGAAAGTTTGATAAATAAATAAAAACATTTATTTATTATGTGAACTATAAACTCATATAGCTCCTTATCTGTATAAGAGTAGATAACCTAGGGAATGAGACTTCACCAACTGATTGGACAGAGTCAGATTACAAGGAGAATTCAATCAATCAAAATTTAACCAATCCTATGGGGGTTTCGTACCACCGAATCAGAGTGCAGTGATCAACTATGGTACGAGCAGGAAGCTACCGTGGTATTTTAGAGGTAACAAAGGTAGGGAATGGTTGCAGATTTACCTATGGAATGTAACTGATTTATGAATAAACAATGTAATATTATATGGCAGAAACCATGAGCTGCTTATCCAAAACCTACTCTCTCTTTTCTTAGCAATAGAACCCTGATACACAGAGCAGCAATGTACCCAACTAAAACGTCTTCCAACTGAACCAAATCCCTTTAAACTGCTCTCCAAAAGTCCCACTCTTTGGTTGCTACTCACATATGGATATCTCTCAGTTGCAAAGAAAGTCAGGAAATACAGTCTTTTAAGTTCACATATTATAAAGTGGGAGAGGACATCGAAATCACACAGCCAAATATTCAATTTTATAAGTTGAGAAACTGAGACCTAGAAAACAAAAGCCACATTTCCTGGCTTTTTTTTGTAGCTACAGAATGGTAATGTTATATATCTGGTGATAGTGAAATGGGGATTTTGGCCTTAGCCTCTTTCCATCCTTCTTTCTTCAAATCTAAATACAATAGCTGGAGCTCCAGCAGCTATCTTTTTACCATGAGGCATCCTTGAACATGAAAGCCCCTTGCTAAAGATGGCAGACTAGAAAAGGAAAGGTTTCAGTCTCTCTGGGAATGTCAGGCAGCCTTACCAGCCATAAAACACCTGCATCTTAACTTATTTTATAAATTTCTATCTTTTACAGTCAATGTTTCGTAAGGTTTTCTTATTTTAAATGCAGCTGAACCCATCTGAACTGACACATAGCCATGAATACAGTGAGTGAGAGAAAAAACAAGGTAAATATTTAAATTTATATTTAAATAAAAAGGTAGATGGGAGATCTCAGAAGAATGCTCTGCTCCAGTTCTTAGAGAGAAAGAACAAAAACAAAACAAAACAAAACAGAAAAAGCTTATAAAAATCAAAAGGAGCTCTCCATGGTCCTGCCTTGGGAATTTAGGGTGGTGGGAACTTAAAAGTAATGGTGTTTATTTGGCACTTAGTGTTTTCTGTGTCCACTTTTTCCATGGGAATTTCTTGTGGAGGAGCGCTGGTCAAAGACAATTTTTAACAATAGCTACATTATTGAATACACATTTTGTAGAAAAACAAATACAGTGACCTTGCAGATAGAGGACTATGATTCATGATCTTTACAGCAAAGACAATCTGAGTGCCAGAAATTAAAAGTGTATTACTCCTGGTCATAATGTTAATAAGTAATAGATGTAAAATTCAAACCCAGATGTGCATGACTCTGTAATCTGTTAACAAGTTATCAGAGTATATCATTGATAAATCTGTCATTTATTATATAACTACTAGGCCCAGTAATGCATCAGACACTGTACAATGATTTTTAAGAATCCTGAGAGCAATATTGTAGATAATAAAACTGTAGACCACAGAGATTAGGTGATTTCATCAAAGTTAAGTGGACAGTATGTGGGAGAGGTATGATTCAAATTAAGCCCTTGCTAACTCTGAGATTGGGACTGGGGTCTTGGATTTGAGGCAGACACCTAGATGTGGCAACTGTGTGGCATTCTGGTAAGATAAGAAGGACATGTCCACTGGTGCTGAATCCACTATGCAGAATTAGAGGTGTTTGCATGCTGTCTGCTTGGAAAAGCTGTGCAGGAGAAGAGCACAGGTGATATCAATTAGGAGAGAAGAGAGGAGCTTATCTTTGTGTGTGTGTGACAGATATCACAAAAGCTCTGTGTAGAAGAGATCTCCTGGGTTGAAAATCCTAGAGAAGAGAGCCCCTGAGATCTATAGCCAGGTGGCACTCCTCAGCCTCAGCAAGGTGCTCTTAGGGAAAGGACCATCTTGGTCTCCCATTCTGAAGTCCATTTTCTAGTCTTTACAAAGTGTTCAAAATAAATTTGAAAGCTGCTTGAATAATGTGAATAAATAGGCACTTACTGATAGATAGAAATCTGTATTATACTGCAGAAATAGCACTGGAGTGGGAGTTAAGAAACCTCCTTCTGCTCCCAGTTTGCCATTTATTTCCAATGTGACCTTGGACAACTCACTTTTCTCTGGGTCTCAGTTTCTCTATTTGTAAAATAAGACATTATTGGATGAGATGACCACTCCTCCCAGTTTCCCCAGGACTGTTCCAGCTCTAAAATTGAAAGTCCCACTGCGTGGCAGCCCCCTCACAGGGAAAACCAGAATGATTGGTCCCCCTAACATTAAGGTTATGTGATGTGGATGTTCTCTTCCCTCTCTGGTCTCGAGTTTCCTATCTGAAAATTCTGGACTTGGATTTACTGAAGAGGACGGAGGCCTGGGGTGACCAACCATCCTGGTTTCCTGGGAGTGATTCCAGTTTTAGCTCTGAAAGTCTCATGTTCTGGGAAACCCCTCAGTCCTGGGCATACTGGGACATTTGGCTAGCCTAAGGGCAAGGAGCCTTCCAGCTCTGCCCTCCCAGATGTGGAGCTGGCCTAATTTATGATGCAGGCCCAGCCAGATGCACTATAGTAGGCTTGACCTGACCTAACTGGCCTAATTAGCTACTGCCTCTCAAAACATTGTGAGCAGAAGGCTGGGCTGAGCTGGTTAAGAGGCTCACAATTAATACCCTCAAAGGTTCATTTTCCGAGGCAAATCTATACAAAGCTGTATAATACCACAACAATCAAACCAATGCCCTGATTTCACACATGTGTTTACCCAGGAAAAAAGCTCAGGCAGTATTCTAATGAGAGGCTTTATGCTAAGAAAGAGCATAAAGACTGACCTTTGATTATTATACAAGTTTAATTATTTATTTATTTTTGAAGCTAATTTTATGATTCTTAACCAAGTGGCTGATATTGTGAAGGGGAGTTGCATTAGCACTTCCAGGACAGGGATCAGTATTGGCAAACTGGCTACCTTTAGAATTCCTTGGGGATGCAGTAGGAATAGCCTTGGATTTGGGGCAGAAAAGCAGGGATAATATACTGGCTCCACAAATTATTCAGCTTGTACCACTCAGTTGTTGTCTTTGGGCCTGAGTTCAATGGCCCTCAATACCCATCTGCCTATAGTGATGATAGTGTTGCTACGGTAGACTGTTTTATTGTTAAAAATATTCCCTGCTCTTCCCTGGAGCAGGGGCGGGGGGGTAGTCCTTGTGTGAAGAAAATCCTTTTCACCACCACTGCCATCAGGCTTAGCTGTGTGATGTGCTTTGTCCAGTGGAGTATGAGCAGAAGCTTTGGAAGGCAGCACCTGCTTTGTATCTCTGTTTTGCAGCTGCTGCAACATCTCTTTCTCTCTTGCATCTCTCTGCAACAAAGCCAGTGTATCAGTTTGTTGGGGTTGCCTAACAAAGCACCACACACTGGGTGGCTTAAACAAGAGAAATTTATTGTTTCATACTTCTGGGGGCTACAAATCAAAATTCAAGGTGTTTGCAGGTTTTTTTCTTTTTTCTTAAGGCTGTGAGAGAGAATGTTCCATGATTCTTCCATAACTTCTGGTGGTTTGCTGACAATCTTTGGCATTTCCTGGCTTGCAGAAGCATCATCCTAATCTCTGCCTTCATCTTCACAAGATGTCCTCCCTGTGCCCATATCTGTCTTTATGTCTGAATTTCTCCTTCTTATTAGGGCAATGGTCAAATTCAGTTAGAGGTTCACCCTAATGACCTCATCTTCACCTGATCAACTAAATATTCTATTTCCAAATAAGATCACATTCACAGGTACTGAGGGACAGTACTTTATCATCTTTTTAGGGAGACACAATTCAACCCATAATGACCAGCGATGTTGCAGAGAGAGCTGCTCTGTCAGCCTGAGTCCTAGATTGCTCTCATTCCACATCATAATAGAATTCTGTCTTGTGTTGTTGAGATCCCCCTAATTGAATAGAAAAGAAAACCAGCCAGGTGTGGTGGTTCATGCCTGTAATCCTAGCACTTAGGGAGGCCAAGGCAGGTGGATTGCCTGAGCTCAGGAGTTCGAGACCAGCCTGGGCAACACGGTGAAACCACGTCTCTACTAAAATAGAAAAAATTAGCCAGGCATGGTGGCATGCACCTGTAATCCCAGCTACTCGGGAGGTTGAGGCAGGAGAATTGCTTGAACCCAGGAGGCTGAGTTTGCAATAAGCTGAGATCGCACCACTGCACTCCAGCCTGGTGACAGAGTGAGACTCCATCTCAAAAAAAAAAAAAAAAAAAAAGAAAAGAAAAGAAAAGGAAAAAAAAAAGCACTAATTTCTGACCCTGGCTCCATCATTTCCTGGATTTGAGCTGTCTCTTCTTGATTCTGGGTTCAGGTTCCCCATCTGTAAAATGAGGGATTTGTACTTTTCACGATTTCAAAGTCCCGTTCCAACTCTGATGTTGTGTGTTTTGCTCACATTCCTCACTGTTGGCTGGATGGGTTAGATCTCCCTGGTTTGGCTCAGAATCATTTAGCTGCTGAATGTGCGGCTTTTAGAGGCGTGCTGCTTTTCGAAGGGCAGCTGTGGCTGAATAGCTAATGGATTTAATCAAAGAGGCAACAAATACTGCCTCATGAAGATAGGACTGTGTTGAAGAAAAAGAGTTATTTCAGAATGCTCCAACCCAGGAAATGAATGGAATTGTCTGCCTGAGTCAGAGTAGCTGCCGGGTGCCTGCCCCAGTGATTGGGGTTTCTTTGAAGAACAACTGGCTCTGGGAGAAGTGGCCAAGTGTGGTCTGCCTCAGAGAAAATAAGCAGCCTTCCAGCGCTCAGCCCTAGGGCCATCTGGGAGAAGTTTCAGCTCTGATTCGAATGATGTTTCTGACTTTGGGCAACTCAGCTTCTGGAAACCACAGTTTGCTCATCTGAAAAATGGGGCTAAAAACAGATGGTCACGGGAACCTCAGGAACTCAGGTACAGGGAAAGGTTTTGAAAAGTTGACAGTTTGCAAATACTATTTTTAGAGGAGTACATGGTAAATGAAGTGAGCTTTGGAATAAGCCATAGGTTTTCATCCCAGCCTTCCCTCTTACCCTGAGCAAATCACTTAATGCTTCAGAGCTCAAGTTTACTCATCTGTAAAATGGGGATAATTATTCTTACCGCATAGCATTGTTGGGAAGATTAAATGACATTATGTAAGTATCTTAACAGAGCTCACTACACATAACAAATGATGAAATTTTTATATTTTATTGACTTTTCATAGACTTAAATGTAATACATAAAATTAAAATTAGAAAGGAATTTTTGACATTTTCAAGTACCTCATTTTACAGATGATAGCACTTAAATGCAAATGGAAATTGAATGTCTTGCCCAAGGTCACACAGGTATTAAATTACACAAGTGAGATTACAACCCAGGATTCCTGACAACGCTTTTGTGATCTTTCTATGTCACTACCCTTCCAGTGAATATACTTTACTCCAAAAAAATAGGGTCAAAAGGGCATAACACATACAAAACCCAGACACAGGAAACCTAGGCCTTAGCTTAAGTCCCTTTGGCATGTCACTCCAGTAGGTTGATTAAAAGGGATTAGCCAATATGAGAAAGTTAGAACTCCTCATGAGGTTGTGCTGATAGTTTACTTTGGTTCTAGATTTAATCTTCATGGAAATGTGCATTTATTACTTTGTCACAGAATAAATATTTTGTAATTTTTTAATGTTCCTTCATGTTTGGTCTTTACCTTTGAAATTTTGAAACATCTCCTAGATACTTGGTAGGTAGGCAGGTATAGGTTAGGGCTAGGATTACAGAGGATGTTATGCCCAACTGGGAAAATTTTTGTGAGGGGCCTTCACAAAGGATTTTGTGCTCTCTTTTCCCAACATCACCAGCTCCCCAACTCAACTCATTACATTCTGAAAGTCTCTTTTATGAAATCTATGCCTTTGTGGGGGACCATCCAGAAATTGCTAAGGCAGTCCTTACTTTGGATGGGAGTGAGGAGATGGATGATAGGAAATCATTTTCATGCTCTTTCTCTCCCGTATGCCCACCTGGCTCATGTGAAAGCATCCACCATTTTTGGAATCCTAGAGGAGACAATACCTACCATTTTCTCCAACTGACTCTCTCTGCCTGAGAGGAGAAGAGACCTACCTGATTAACAGAATTTGGGGACAGTGCCTTACAGATGCATGGCCCCTTCTCCTCCACTCTCTCTTGCTTGCGGGGTATGTGTGTCTCCAACTTCTCTTCCATGTGATAAATGACCAGGAAAAGCTCTGCCATGGGATGGGGTGCCCTAGATTCTCCTGAAACTCTGTATGTGACTAAGCAAGTAAAATCAACTGTAAGGGTGGAGTGGGGAAGGAGTTGGCAGAGGGGATACACTACAAAACCCATCTTGGCTTCTAGGCCTAACCAACTTCTCTAGTCCATTTTTACCTGAGATCAAGCTGATATCTTCATCCTGAATCCTGTACTGTATATGTTTTTCAATGGATTCAGAACCAGATGGGATGAGCCTATTCCCAAGTAGAATATCTCATCAGCTCCTAGTTTTCATTGAAATATGGTTTAAGGGAGAAAGCTTTGCAAGTCTATCGAGATTGCTATATTAGTGATTTCCCACATAGTCCAATAACCCATTTTAGGCAGCTGTGACATTTTATAACTGGGAGGGTAGTTAGATATGAACAACAGGTAGCTCAGACATTCACCTTCCAGTTCCTACTCCCTTTGAAGTTTCAGCTCAAGAAAACCTTCTCTGGTTCCTTGAACAACATAAGCACGCTTCTGAGACCACAGTGCCTCGTTCACTCTTCCTCAATGGCATTAATCATTCTCTCTTCTCATGGTTGGTTGTGCCTTTCCCTCAGTGACCTTCTGTGTACCTGGGTTTACATTCATCAGATAATATATTTCTCTATACATCTTAGTTAATATGCAACTGCATACAGTGGGCATTTGGATTAAAATAGATATTAGAAGAGGTAAAAATCACAAAAAAAGACTACTAAGGTAAATAATTTCTTATCTAATTAGGAAAATTATAATATATTGCAGTTGATTGAGTAGTTTAGTAGTAGTCCAATAGGCAATCCAAGTTTGTTCTCATTCTATGCAAGAGTATTAGATATTTTTCTCACTTTGAATGTAGTCATTTTAATTCAAACTTGTATTTTCTCTTGTAAACCCTCCTCAGCTACTTCTATAGCTACTTGCCCCATGCTGTAGTCTCTTCAACTATAAACAAAGTAAATAAGTTTAGAAATAAAAATGTTAAGAGACGGAGTTTTAGAATTTAGAGATGATCTGGTACAGCCCTCTCATAAAATACATGAAAAAAGTAGGACCCAGAACAATGAATTAACTCCCAAACATGCCAGTAATCAGTCAGTTAGTTTACACCAGACTAGAACTAGAGCCCTGTTGTTTAATATAAAACAGTTCCAACTTTGTATTCAGTCAGAATATTTTTATTCAGTAATAGAAACAGACTTAAAAAACCTGTACCAAAAAATAACTTGTAAACTTCTCCTTCTACATTTTCCTTTAGCCTCTTTTGATTCCATAAGTTCATGCTGAAAGCCTTTCAGATATTTACTTATTCAGCCAATAATTGTTTGTCTACTGTGCACTACTGCTGTAAGCCCTAGGAATAGAGAGAAAATTAAGACCTGATCCCTGCCATTAATAAAACCACGGTCTTGATTATGTACACAGATAATTAGCGAATAGGGTCCTAGGATATTTACAGGATGCTAGAGGTGTATAGAGAATGGGGGTACCTAGAGTGATTTAAAAAGCTAGGGAGGACTTCCTGTAGGAGGCCATCTGGAAGATAAAGTTAATTAGCCAATTAACTGGATACATAGGGATTGAATGATGACAGAATACTTTAAGAGATAGCAGTGTGTTTGAAGGCATAAAGAGTCAGAGAGCACCATGCATCAGCAACGTTGCAAGTATTTCAAGATTGCTAGAACATAGCATATGAGGTTAGAATGTCCTCATTCAATTCAAATTCAGCTCAGACACTTTTTACATAAAGAATAATGACCTATTCTCCTCACCTCCTCAGGCACCTCTTCGCAAGTTTTCCCTTTGCTTCATTTCATTATAGTTAAGTTTATTATTTTACATGTTATATATCTGTGTGATGTACATGTCCTTGGCATCTGTTTTTTGGTCTGAGCCTTGAAATCCTTCTGTTGGTAGAGTGAATTATTGAACCCTTCACTCTTTCCTGTATCCATGCCTTTTGCTGTGTAAATCTGTAGTTTGCTCTAAAAAAGACAGTGTATTTCCCTCTGACTATAGGCTTGGCCATGTGATTTGTTTTCACAAATGGGCTGTTGGTAGATATGACGTAAATATGCATGTGCAATGGGCCTGGCCTTCCTGCCCCTCCATCACTGCCATGAGATCTTCCTCTGCTCTCCACCAAGTAGCTAAATCACTTCATCCTGCACCCAAGAATTAGACACTTAGAGCAGATCTGAAGATCTACACCGGCTGGACCCACAGCTTGAAGACCAGCTGTCTAGGCAAGCCGAATTGCTATCACCCCAGCTGACCGGTGATGAGAAGCAAACCTAGCTGGATCAGCAGGGCCACTCACATCTGACTCACAAGTGAAAAATAAAGGCTTCTGTTTAGATGCCACTAATTTGGGGGTTGCTTTTTGGACAGAAAAGATTGAAATGCCCTCCATATACCCTTGGCCTACATTGTCTAAGGAATGGTTGTGCAAGGTTTCAAAGGGTCTATACCTAGGTGACCGGGCTGCCCATCAACACACTCATTCCTTGCCATGTCTGTCTCTGTGAATCATTCTACCCATCCCCAGGGCTCCTTCTCTCAGGAAACCCTAGTCGAGATACCTAGGGAGAACAGACATCATCAATGAAGCTCATATTCCAGCTGAGGAGATAGGAAGCAACATTACATACAGTGAAATATGGGAGACCTGTAGAAAGTAAAATGTGGAACAACTAGGGCTACACTGGGCATGGAATGCGTAATCCAACCAGCTCAGACTGTCCTGGGGATGTGGGTGGGACCTGGGCTCTTTCAAATGGATGATTACAAAAGCTGAAAACTGTAAGAGAAGGTAGAGAACGGGACCAAAGCTATACGAACAGGGAAATGAATAATAGTGAATAATTTCATTATTGAAATTATTTGAATTATTGAAATTATTATTGAGCTCATCTTCTTTTACTGTTTCTGTTATCTTTGTGATATTAAGCACAGAATTTACTTGCTTCTTAATATTTTATCTATCTGATGCTTAATATTCATTTGTCAAGTGACGCAAATCCTTACAGACCACCATAATTTAAAATGGCTGCATGAAATAATAGATTAACAAGTACTTTGGAACCCCCCCCAAATATATGCAATTGTAAGAAGCAATAATTGTTCTTATTAAAAGGCTTACCAAGCATTTGGAAAAATATATTAGAATTTTTACAAAGTTAGATACTATTGTTACCAAATTCAGTTTTAAATAATGCCTTTCCATATTAGTGCAGTACTGAACTGTTAACATGACTGACATTTTCTCATCCATTATTCAATTTGATCTAATTGACATCTAAAGAGCACCTAGTGTACCCACCTGGAGAGAATGGCAGGAGAAAACCTATCCTACTAAATCTCCTAGGAATGGGGAGGACAAGAGACAAAGTTTGTAAACAAAGTCATCTGTCATTGCCTGATAAGGTAAAATTTCACCACTCATCTCTAGTCAGCCACAGCACATGGGTGCTTATAGAGTGGGTATGAGGGATGGAGAAGGATGGGATTAGCATTATAAAAGAATCACTCTTGGATTGAGTATTTGCCTCCCTTCCACATATAGAGAACAAATAGGCTTGAAAATGATATGTGTCTTAATCCGCACCCCTCTCCCCCACAAGATGACAAGATGTTAAGGCCTGCCTTTAATATTTGTAGGTAATAACAGTTAAAATAATTTAGGGTGTGTTAGCAAGTCATAAATAAATCCTTATTAAACTTTACAAAGAAGAAATCATATAGGTTATTATCTCTTATACCGATAGTGTAACACTAGATATTAATAACAATAGTTGAAAAACACTTTTAATAATGAAAGCAAAGATATACTAATTAGAAATTATTTAAAAGCACTATCTAAACAATTTCTATGTTTAAGTGGAAATTAAAGCCGCAATATGTTTATTAGAAACCTAGTAAAAATAAAGAAACTGTAAGAGAAGGTAGAGAATGGGACCAAAGCTATACACACAGGGAAATGAATAATAATGAATAATTTCATTATTGAAAGCATCAAAATGAATTAAGTTAATTAAGGATGAACGTTATGAAATTTTAATGTGTAGGAATAACAATAAAATCAAATTGTAGGAAGAAAGGGCAAACAGGGATTATAAGCTAATGCATTTACGCAAAAAAGAGTAGCACTGACAAATTCAAAATACAGTTTTTAGTTTTTTTGAATTGAGAATAAGTCATGGAAGCTCTATATTAATACATTTCACTATCTCAAAATTAATTTTTTAATGAAAACATAAACAATCAAACATGTTTCAAGAAGAATGAAAAACCTGAATAAAACACGTAATTTAAAACATAGTAGAAAACCTATAATATGGAATGACTCCAGGAACAGGCAATGTTAAATATTTTATGGTGTTATGGAATAATTCTCATGTTATTGAAGTTGTTTCAAAGCAGAGAAAAGACAGAAATTTCACAAATTTATTTCACCAAAATGTGACAACGATAGCACAGAAGGAACAAAGATCTCATCTGTAGTTTTGAAAATAAATGGGAAAAACTTTATGAAATGCCAAGAAATTAAGATCCAGAACTGTATTTAAAGATTGGTATACTACGACTATGTCGGTTTTATTCCTGAAATAAAGGGCTGTTATAAAATTAGTTGTATTATTTTAATAAATCTTCATGTATTAGAGAAGGAACATTTCTAATAATCTCAAAAAGTATGAGAAGTCATTTAATGAAATTATTACCCATTCCAGATTAATGGGAAATGAAAACACATATAACAGCAACGTGTAGTGAACTGGAAATTATAAAGACACTTCTTAAACATTATAAAGAATATCTAAAATCAAGAACCAACTGCATACTAATGTTGAATAATTAGAGACATTCCAATTAAAATCAGGTGCAAGTCAAGGTCCTAAAGGCCCATTATCACAACCTTTCAAGAAATTAGACCATTCAGTAATACATGAAAGAGACATAAAAGTTTCAGCGATTACAGAGGAGAAGTAAAATTATCATTGGTAAAAGATGACATGTTTGCCTATCTAAGACATCAAAGAGAGTTGATTATCCAGGATATCCAAGAGAATCAGTAACCTGTTTGAATGAACACACAAGTTAGTAACATGGCTGGACTTTTAAAATATGAAAATGAACTGTTTATGTAGGTACCAGATATGGCTAGATAGAAATTATAGCAGAGAAAAATAAAATAACAATAGACGAAACACTGTTGAACCTCTACAAGACCCAGGAATAACAGGAAACATGCAGATCTGTATAAGAAGATTGTCAACTTTCACAGCAGAATGTGAAGGAAACATGAGTAAATGGGAAGCATTTCATGTCCTCAGTTGGGAAAATAAAACATTTTAACTAATTTCAGGTTTAATTATATTATAATTTTTAAAATTTAATGCATTATATTTTAGATTTCAATGTAGTTCTAACCTAAGAATAAATAAATAGCAAAGCATGTTTGGAGGTTGTGGAAATCTTGAGTATGTTTCCTACCAGATGTTAAAACATGTTTAAAATGACAATGATTAAAACAATGTACTGTTATTGACTTACTTGAACAGATGGCACACACAAACCGGGTGACTTGAGGAGAGTTGAATAAAGGAACTGTTTATAAAAGTGTAGGCAGATTTTAGAGAAACGACTAAGGAATTATATGCAATACTCCAGGCCAACCTTAGACATGAAAGGTGGTGAGGAGACAGGGGCAGTTATAAATCCACTAATGGAAGAACAGTGGAAGACAGACACCTGGCAGGTGCTGAGCCCTTCTAGAGGGACAAACTGACCCATGGCCAGAAGGAAGCTAAGGCAACAAATGCTCCAACATACCTTACCTCCTTCCTCTGTCTCCTGTGATATATTTCACTGGTCAAATCCAACCAGAAGCCAGAGAGCAAAGGAGTCCGTGGATGCAGTCCCTAGGCATTAGCAGACAGGGGACAGATAAGAGTGGACATAGTGATTAGATCCAGAGAGGGCATCTCAAATAACAACAGAAAATAGCCCACAAAATGCCAGAATTGACAATGGACTAGATTAGATAGTCCAAATGTACACTCTAAAATATTCATTCATTCAACAAATATTCAGTGCATAAGAACATTAGTATATTATAAATCAATAAAGAAAGTAGGATTATTCAATAAATGGCACTAGGAAACTGAGCAGCTCTTTGGAAAAATTAGATTAGTGCCTGTGCAGGACTGCAAATAGACTGATTTCAGCACCCACTCCCACCTCTTTCCAACTTGGCTTCTTGTACCATAGAAGCTGGGAAGCTTAAAACCACAAGCTGTACAACACAATGGTTGAAAGCACAGATTCAGGAGCTGGACAGCCTGGGTAAAAATTCTAGGTCTGCCATCCAATAGCTTTGTGATATTGGGTAATCACTTAACTCTGTGTCTCGGCTTCCTTGTATGCAAAATGGGGATAATAACAATACCCTTTCAGAGGAGACTGTAAAACTTAAATTAGTTAATATCTGTAAAAGCCCTTAGAGCAATGCTTGGCATGCAATAAGCATTGCATAGTGTTAGCTTTGTTATACTTTTAAGGCATGGGTTTTGCTTAGGAGATACATGTCTAGATGCATATCTAAGAGATCCCAGTTCACTACACGTTCTCTGCCCATTGGAAGGCAGAAATGGGCACCACGATGTGATAAGAGTGCCCCAGGAAACTGGGCCTCTTGGTAGAGTTATTTAACTGTTCTGGGGCTGCTAAAGTGGGAGTTCTTCTCTCCAGTCCCTAGCATACAGCAGTAGTGGGTTTCCCCTAAAATACTCACATGGGGTGATCGAAGATTTCTTGCTCTTGGCTGTGTGGCATCCAAGTTTTGTGCCCTTACCCTCCTGGTAATTCAGTGAATTAGCTTAAACTATGTAATAAATCCCTCTCACCTTAAACCAGCTAAAATAGATCCATTATTTGACCAGTAAAGATTCTTGCCTTATGCCAAAATAAAACCCAGAAATTCAAATACTTGATTGTAAAATTAAAACATTTAACAATCAGAGAATAAATGTGAGCTCTTAAATGACTTCAGCTCGGACAAAAAATATTGTAAATATAAAGTTACTGGAAAAAATCTTGAGAGATTTGATCACACTGTTTATATATTAAAGGTCATACTTACATATATATTTATATATATAAATCTTTATATATATGTACATATGTTTATATATTAAAGATCAGAATGAAAATACATATAGAGGATCATGAAGAAAATTTCAACATGAGAGTAGTCATACTCTTAACATATTAGTGTTTATATAGATCATTATAAAAATATTAAAGCAGCAATATAAATAAATCCAGAAGACATCAAATAATTTATATTAAACACATTTATATTTAGGCCAGTTGAGGTGGCTCACACCTGTAATCCCAGTACTTTGGGAGGCTGAGGCAGGAGAATGGCTTCAACCCGTGAGGTGGAGGCTGCAGTGAGCCAAGATCATGACATTGTGCTCCAGCCTGGGTGACAGAGTGAGACTCCATCTTAAAAAAAAAGTATACATATATATGTATATGTGTATATATATATATTTATATTTAATTATAATTTACAATCAACTTATATTTAAATATAATAAATATATTCCAATAAAGATATATAAAACATGTGTTTATTGGTAATTTAAAAATGCAAATTAAATGCAAAATATCTTTTTTTTTTTTCCTTTACCAATTTGGCAAAATAAGAAAAAGAATTAAAGGATTTAATTTTTATCCTGGCAAAGAAAGTAGTGAGGAAGTACACGCATTCTCTGTTGGTGGGAACATAGATTGGTGAAATCATTCTGGAGGACAATTTGGTAACATTTACTGAGGCTTTATGCATCCTACTCCTGGCTCTAAAAGCCATGCTTCAGGCTGTGGCTGGTACATAGAAAACAGCTTGAAAACAAAATCTATTTCAGGCAATTGCTCAAAGCCACTCCTGCCTATTCCTGACTGTTGCTCTCTGCAACTCTCTCTTGCCACCCAGTTCCAGCTTCAAAGACCACTTCGGATTTGAGAGCTTTTGAACCCTCCTTTAATGCCAAACCGTTCAGACTTCTCGGGTCTCCGGATTGGATTTTACAGCTCACCCAATCTGAGATCCCACTCTAGTTTCCCAGTGTCTCCTTCAGTCTCACAATGAGATCATTCCAGTTCTCCCTACCAAGCCCAGCCACAGCCCCCACTGGCTGGCCCTGCCCAAGCGGCTCCTTTACCCACATTTCTCCTCATCCTTCTTCAGTGAATATTTAAACAGTCCCCAACTAGATCCACAGTTGATAAATTTTTGTCAAATGCCAAAGTTAATATATACCTTTTAGAATAAGTATAATTGAAAAGGCTCCTTACACGCTACATAGTGTTTTTTCTTTATTTGATATTATTGTATGTGACTGAAACAATCATATGCTATCTCTTGTTGGCAACTTTCAACAATATAATTTCTTCGACTATATTTTCTGTAGCTTTGCTCTAAGCTTTTAGCGATTACTATTCTTCTCAAATATTTTTGGATTCTTCCTGCTCCGGGGAAGTAAAATTCTTCTCTTCTCATTTAAGAATCAATAGATTGTGTGAGTCACGGCTTTAGCAATTTTGAAACTTCCCATCTTCTTTTTCTCCAAATTTTGAGCAAAATATGAATTGTCTTTCAATGGAGAAAAAAAATGGAAAAGCCGCTTTTATATTCCTTCTCTATTTCTCACTGTATCTTCACTTAATATGTGCCATTTTGTAACAGTTAATTCTCTGTAGAAATCAAAATGAATTTTGAAGAGATAGTGAATGGGTTAGATTAAATGGCAAGTAGAGTCAGCCAGACAGGGATCTTTTTTTTTTTTTATTATACTTTAAGTTTTAGGGTACATGTGCACATTGTGCAAGTTAGTTACATATGTATACATGTGCCATGCTGGTGCGCTGCACCCACTAACTCGTCATCTAGCATTAGGTATATCTCCCAATGCTATCCCTCCCACCTCCCCACCCCAACACAGTCCCCAGAGTGTGATATTCCCCTTCCTGTGTCCATGTGATCTCATTGTTCAATTCCCACCTATGAGTGAGAATATGCGGTGTTTGGTTTTTTGTTCTTGCGATAGTTTACTGAGAATGATGATTTCCAATTTCATCCATGTCCCTACAAAGGACATGAACTCATCATTTTTTATGGCTGCATAGTATTCCATGGTATATATGTGCCACATTTTCTTAATCCAGTCTATCATTGTTGGACATTTGGGTTGGTTCCAAGTCTTTGCTATTGTGAATAATGCCGCAATAAACATACGTGTGCATGTGTCTTTATAGCAGCATGATTTCTAGTCCTTTGGGTATATACCCAGTAATGGGATGGCTGGGTCAAATGGTATTTCTAGTTCTAGATCCCTGAGGAATCGCCACACTGACTTCCACAATGGTTGAACTAGTTTACAGTCCCACCAACAGTGTAAAAGTGTTCCTATTTCTCCACATCCTCTCCAGCACCTGTTGTTTCCTGACTTTTTAATGATTGCCATTCTAACTGGTGTGAGATGGTATCTCATAGTGGTTTTGATTTGCATTTCTCTGATGGCTAGTGATGATGAGCATTTTTTCATGTGTTTTTTGGCTGCATAAATGTCTTCTTTTGAGAAGTGTCTGTTCATGTCCTTCGCCCACTTTTTGATGGGGTTGTTTGTTTTTTTCCCTTCCTTAAACCTTATACAAAAATCAATTCAAGATGGATTAAAGATTTAAACATTAGATCTAAAACCATAAAAACCCTAGAAGAAAACCTAGGCATTACCATTCAGGACATAGGCATGGGCAAGGACTTCATGTCCAAAACACCAAAAGCAATGGCAACAAAAGCCAAAATTGACAAATGGGATCTAATTAAACTAAAGAGCTTCTGCACAGCAAAAGAAACTACCATCAGAGTGAACAGGCAACCTACAAAATGGGAGAAAATTTTCGCAACCTACTCATCTGACAAAGAGCTAATATCCAGAATCCATAATGAACTCAAACAAATTTACAAGAAAAAAACGGACAGGGATCTTTACTTTCTCATTTCAGCACCTTAATAGCCTTTCAGAAGTATTGTATTGACTGTCCTGGGGGAGAGGCAGCCGTTGTATATTTATCTTAAGATTGCCCACTTTAGTAGTTCAAATAGGATAAGAGTCCCTTAGGCGTGACTTACCTTACCTTCTTAAATGCTTAACACACACACACACAGACACACACACACACACACACACACCCTCCCTTGTTAAGATTATTTTATTTATTACATTTCTCATCTTTCACTATAGCTAGCCCAGATTTGTGCTTGTCTTAATTTTTATTATGCTTAAATATAATCCACAAGCAAGATAAATAAATGTTAGAAATAATTTGCAGTCAGAGTGCAGAAACAGGGTTGGTTCATTATTTCTAGAGGCGTAAAGTTTCATCAAAACGTATTTGTCAAATATCTTCCATGTGACACTCACTGGGGGCACTGAGGGTCTTAATAACACTATTGATGAACACAGGGGTTGGGGAGAGCAGGTGAAATTTTAAATGCAGTAAGTGTTGCCATGGCGATATGCATAGAATGTTACAGAGCCTTATCAGAATGGGGGCAGTGATGCCAAACATTCCTGGGAATTCTGCAGGGCTCTAGAGCTGATGTTTGGGGTTGAATGAATAACAGGAGAAATCCATCTAAATAGCAGAAGAAGGAGTTTACTAAAGAGGGTGAGAAGCTGGAGAGTAGAACTGGCAGGAGATATGGCTGAAAGGCAAAGAAGAATGAGATGTATTGGAATAATAGATAGTAATAAGTGCAACCTCTTGAAGGGCAAAATAGATGCACAGCCAAATGTGCCCAAAGAGTTTTATTCATTCATATCATTTCTGGAAGCCTATTTCAAAGAAATAATGCTAAATATGGGAAGAGAAAAAGTACAAACTATTTATAGCAGGTGTTTTTAATATTAAAATATGAGAAACAATCTCAAAGCCCAACTATCCAGAACACTTTAAATTAATTCAATTATTATAAAATTTAAAAACCCTGCAGTTTCATTAGAAAATTAGAAAGAAAAATTGCCCCAAATTATTCTAAAATGATGTGTTAGTTATGGTTACAGTTGTATAAAACTTAAGAGCAGAGGGATTTAAAATAGAAAAGGATCATAAAAATTGCCACAGCAGGTAGTCAAAATAAGTACTTTTTTCATTTATAAGGTTTCAAGATGATTTAATAATATATTTTTAAAATAATTGTTAATGTCCACAAAAAGAAAACTCCAACCTAGTGAATTCCAAACTTCTGCACTTGGACTTGTACCTTGAGTCTAAATTTCCAATGTAACATAATAGTCCTTTTAGTCCGTGATGAAGTACAAGATGACCTTGTAGAAAAGGTGGATTTGAGAAATTAAAATTTGCACTTTCAATCAAAATATATCCTAAGA
This sequence comes from Homo sapiens, assembly GCF_000001405.40. Lineage (NCBI taxonomy): Eukaryota > Metazoa > Chordata > Mammalia > Primates > Hominidae > Homo > Homo sapiens. Next base: position 14,660,518 of record NC_000002.12, on the reverse strand, counting down.
GTCATAATTACTTCTGGCTGATACAGAGTGCTATGTCCTGCTAGCCTGGCCCAGGGTCTTTCAAGATAAATTTGCAGACTTGCCGTAAGCTACTGGTTTAAGTCCCTCACCCTGGTTACTCAGATAAGAAAAAGAGCTGTTGGCTGTAATTTGACTATAGTTCATGCTGCAGCACTAACTGGCCTCTCTTTGAGGCTCCCTATTCTCGTCTGAGAACTTGATCAGAGTAATCTTGACCTTGTCTATTTCATTAAACTGGACTTAGTTAAGACTGGCTCAGGAGTTGCCTGATATCCCGTGTTGAAATCTCCGGAGTTTGAACTGGAATTCTGGGACCATCGGGTGAACGACATCAAAATCACTTTGGCAGCTCTTTTGAAAGCATACAAAACTGAGCCTCACCCTCAGAGATTCAGCTGGTTTGGGAGACGACTCTGGCAACTGTACATTTTAGAACCTTCACTAAAGGTGACTTCCTGCACCCTGTAATGAAATGTCTTGAACTTGACTAACCTTTCAGCTGATAATAATTATAAATTGTGGGGCAAGGAAGAACCCAGCTGCTTGTAAATACAGATAATGATCCCAAAACGGGCAGACACTGGGAGATAATTCAATCTGTGAAAGAAGGAAATCACAGTGAGCAAAATCTGTATTTTTAAAACATTTTCGCTGATGATTGACCCAGTCTGCACAGCATGGGTATAGAGTTCAAGCATAAAGTAACCATATTACTAGGCTGGGAAGTCAAATGTTAGAATTAGAGGATATCACATTGTCTGAGAATTGAAGAGGAAATCTTAAAAAGGAAGGAAACATGGGGGAGACTCAAAATCTGTATACAAATTTCCCTTAAATTCTTGGCTGAATCCTAAAATGCATAATGCGGTCAAGACTTCAAAAGGCCCGGAGGAAAACAACCAATAAAATATTGAAAGAGCTGAGCACAGACTTTAGCAGCTTCCAAGTACAGGGTGGACAGAGTTTGAAATTAGGTACTATCAAGCCAGGATTTATAACAACTATGATAAATATGCTAAATAATATATAGGGAAATGTGGCTATAGTAGGAGAAAAGATGAAGACTGTAAGGAGAGGTATGAAAATTGCAAATAACAGCTAACTGTAATTCAAGAATTAAAATATATGACAATGAAAATTCAAAAATTACGATTAAGAGCAAATTTTAATAACAGAACTGATATTGAAGATAGAGTAGTAAAAATAATACTAGCTGAAACACAGAAAAACAGGTTGCAAAATATGAACAGAGCTATAATGATCTGTGAAACAAAATCAAGTGGGCTAATATGTATGTAATTTACTAAAAAGAAAGAGAGAGAGAGAATGGGGAATTAATATTTGAGGAAGATTGACTGGAAAGTGTCTAATTATCAAAATTGGCAAACCGCAGATAAGGTCTGCAAATCCCACAAAGGATAAATGCAAAGAATACTACACCTAAGTATATCATAGTCAAACTGTAGTAAATCACTAATTTAAAAAAATGTCTGAAAAGCAACTAATTAAAAAATTAGAACTGTGTGGTAAATGATACATTACACATAGGCTAAAAATAATCAGAATGACAACCGACTATGAATTCAAAATAATGGTGACAAGAAGAGAATGGAGTGATATCACATTCCTAAAAATTAAAAATATAGTCTATATCCAGCAAACATATGTTTTAAAAAGGAAGGGGAAATAGTGACATCTCACATAAGTGAAAGTCAGTAAAATGTGTTATTAGCAGTCTTGCACTACAGCAACTGCTAAGTTCTTCATACTAAAGGAAAATGATAGCAAATAAAAATAGGGATCCACAAGAAGCAATAGAGAGGAGTACTGTGGTAAAGGTGATTAATATGAAAGTTCTTTTTTTTTTAAATTCTCTTAAAAAAAGGAATTATTTAATTATTTAAATACAAAAACAACAATGTACTATGGGTTTTATAGCAAATTTAGAAGTAAACGATGACAACACTAATACAAAGAATGGAAGGTGGTGTATGTTTCTTAATTATACACCAGGTAATATAATATTAATTCAATGCCAAAATTCCTAGATCAAACTATAGAAAATTATACAAAGCTAAAAATTCAAAAAATAAAATAGGTAGAATTCTGAAGATATTTCATTAACTCAAAAAAGACACGAAAGAAACAAATAACAGAAGGAATAAATAGAAAAATAGCAAGATGTTAGACTTAAAACACAAGCATACCAATAATTACACTAAATATAATTGGACTAACCCCTCCAATTAGGACACAATATTTTCAGAATAGATTTTAAAAAGACATAGTTATGCAGTGTTTATGAGGCAAACTTTAATTATAAAGACATAGGTTGGAAGTAGTAGGATGCAAATACTAAGCAAAAGAAAGATAGTGTAGCTGTATCATGTCGGGCAAAGTAGACTTCCAGACAAGGACTGTAAGCAGAGATAGAGGGATATTTCAAAAATGATAAAGGGATATCTCTCAGGAATAGCAGAAATAAATAAAAAATCTTTAAGGACATGGAAGATTTGAGCAACACTCAAATAACTTGACCCTATAGGCATATATAAAACATCATGTTAAACAACTGCAGAAAAAAAACATTATTTTGAAGTGTATATGACTCATGTACCAAGATAAACTACATGGACCATAAATAGAGTCTTAACACATTTCAAAGCATTGAATTCATGCAGTATATACTCTCTTTTTACACTAGAATTAAACTAGAAATCATAAACAATATCTATAGAACATTTGAAAATTAAGGGACATATTTTTAGATAATGCTTAGGTCAAAGAAAAAGATTTATAAAGCCTATACATTTCTAACTAGATTCATCATGGTAAAAAAAAAAGACTGAAAACAAAAATTATCACATTCCTTGAAACTCTTCACAGGTGACTGTAGTACACAAAGTGATAATCTCTGGTCTAAAGGATGCCACATATTTCCTAATTCACTTGTGTCTTGCCATTTCTCTAATCCATACCGTCATACCTCCAAGCTTTTTCTACCGCTTCAGAACTTAAAATCTTTAAGGGCGCTCTCATTTGCCCACAGGGTAATGTCCTGGTTTCTTAATTTGATATAAAATATACTTCATGACTATTTTTTGCTTATCCAACTTCTCTTATTTTCACTTTCACCTGTATCTTGCATTCCAGCTATAAAACCAAAACATGTAAGTACATTTTTATTGATTCAATGATGCACATTTTTCATATTTCAATGTCTCTAATATTGGGATGTATTTTATGATCAATAGTATCATATAAACAATTTGCATATTATTTTGTATTAGTGCAAGTTAAAAATAATGTTATGCTTTTTTTCATGAGTCTTTGATTAAACACATAGAATCTTGCTTCCTCTTTTGTGTGCATCTGGCAATCTAAACACTCAACAGTGTTCACAAATGCTGCATCTATGTCAACTTTTTAAAAATAAAAACTACTATTTGAGTGTCTACTATGTGCTGGCCTCCATGCAATGTGCTTACAGTACCTCTTTCTAAGTTTTATGACCACATGATTAGCAAATATTATCTTAGTCTCAGGGAGGTAAATTTAATAGCACAAAAGTCACACAGCTAGCTAAAAAGTGACACAATTGGGATAAAACACAAGACTATTAGGTCCTAAAGCCTTTGCCCTTCCCACTTCCCATGAGTCCTTTCCTGGCAATGCTCCATTACCTGTCAATTTAGGCGTATGATTTTTAGAGCTCTCACAGTATCTCTTTCACTGTATTGTAATGATTTTTCTTCCATATCTTTCTTATTTATGACACAACGAAATAATTTATTTATGTATTCTTAAGACTTAGCAGAGTGCCTGATACATAGCAATACCGCATAGTATGAAGTATAAGAAATTAATCTATGAGGTATCCCCAACAAGGTGACTTTCCTATCCCCTCTTCCAACCATATCCATTATAGTGTCAGTGACACTGGAAAGTCAAACAATCTGAAGATAGGATTATGGTCGGGAACTGAGAAGCCTAACCTGTAAGGCAGTGACAAGAAATGGTTTTCATCTTAGCACTTACTCTTAGTGTTCAGAAATACTCTGTACCTGTCTTAGTTCAGTGAGAAGTGCAGGGATTCATACCTGTGTCATCTTCCCTGGACATGGCTGGGTGGGGGATGGGGGAGTGGCAGCATTCTTGTGATGGTTTGCTATCTGTGCTTGAAAGAATCCTGTTCTCTCCACCCTCAGGGCCTTTTCTGTTACTGTTCCCTGTATTTGGAAAAGTCTTCTCCTAGATATGGCTCTCTGCCACTCTCTCACTTTATTCAAAATTCTGTTTAAATATCGATTGATCAGAGAGGCAGACCTCACCATTCATTCTAAAACAGCACGTTTCCCCATCACATAATTCACTATGTATTTATTGGACTTTTAAAATTATTTGTTGCACTTATGGACACTTCATATTATCTGGTATATTTTTGTGTATTCACTTATTGTTTGTCTCCCCTATGTAAGCTGCATGAGGGCAGATACTTTATTCTGTTCACCAGCCACCTGAAGAATGCCCAGCATATAGGAAATGTTGAATCAATAACAATTGAGTGCAGTATCTTCTGTGTCCTTTTCCCTTGGTGGCAGTAGTAGCAAACAATAAGTATGAGAAAGGATATCTATGTTCCTAATCTATTATCCATAAGATGGATCAATTTTGCAAAATATATTGTGTTGATGCCTTACATATTCTGCATCTCTAACCATTTATGCATTTCTCATTCTTCTCTAAATTTTACACCTCTCCATCTCTCTCTTTCTGGTCTTTACCATAAGAGACATTCGCTGTTTCTCTAAGAAGAGAGAATTTCAAAACACCTTTAACTATCCAGTCCAAAGAACCATGCTTTTTGTTTCCTTAATGAATGATATTAATGAGTTCAGATTATTGACCCCTACACTTTAAATTATTCTCTTTCCCAGGTATTTTCTGAAAATAGTCCTCCAAAAAGCCTAGACCGTGATAAATTGGCTCATTTGTTAGTATCTTAAGGTCAGTTTGAGTATCAGTCCCAGTGCTGAATTTTCTTGTTTTCAGTGTTTGGCCTCTTGCAAGATACAGAGCCAAGTTAAGAAGAGAGGAAGAATAGTCTTGTCTTGAATGTTAACATTAAATTTAAAAACTTTAGGAAAGAGGGTAGTGCAGTGGTCTAGTTCCATCTGCATATTATAGAAAGTCACTAGTAATGGTTCCAATAACACATGGTGCTTTGTTCCAATAACACATTTAAGGAGTATATTGGTTAGTATATAGTTTCAGCACCTTGTGACAAAAATTGAAAGTAACTGTGGTATACACAAGGCAGAAATTACTTTGCTTCTTTCAAAAAGCCTGAAGATGCCATGGAGATGGCAGCTGTGGGCTATGAATCTCTCAGGAGCCCAGGCTCCTTTTGATCCAGTTTCTCGAACATTCTCAGAGTTTTCTTTGTCTATAAAGCCGTAAATTGTGCACTACTTCATCTCCATGCCCGCCAGCAGGAAAGAGAAAATAGAGTTGGGAGGGGCACACCTCATCCCTCCAGGGCCCAGTCAGGAAACCGAACATCACTCCTGTTTGCACTTCCTTTTTCAGAACTTAGTCACACCAAGGTGCAAGATAAATAATGTTTATTCTTGGAAGCTGTGTAGAGAACTCAATATTAGACTTGCCCTTATTGTAGACAGGGAGAGTGTTTAAAGGCATATAGCTAATAGTTTTTTTGTCACAGGAATAGTAGGATATTTTTGGTGTCTTCAATCCTATCTGATCAAGAACCATCAGTGGAAGACTTGGAATTCTTCTCATTGATTTCCCTTATGGCCCAGAATGTGGTTTTCTAAAAATACAAGCTGGTTATTTAGATAGAGTCACTAGAGCTGTTTTTCAGTTTTGTAGGTACAAAAAATATACGGGCAAAGATTTGTGCCAAGCCTACTCTCTGCTATGTTCTGAATGTTTCTATCCTCCTAAAATTCGTGTGTTGAAGTCCTTAACCCCAAAGTGAGGATGTTAAGAAGTAGGACTTTGGGGAGGTGATTAGGCCTTTGGAGAGATGAATGGAATTCATTTCTACATGGAACAGGCCCTGGAGAGACCTCTCAATCCTTCTGCCATTTGTGGTTAGAGTGAGAAGACAGATGTCTATGAGGAAGAGGGTCCTTTCCAGACACCCAATCTGTCAAAGCCTTAATGTTGGATTTCCCAGCCTCCAAAGTATGAAAAATAAATTTCTGTTGTTTATAAGCTACCCAGTTCAGGGTAGTTTGGTATTTTAATAGCAGCCTGAATGGACTAAGATATTCTTTAAAAATGGATGTATAAACCAGAAAAAGAAGCTAACTTAGAATGAGAAAAATAGCTATTGATTGGCACAGGCAGTTTGTGTTAACAGGACCATATGGGAAGCTATTAGGAAAGCCAAGGGATAATGGGAAGTGTCTGAATGAGTATAAAGAATAACAAAAGAAGCCAGTTATTTCAATAAAAGTTCATAAAAATTATAAATGTAAGTGACATCTGGAACAGGCCTTACAGACTTTTAGAACTTGGAGGATATTTAAAGATCATTTAATTCAGTCTCCAACTTTGAGAAAAAAGGAACAGAGGTCCAAAGTGGAAAAGTGACTTGATGAAAGGTCTCATAGCTCATTACAGGGAGAATGAGGCAAAATAAAAACAAAACAAAACAAACATATTTCCTCGTTTCTAATACAAGAGTGTTTTTCAATTTAATTTACACTGGATTTCATTGATTGTTTCATTTATTGAATTATTCATTCAACAAACTTAAATATTTTAAAAACTTATTTAAATAAATAAAAACACAGCCATATAATTACCACCCAGATTAAGAAATAGAATGTGATCAGCACCTCAGAGGGCCCCTTAATATTTCTCCTATTCACTGTGTTCTATCCAAAAGTAACCACTATCTTTATATATAACACCATAGCTTAGTTTTGTTATTTTAAAAACTTGATGTAAACAGACGAATATGTACTCTTTTGTCCAGCATTATGTTAATGAGATTCATCATATTATTGCATGCAAGAGCAATTCAATGACTTTTATTGCTGTAGAGTATGCCACTATATGAATACAGCACAAATTATTTGTCTACTGTACTGTTGGAGATTTGAGTCTTCCCCAGTCTTTTGCTATGACTAATAACACTACTTTTAAGATTCTTGTATGCATCTTTTGTTACACCTATGTACACATTTCTAGGATCCATACCTCAGTGAAATTGCTGGGTCATAATGTATGAGTATTTCCAAGCTTAGCAGAAACTTCCCAAAGATACTGTTATCAGTTTAAATGCCCATTAATCGTGTATGTGAGATCCGGGGACTTCACATCCTCAGCAGCACTTGGTATTGTCAGTCTTTTCAATTTTACTTTGTGGTTGGTGTGTAGTGCAGAGTAGAAATAAAAAGAACTTCCTTAGCTTAATAAAGAGTTCCTACCAAAAATCTACAGTAAACATTATACATAATGTTGAAACTTTAGAAGCTCTTTCTTTAATATCAGGAAAAATATGAAAGTACTTGTTAACATGGTTTCTATTTAATCTTATACTGGATGTTCTAGTCAGTGTAGCAAAACAAATAAAATGAAATAAAATAAATAAGTAAAAATATGCAGGAAAATTCTGAAAAGGAGGTCCTGAGGGATGATCAGTCCTATTGGCTATTAAAATAATAACTAAAGCTACAGTATTTTTTATGGCATAAACCTAAAGCATTAAAACATAGACCAATGACAAATAATATAAAATTAAGAAATAGACCCACATATAGATGAAAAAATGTAGAATATGATAAATAGGACATTTCAAATCAATAGGGAAAGAGGGCTTATTCAACTGTGTAGCCATTACAATAATAAATTTGGATCTATACCTCACTTCTTATAACAGAATAAACTGCAAATAAATTAAATATTTAAATCTGAATTAATGAAAATATAAACCTACTAGAATAAAACACAATATAATTTCTTTAAAAAGGGCCTTTGTAGCGAGATACAAAATAAAAAACTGATACATTCTATTTCATAATGGTATGGCAAAATCACCAAAATATAGGCAAAAGTAATTGTAACACATTCACAAACAAAGGGCTAATAAGCCATTTGCCTTATTAAGGCAAAGAGCTAATTTTCCCAGTTTCTAAAGAGCTTCCCTCAATTTCTAGGGGAAAAAACAGATTTTATTTATTTATTTATTTAATTTATTTTGAGATGGAGTCTTGCTCTGTCACCCAGGCTGGAGTGCAGTGGTGTGATCTTGGCTCACTGCAACCTCCGTCTCCTGGATTCAAGTGATTCTCCTGCCTCAGCCTCCCGAATAGCTGGGAGTACAGGCACATGCCACCATGCCCGGCTAATTTTTTGTAGTTTTAGTAGAGATGGGGTTTCACCGTGTTAGCCAGGATGGTCTCAATGTCTTGACCTTGTGATCCACCCACCTCAGCCTCCAACGTGCAGACTTTATTTTTTTAAAAAATATGATTGAACTGACAAAGTTGAGAAACAAAAAGAAAGGTCCAAGACTACTGGAATAAAATCAATACATAAAAATTAATAGCATTTATCAAAAAATAAATTTATCACCAACTTACAATATGTACATTTACCTTAGATATAACAAAGAAATCTATGAATCAATCTATTAAACAAAACCACAAGATTTTCTCAAGAATATAAAATTCTATCAAAAATATAAAATACATTATTAATATTTATGATAATAATGAGAAAAAATGAAAACCCTATCAGATAAATGGACAAAGATATAAACAGGCAAATCAGATTAGAGAAACGCAAATGACTAACCAACATATGAAAAGATGCTCAAACTCCCTGGTATTTAGGGAAATACAAATGAAAACAACCATGAGATATCACTTTGCAACTGCCAGAGTGGGAAAATTAGGAAGATGGATAATGCCAAGTATGGATGGGAATTGTGGTTACAGAGACTCATATGCACAGCTGCTGAGAACACAGACTGGAGGAATCACTCTGGAAAGCAATAAGGCAGTACTTAGTTCAGAAAGGTGTATGTATGTCTGATGACCTAGCATTCTCTCTTACCCAGGAGGTGGCAAGGACTGGGGAAAATTATAGCAGCACTATTTGTTGTAGTGCAGAGCTAGATGCAATCCACAGAAGTCTGCTAGTTAAGAGAAGTATAGCATAATGGATGCATAGAAGCAAATCAGGCAGCACCCAGTAGTCTTAGACGGATCTATGATGTAAATAGATCTTAAAAACCTAGTGCTAGGTGAAAAAAAAAGAAACAATATGAGATCCATAGCACAACATCATTTGTGTGCATTTATAGTACGTAAACACAAAATAAAAATTCATGCTAATATGACCATGTACAAATAAAGAGATATATATTAAGCATATTAGACTGGGGTCCTATGATGAGGATGAGCAGGATGGAAATTAAGATCGTAAATAAAAAGAAATCAATCAATAAAGAATGTGAGATTTCACGTATCAATGATTGTGACAGGCCATGAACATAGGCATATGTTAGCTTTTTGCAAAACAGTGTGTGTATATGCACATAAATGTGTATGTGTGTATCCTAAAATCTTTCATGTTCATTTACTCAGTCACTCCATATCCAGAAATATATTCCAAGGAAATAACCCAAAACAAAGAAAAAAGAATCTATCCAAAGATATTTATTGCAGCGTGGTTTTCAATACTAAACAATGTAAACAATGCAAATATTTAACAATAAATACAGTGATTAAATAAGCCATGGCATATCCAGTTGATGTAATACTTTGCAACCATTAAATTGATGTTTACAAGGAGTTTATATTGACATTGGTGATGCTAATAGCATATTAATAAGTAAAATGTATGGCATAAAATTGTATTTGTGTGAATACAATTAAAATTGAGGCATGCTTTGAAAGGTTAATAGAGGAAAGTACACATATGTGAATAGTGGTTTTATATGAGTAGTAGAATTATAGACAATTTTTTCTTTCTTCCTGCATTTTCAAATGTAATTTAATGAATAGCTATTACTTTCAAAAATGTAAGACAAATTATACCAAGAAAAGAAAGCATTGCTTCTAGTTTAAATGCAAATATCCTAAGAAATACAACCAATTATGAGCTGTCAGTACTTTTCCTAAGAGCAAGGAAACAGAACAAATTATGAATCCACCTGAGTTCCTGGAGCTGGGAACAGCCAGTGAATGCTGGTTTCTTTAAATAACAGAGTGTTCAACTAGATGCTTTGACTAAGTCACTGAGACAGAAAAGAGGTGGAATGCTACAGTGAGAGCTAGAAACATCCACAGTATGATAACAAGAAACTGGTTCAGACAACTCTTAAACCAACATTGAGGAAATACAATGTCTGTTTGGGCTGCTATAATATCATAAACTGTGTAGCTTATAAACAATATACACTTATTTCTCCCAGTTCTGGAGGGTGAGAAGTCCAAGATCAAGGTGCCAGCAGATCTATGTCTGGTGAGGGACTGCTTTCTGGCTTATAGATGGTGCCTTCTCACTGTGTCCTCACATGGTGTTAGAAGTGAGCAAGTTTCCTTGGACCTATTTTATAAGGGAACTAATCCCATTTGTGAGGGCTTTTCCCTGAAGTTTTAGTCAACTCCTGAAAGGCCCCATCTTCTAATATCATCACCTGGGGCGTTAGGATTTCAACATATGAATTTTGGGAAGACACAAAGATTCAGACCACAGCCTACAGGGAGAGAGGATTTCTGAGGATGGTGGTGCACTGTGAGTCCACGCAGGCCTCCTGGGCATAGGATGGAGCAATTCTATCTCACCTCAGGCCTAGCACAAAGGGCTTCAGTAAACCACTGGAGTTTCCTTCATTAGGATTCCATCCCAGGATATCCAGAGGACAAGAGGCTGGCCAACTGCAGGATTAGCCTATGCTCCCGTGCTGGATATAGGCTACACGCAAGAGAAAGCTTGGGTGGGATCTCCTGATATTTCACCCGGCAGAGCTTCTAGGCAGAGGAATTGCTTCTCACCTTACCTGGCAACAGGAGGGAGGATATGGTTGCTGAAAAGAGTACATTCACCCAGGTCGAGGGGGTCCAGTTGCAATACAAGGAGTTGGTGGTTGGTGGGTCTCCTAAGAGCATCCATGAGACAAAGATCCAACTCTAAAATTCTGCTAGGCACAAGAAAAACACAATGTTTTTATTTAATAAAAGTGCCAATGAAGTCATATATTTCCTGACTGCTTTACTAGCCTTCCTCCACCATCCTCTCCACATCCCCCCTCCCCCAACCCCTACACATGCTCATGCTCTAGAGGAGTGGGGTCTAGAGTTATCAACATAGGTCAAAAAGTAAAAGACAGGCAAAGCTGTTCCCACTGGGAGAGAGGCAAGTCCCAGGACTTTTAATGAAGTTGTAAATTGACTCTTTGAAGGGTATAGGCTTTTCAAGCTCCACTTGAGATTTTGTTTCTGCAACTTGGAGCACCATAGAACTTTCTGTTACCTAAGAGAGAAGAGAAACATTAATGAACTGGCCTGACTTTACCCAGTGACAGGGGAGAAACTACCTTCATGAATAAATGTGGGATTCAAAAAAACAGGATAGTTTTGATTGTATTACTTCATGCCAGTTACATGTGTATTTCACTGATGTGGTGATTTGGCAGATGGACGTCCTGAGTATGAACACCAGGAGAAGCTAGTTGGAAGCTACTTGGAAAGCTAGGCAAGATCTCATTGCAGTGGTTCTCAAAGTGTGGTCCTGAATCCTGTGGGATCCCGGAGACTCTTTTACAGGATGCACAAGCTCAAAACCATTTTCACAATTCTACCATTTTGGCTTTTCTCCTCTAATTCTTATACAAGTGTTTACAGGGGTTTGACAAAGGTTACAGGATGTGTTATATGAGAACAGTTTGAATGCAAAGGCAGACATAAGAATCCAGTTGTCTTCTATTAAAACAGTCATTTAAAAAATTTGCAAAAGTGTGAAACAATGCCACTCTTCTCACTCTTCTCTTTGGAATATATAGTTCCTTTTACAAAAAGCATCACTATGTGACAGGTAATAGTTTTGTGATTTGGAATTTTAAAAAGTGTTAATATTTTAAAATCTAGTATTATTTCTATCGTGGCAAATGTTGACAAATATAATTTCCATAGAAAAAAACTCTATGGCCTCCCCAGTAATTTAAAGGCCCTAAGACCAAGAAGGTTGAGAACTGCTGTGCTAATAAAATAGGCAGAGGCTCCAAAGGGGAGACAGAGTCTATGAGGAACTGATGCCTCTACAGACTGAGGGATACAATATTTATACAATTTTCCTCTCACTTTTAAAAGTCTGAGTAAAGACACAAATAAAAACATAACTTTTATAATAAAGAATCATGCGTGTAAGACCTTCCTCCAATATACAACAGAGATAAACCTTGCAATAGAGTTTTCAGTTGAAAGGGCAGAGAAGTTAACTGTAAGCATTGGGAAGTCCTTAAAAGCAGTGAACATAGACGAGAGTGCAATAGTTCTCAGTGAAGGGTAGGAGGATAATGCCTGGAGAATCCTCTGGCCATGGGAACACAGCTGTGGGTACTATTTTTAGACTTTCAGTGCAGCTTAGATGCAGTCATTGAATAAAATATTAGGAGGAAGTATTTGTACTTCCTTTAATAGAATAGTGTCATAGTCCATTTGGGTTAAAATACCATGAACTGAGTGACTTATCCTCACAGTTCTGGAGGCTGAAAATCTGAGATCACAGTGTCAGCATGATCAAGTTCTGGTGAGGGCCCTTTTAATAGTTACAGATTGCTATATTCTCATTGTATCCTCACATGGCTAATAGAGAGAAAAAGCAAGGTCTTAAGTGTCTTTTTATAGGGGTACTATTCCAATTCATGAGGGGTCCACCCTCATGACCTAACACCTCCCAAGGGCCCCATCTCCTAATATCATCACTTTGGGGGTTAGGATTTCAACATATGGATTTGGGGAGGGTAAAATTATTGAGTCCACAGCAAGTAGTTCATATATTCATTCTAAGAAACACCCATTTTCATTGTCCTCAGAGCACCTCTATTTGGATAAAATTTTAGTTGCCCTTTGACTTTTATCAAGAAGTGTTTGAACTACTTCATGTCTGAAATTCAGCTAAGGGGGTTAAAAAATAAGTAAGAGAAGACCCATTCTCTCCAAAGATTTATCACCTATAAAGACAAATAAAACACATTCAAAAATTGGGAAACCTGCAATCTCAGTGATAAAAGAAAATTCACTTAGTATTTTAACTTAATTCAGCTAATGTCTGCTGATTGCCTTTTATGTACAAAGGATTGTGGGTGGACAGATTTATAGACATTTAGTCAGCTTCATCCTAACATTGTGAGTTAGGGTTCATAGTCTCCTGTTAAAAGGCTGAGGGATAGAGGCTCAGGGCAGTGACTTGTCCAAGAAGCAAAGAGTTGGATGTGTAGCCACGTGTTTTTCAAGTCCAATGTCCTTTCCCATATACCATCTTTCTCTGAGACTATTTACTGAGTGGGTTTCATTTATTTGGGTCTATTTTGATCTCCAGTGAGTTCATGGTTCATGAGGAATAACTAATCTAATTTAGAAATGGATACCAGATATGTTTTAATGAGAATGGTCATGGGTAACTTGTTTTACTGCAGCATCTCATGGTAATGCTCTTCCAGCTAAGTTAAATAGGGATCTTTACATGTGTAAATAGGTCCTTCATCCAGATTAGTGCCTGGCCTGTCTCATGTCATTACCCTGCTGTTAGGCCTGGCCAGTCACTAAACAGTTATTATTTTGTACAACTATTGCAGGTTGTTGCTGGAAAAATTTTGATTAAAATTGCAAATACACTTTTTATCCAGAATATTTAACTTCTTATTAAAAGCATGCTATGCATTGACGTTTGTTCTTGTTCAACTTATTTTTGAAAGACATTTTTCCCAACACATGATCAATAGCATAGTATTTATTGATGAATAAATGAAAAGTCCTTTGAGAATTACCTTGGACCCCTGGTTACCGACACAGACGCCTTGACTATTATCCAACAGATGCACCTCTGTTTCTAAAGTTGAGGATGAAAAACAAAAGAATCTGAAAATTGAGGCTTGATTCCATTTTGACATTTGGACATGTACTTGAGACTTTCATTCCAGGAGGTTGGACATCAAGTATAGGTGGTTAGTGTGTGTTATACAATTGGTCCAGAGTTTGAATGGATTTGCCTTTTTGAATACCCTGATACCTACCTCTCTAAGGTAGATCATTGTGAAAAATTAAGAGCTCATCTTCATTAACTGGCCACTACTAGAACTTTGATATAAATACCCCAGGCATTCACTGAAAACATTAAATGGGTTTTGTTCTATAAGAAAAAGGTGGAGGGAGACATTTGATTATTCCAGGAAAATCTTACAAAGGACAGACAGATGTTAACGTTTTGGATCAGAACCCCTGAGTTAAAGTGCTGGGTGTACTAAATGCAAGATAAGTGATACTGAGTTGGGTGTTTTCCCCTTCCAAGCCTCAGTGTCCCTATTTGTATGCAGGGAACAGTAAGACCTGACAGACACAAGGTTGGTCATGAGGACAATTGACTATGTAAGCTATACATTTCTGAGCAAATGTCAATAATTATTCTTCTGATGTTGTAGACTTAGTTGCCTCCTTGCGTTATTTCATCTTTATAAGCAAATATGATATTCAGGACACTATTGTAAGTAATAAAAGGTTTTTTCAAAGGAAACAAAATCATTGTGGCCCTATAAGGTTGGAGACTTAAGATATTATATAAATATTTGTTACTTAAAATTACCCTGATGGATAGATTCTTCCTCTAAGCAGCCCTTATTAAATTCCAGATGTAATCCTATTGGAAAAGTAGAACTACAACATCAGCAATACTCCTTGAAGGTTCTTGTCAATTTGACAGGCAGATAAATTTAATTTATTAAAAGATTCCGTCTAGCATTTTTAAAAGACAAGGGGTTTTTACACTGTAAATGGACTGTTTTCACAGCCTTATTAAAATAAATGCATAAAGTCAGCTGTTTTTCTTTGGAATTCATTAACATTAAGGAATTGCAGTCCAGAAGCTGATGGTTATATACCTGGATATTTTGGCAAACTTATCAATCTTTGTATATAATCTGGAATTTCTCCTTCTTAAAGTAAATGGGAATTGCACACAAGAAGGAACATTTCATTTGTATGATGTGCTGAATTTCATAGAGACATTTACTGTAGTTATTAGAGGCATTTAGAAAGCCAATGCTATGTGCCAAAGGCCATTGGAAACACATGAGCAAATTCAAGATTTCTTTGGACAAGAGGCTCAGATTTGTTTTTCTTCAAAGAAATTCAATTATTTATATTGAAAGAATACTGTCAAAGTTAACAGGTTTTCTGTTTTGCTTTTTCCTTCAGAAGGCCATTTTAAATTAAACACAATATGCTTTAAAATTGAAATATTTATATAGATTGTGAGCCAATACCATTTTTTTAGAGTTGTTAATTCCCTTTTAGCAACTGTTGCACCTCAATTATTATTTCTACTTTGGAAAAGGGTCTTGGTCCTGCAACATTCTGCACACTGCATCTGATAGTTGTCCTCATAGCTCCAACATCCTGCTTGTTCTTTCTCTTTATAGCTCCCCTAGCTCCTCAGCACTGGCCTATGAACCTGTCTTCCTGTCTATCAGCTCGGCCTCTCTCCTTGGGTGAGACTATCCTCTCAGGTCATCACGGCTTTGGGTCCAGCCCCACTCCAAGAAGCTCTTGCATTTTCACAGTTACCGATTAAAGAACCTGTCCCAACCCTGTGAACTGAATCTTAGGCATCCAATCAATCTATCAATCAAAGACCATGTCTACAAGTATACACTGGGAGGTGAATTAATTGTTAAATCTAATGCTAATAATCTGCTGATCTTGGTAGTTCAACATCAAAAGGACTTCGCTTAAACACATTTAAACTGTACTTCTACAGACTTCATAAGACCAAACTCACTCTAAAATAGTATTTAATATACAATGACAGAAGATAGTCTATTATATTTAAATAACAAGAAAGTATATTTATCTATATTTCTACCTAATAATAAAAAATTAACAAAAATGTGTAATTATCTCAGAAACATCATCCAAATATGCCATGCCAGTCAATGACTGTTTTTTGAAGCTGATGTATACCTTCAAGTGATTCTTCCTTTGAACTCCTATGGTATTTTTTAAAAAATTATACCTGGGTAATTACCTATATTCCAGGCTATAATGGATTATAGCTAATAGTGGGCCTGTCTCCTTTGTCCTGTCTCGTTCTTGAAATCTAGACTATGCTTTGTATCCACGTGAAATTAAAAAAAAAATGCTTGCCTTTATTAGGGACCCAACACATGTTTAAGGAGTTTATCTCCCACTAGGACATTAATTTCAAAATACAACTTACTGTTCTTGCTGTAGAATAGTTGTTTTTGAATTAAATTAGATTCAGAGAATTAAGTCAGTATTGATCGAGGACCTACTATAGACCAGATACTAGTTACTAACCAATCAAAGATCAAAGTGCCAAGACACCTTCCTCAAACTTATTTCAGAAGGCAATCAGGTTCTCATTAACTTAAACAGACTATGTTTGACATAGTTTAGGGGCTGAAAACTGTAATATTAAATGGACGGCATGATCATTAAATGTTTGGAGAAAGTGCTACACCAGAAGTTCAAATGGGAGAGGATGAATTTGGCCAGTTTTAGCTGTTTTTGTAGGGGGTGTTGTAGGAAAAGGAGAAGCTTCACAGAACAGCTGGTAAGTGAACAGCATTCTCACCAGGACTCTGGATGAGGAGGACTTTTACATGTGCCAAGTAGAGGAGAAGAATGCTCCACACAAGTGAAACAGCTTGAGCAAAGGCATACAACTACTAGGCTTTTGGGGAAAGGTAGGTGGTCCAGTACAGATGGCTCCCAGTGAGAATGCACTGTGAAGATCAGGGGATGAAGCTTCAGAGGCTGGGTGTTGAGGTTGGAGGAGGGGAGTACCGGACAGACTGGAGCAGAGCTTGCGTGCTGCCAGGGAGTCTGGGTTTTATCTTATGAGTTATGGAAAGTCCTTAAAGGCTGTAAGGAAGTAACATACGCAGAATTAATCTGGATTTAGAGCCTTTGTTTTGTTGGCCTATAAAGGATGGAGTAACTACCTCTCCTCTCATTTTCTTTCATAGATCCTGTCTTATAAAATTATACACAAATAAAGCAGACACATGCAAGGGGCACTGATTTCTGAAATCAGAATAGTGAGGCTGCATAATGAAAAATCTCCTCCACTGTCTACTCTGGAAATTGCTCTCAGGGCATAAGCAATATTTTACCAGAACCTCTATTTACCTGGATTTCGAATCCCAAATTAGTAATAATATTTCACTCTAAAGAAGCTCTCTAGAATTTTGACACTTTTTTTCTCAACAGGATATTGTGGTTTAAAATCCCAAATTAAAGTAGCTTGTCTTAGATACAGGCAACCTTAACCATGTCCAGAACCAGATTAAACTAAATTAAATGTCCAGAGGTGCTAAGAGAATAATAAGTCCCTATAAAAGTAAGGGGTGCTCCTCCTAGGAGTTCCAAGGAACACATCAATATAAAAGCATATATATTTCATAAGACATTAATCTAGTTACATTCTCAGTGCTCAATTGCATTTCAAATTATTCTAGCTGTTCAACCAGCCTGGAGGTCCAACCGTCAATCAAAGGAGGCTGTTTTTCTTCTGCTCCCCCTACTGGAAGGTCAGGCAAGGTGATTTTCTGCCCCCACCCCCCGACCCCATACATGCTGTAGGTGAATGTAGATGAATTTGCTTAGTAAGATTGGGAGAGATTTTACTTTCCAAAAGGTAAACAATACTTAGGTTTTCAGTAGACTCTTTCTCCGCTGACTGAACATCTCGGGCAGTCTACAGCCCATTCACTACAGTGGTCTATTCAAGAAATGTCTAGTCTCATCTTTAATTCTTGCAAATCAAACCTCAGGTGCCTTTGAAATTTGCAACACCCACAACTACCTCACCTGGGCAGAAATTAAATGACCAAGAGGAGAAAAATCTATATTTCCATAGTAATGAAACTCATAAAGTTCATTCAAGAAGAAATGTTTGTACCATTATACCCAGGACAGAGAAACCTTTTAAACTCTGTATAGCTAATCTCCCATCACTTGCAGTATAATATACCACAGTGAAGGTTCACATCATTCCAGCTTATTTTCTAAACAGAAACTAAATTTCTACTGTATGATTCTTAAGGAGAATCTCGTATAAGTTGATACACACCGTTAGCCCATTCCTACCGTGGTTTACCTCCTAGATAGATGCTGGGCGGTATTCCTCACATACCTTCCCCAGTTCCTCCATTGAGTGAATAGACTCTAATTTAGCACCTACTGCAAGTGTTAGACTTTCCAGCAGCAAAAAAGAGCAAGTCACAGAGCCTTCCCCAGTAGACCTAGGAAGAGACAGACATAAATTGGTATTTGTAGTTGAAGAGAGAGTCTGGGGGTGCTAACAAACTACAATGGGAGCTACAAAAGAAAATGACTAAAGCCACCTGAGGGGCTAGCATGGAGCTCGGCATAAAGCATAGATGAATAAGAGTTTGCTGTTCTGGAATTTAGAATGGTAATCAGGTTAAGGGGACAACATAGAAAGCCATGGAAGTATGAATGAAAACTACGTGTTCTACAAAAAGTCCTGTGCGACCCAAGTATAAGCTGAGAGTTGAAGGAAATGCAAGTCGGTGAAGATAGGGGCCAGACCATGGAATATGCTGACTGCCCCACTAAGGAGCTCAGGCTTTACTTGGGAGTGATGATTCTGTGGTTAGATACATCACTATAGGCACAGGTGTTTGGATAGAGGAGCTAGAGGGGTAGAGACAGGTGAGGAAGCTATAGAAATAGCCAGGTGTAAAGTGACAATCCAGATTGGGATAAATAGGTGGGATAAAAAACAGTAGTATACAGTATTCCTGACTATACCTAGGAAAGTATTCGTCATATCCCCAGGTAAAGGATGGTGTCTGTTATAAAATAGAATCAAGAGAGTACAAGAAACACCTACCCACCCGCACCTACACATACACACAACCAACTCTCTCTCAACGACCATGGGGGCTGTGAACTCTTCTGAGGCTTCTCCTGCACTATGTGCTCATTCCTGGGACTGAATTTGACTCTGGCCTTAAAAGACACATGGAAAATCTCACAGGACCTCAATGTTGTGGGTAGGGGGTGTGTCCTTAGTTCGCCAGCTCCAAAAAGTCAGGGGGCTCTATTGCTTCTTAGAGTTGATAAAATTATCCTTGAGAAGGGTTGACAGATAATATACTGGACATGCACTTACATTTGAATTTCAGATAAACAGATAAGTTTTAGTACAAACAACCTAAATATTGCAGGGAACATATTTATCCTAAAACTATAATCCTAAAATCAACAATAATTTATCTGAAATTCAAATGTAACTGAGCATCCTGTATTTTTATTTGCTAAATCTGGTAATCCTACCTCTGAGCCTTGCCTCCCTCTAGCTCAGACCCCCTGGGCAGACACTTGCACTGAGAAGTGAAAGGTGGGAAGAAATAAAGTGCGTGTGCTGTTGGGAGTTGAGAGATGTTTTACAAAGTCATCATGGGTATGATCTCCCTAGATCTGCTCACCCCCTTGCAGAATCTGAAATCTACAGTGGACTTGGAAGTGAGCAAAGAGCTGGTATGTCACAGGGCTGTCACAGGGAAAATAACTGAATTTAGAATAATAACTTATTTGCTAAAGTAAATGTCAGTGTACTTATAATAAAGAAGCTCTCAAATAGAACATTAATGTCTGTATCACCCATTGATGGCAAGAATTTCCTTAGGATACATATAAGCAATAGCCTTATATGATCTTTTTCAATTTTTTGAAACATTAAATGATGCTCAAAGTAACTTTTGAAGCATTCATTTTGTGCTTGAAATTTAGGACACTGACTCTATTCATACCTAGTATTTCATAAGTATCTATCCTTTGGACAAAATAAAGTTCAGAACTCATGTTCATATTAAGAACTGGATTATAAAAGCCAAGAGGCATAGCAATTATTTTAATATATAAATGAGTAATGTGTATTTAGAAAAACACCCATGACCAAACTCCATCAAATCTAATTTTCCCAGAGTTAAGTGTACATCTAGTAAATCTATTCCCATATACCAAAGAAAATTTTTAGCAAGAGCTACAATAAGCTTCCTTCTGAAGGAATAATCTTGTGATTTCATGCGAGAAAAATCTCTCCTTGAGGTGAATGAGAGATGAAGTTGTGAAAGTTACAGTTGGAACTATTTTGCTTTTCCCTTCGCTTTTCCCTTTCTGACCAAATGACAAGAGAACATTTTCTACTTTTCCTGGATTCTTTTATTGTTTTCTCTGCTAAAAGCAAATCAAATATTACAAATACCCTTCAACTCAAATTAGCCTTAAGCCCCATAAGTTATATTTCCAAGAGCCTTTTGTGGTGGAAAGAACCTGCCAATTTTGGTTAGAGAAATTTCTTTAGGCTCGCCTTTGCAGGCAAGGCAAGTGACGGGCTTTCTGGTTTTCCTGGTAACCAAGAATCAGTGAGAAGCACTTGTACTAGACAGCTGCCATAGTCTTACATTTATGGAGTACCTACTGTGTGCTTTCTACTATCAGCCATCAAAAAGAATGATAAAAGTCCACAGCATAGGAATCTGTTCATCTGAGTGTTCTGCCAAAAAATACAGTAATTACAAGTAGTGTCACCATCAGTGACAAGGGCAGGGAAGACTATTTTTCCTTTTTTTCCCAACTTATTCAAATACTTAAACCTCTTCTATTTCGAGTTCAAATGAGGTAAACATACAACCTCAAAGGTAAACTTTGAGTTATGAAATAATGGGATTTTATGAATTACTAAATGATTGAAAGATAGGATCTTAGCTTCTCTTTAGTGTCTTCAGTTAGAAGGGAGAACAGGTGTCCCCTGTTGAAAAGTTTATTAGCTCATTATATGATCTCATAGCCTCCCCACTTTATCTTGCTTCTTATTTTTCAGTTACTTCCTAATATTTACAACTTTCCTTTGAATTTTTTCCTTTTAGTTAGAGAAACCAGGAACATATTCTTCCAAAAAATGAGAATAAAACTAATTGCACAACTCCCACATTTTCTTTTTATTGTTAGCTTTAGACATAGCTGCTTGCTGTGCAGTTATACATTAGCTATATGACCTCCAGGGCTTTTCTTCCTGTTTTTGTATATCTCAAGTCACTCTCTATTTTAAGTAGCCTGTGTGTGTGTGTGTGTGTGTGTGTATCTGAATGAAATAATTGCTAGCTATAGGCAAAAATGTATGTGTACACAAGTATATATACATGTGTATATATGTATATGAGTGTATACTTACATATGTGTAAATGTACATATGTGTGTATGTATATGTATACATGTACATATATGTATATTATACCAATAGCTAGTAATTTCAAAAAAAACATTGACTTGAGTGTTAGATAACCATTCTCTAAATTCAGTTTTTGATGTTTCAAGAAACCCAAAAGCCTGTCTTTTCACCTACAGACCCTTTGTGCACGTGGCAAATCACCTCTGAAAGGCAAAAACTAACTGGATTCTCTTCATTTGTTCAAAAAAGAGAAGAAAGCTTTAAAGATATGCCTATAAATAAAAGAAAATTAGGTTGCTATATTATGATTGTGCAATAAGTATTAATTTCATTGAAGTTTGACCCTGTTCCATGTATTAGATGACTAAGACATTTAACTCTTAGGGATGTTGAAAGCGCACCACAAAACATAAGTAATCAATAAAGTAATGTTTGAAGACTTTTAGTATATACTGCTTATTCAGGTAATTAATTATTTTGTAAATACTAATAGCATATTTTTCCAAGAAAAATAAAAAAGCCATGTTCTAACAAAAGTGTTCACCACAGAAAAATTAAACATAGGGGAAGGTAAACATTAAAGTTTCAAAAAAACAGGTAAATCATACAGCTGCTTCTGTGCTTGATGTTCTAATCTGGCACAAGTGTTTCGTAACTATAATATACGTTATTATTTTTAAAAAATACTGTCATGACAACAGCTTACATTATTAAATATTGAGGAACACTTTATATCAATTTAACTCATACTTAAAAATGTAACATACGTAAATTCTATAGTTTTTTTTTTTTTTTTTTTTTGGAATGTACTTTGAGAATAACAGCATTTCAGGACTGGTTTTGTTTAAAGTATACCCAGCCCCCCTCCTTATTTTATTTGATTTTTGGTTTAAATAAAAATGTAGCAAAGCACTCTTTGAAGTAAAAGTACCTGTCTTTTCTTTTTTCTTTTTTTAAATCATAGTTTGTTTTACCTGAAAGTTGAGAAAGAATGCAGTATAAATATAGCTTTTCTCTACACGGGAGCAGGGGGAACAGAACCAATCCCCAGCTTAGCCACACCCAACATCATGGAAATTACTGTGAACCTGTTGTCTCTTGAGGACAACTAAAACCAAAACGAAATCCCTAACATTATTAAAATGTTAGGAAACTTTTCAGGTAATTGCTGTAACTCTGGTAAAATACAGAAAGATTACATTCACTCATAATAAAAATCAAGTGTGCCCACGCCATCTGCAAAGGGAACTTGCACCATCTTGGTTTCACTCGCATTGTTAACAGTGCCCTAAAAGTATACACCTTTTTCAGGATAAAACCATTAGGTAATATCTTGATCATATCCTCTGCATGATGAACTATCACTCAAATTATTCTGTCATGGGTTACCTTACTAACACTGACAAAGAGATAATAAATGATAATTTTAACAGGGATAGGAGAAACCTTGCAAACCTTTCAAGTTTCTTTCATAACTATTGTTTTATTATTGCATATTTTTAGAGGTATTATCATCAACCTGATCCTTTATAGGCCAATATAGTAACAAATGCTAATTTAACTGCCCAGCTCATTTTTATTGTCAGTCTAGCCTCAGCAAGTATAAAACTGACAAGACATTCCTCTATGAGAGTGACCCTCTTAGTGAGAGAGAAATCTATGTACCATCAGAGGAAATAAATCTTAGTATTCGGTGTGATAGAGACTAATTCATTTCTTTTGATGAAGTCCCACTCTTTGAGTGACTTTGAAGGGGGAGACAAAATGTCAAGAAGGAGTCCTGCAGGAACAAGTGCTTAAGATGGTGTTTAATACAGCAGGGAGCCAAGATACAGTAGTAGGACACAGTAAAGAATGTGGAGTGTGTAGATACAATAAAGAATTCATTTTATGATCTGCCACCTGTTACTTGAAAGAGGAGTAAGTTAGGGAAATAAATGACTCAGTTCTTCATACATGCAAAGGTAAGTTAGTTATTACAAAAGTTTTTGCTGTTGTTTGTGCTGAAAGAAAAGCATATGCATTTAAACATTTTTTAAAAAATAAA
Source organism: Homo sapiens (assembly GCF_000001405.40). Taxonomy (NCBI): domain Eukaryota; kingdom Metazoa; phylum Chordata; class Mammalia; order Primates; family Hominidae; genus Homo; species Homo sapiens. The sequence continues at coordinate 14,636,967 of NC_000002.12, read as the reverse complement.
TCACTCAATAGGCTTAAGAAAAATACTTTAGTTCATAGTTCATTGATCTGACGTTTTGATTTAAGATCAGGGGATGAATCCAGGATGAAAACCAAAGAAAAAAAAAGAAAAAGAAAGAAAAATATAGAAGTGAATCATTTACCATGAAAAAGGCATTTCCAGCCTCAGCTAACCTCAACTAGTTTTTATTGCATTATTTTTGAAATGCCAAGAAACTGGCTTTGGCCATAATACTTGCTGTCCAACAAAATCACAGCTGTTAATATGCAATTGCTTGCAACAATTAGCTAAACAGCATTATTTGACAAATTCCCTTGAAAGAGACATAGATGCTATTTAAGTGTCTAGCACACTGAATCAAGTAACTATCAGTTAGGCTGGGGCCGCAGCTGGAGGGAGGAGAGAAGTTTACAAATCCTTGTCCACAGAAGGTGTTTCACACCCAGCCTTAAGTTTTTGAAAAACACACATTTGTCCTGATCCTACAAGTTCATCATCCCTGTTTTCAGGAAGAACTGAACTGTGGAACTGGCCAAAGAGGAGGGGGAAAAAGCCACCAACTCTAGATTCATTTTTAAGGAGATCAGGAGGAGAGGAAGAAAAATAGAAACGCGTATGTGAAATGGTAATGATATACAACATGGAGAAAAAAATAAACATCGTGGAACCTGCTAGCAATTTCCACCAATTTCCACCAAAGCAGTGAACCCCTTAACTGACAGAAATTCAGTACAATATACACATTAATTAACAACTCCACCATTACTAGGGCTGCTGTTGAAAGCCAAAAAATTAACTACAATATTGAAAAACAGAATGCTTACAATATCTGAGAAAAATAGAGTGAAAAGGCAATGTTAGCTAAGCTCTTAGCTACATCCACTCTTAATGGCCCCCAGTATTTAAACTATCATGGATTAAAGCCATGAAAATAAAAATTTCAATTTGAAATTTTATTAGCCTGTTGCTAAAATGGTCAATAAAAACATCAACACGATAGGCTTTGTTGACATAGTTGGAAAACTGCTCTCTCATTTTTAAAACTTTATTTCCACTTCCCCAGCTTTGAAGATTTCTATGTTAGGAAAAGCCAAACTAAATATACTGGCTATGGTGTTGTAACAATGCTGGTTTCTGGAATGGTGCCATGTCCTCCCCCTCCCTCTCCTCCAACTCCTTTAAAAATATGACTATTTTTGAAATGCAGCCCGAGGAGGGAGCAATCAAGGGTTCAGAACAATAAGCGCCCTTCACACATTCAAGTTCCCAGACACCAGGTGAACGAGCGAGCTCCTTGTCGGGGGCGGGGCCGGCTGTCCTCACCGAATTCGCAGCGCCATCTTCCTCCCGGGACCGGGCCGGCTTCCCTTCTGCCAGCGAGGGAGACTCGCAGGCAAAGGCGGGTGGGGGTGGCGTTCGCTTCCCACGGTGGAAAGAACCGGAGGCAAACACTGTCTGGCTTAGCCCGCAGCCTGGAACACAATGTCAGGAGACCTGGGGCTGGAGAGCTGGAAAAGTCCCGGGCAGCCTCAGGATAACCCGGAATCCCGAAGTGCTGTCTTGGGGAATTATTCCCAAGTGCACAAGGGACAGGCTCGATTTCTTGGAAATCCTGCGATCTGGGGACGCATCCACAGAGGAGCTGAACTGTGCCCTGTAGAGACCAGTTCTCGCCTCCGACCGGTCTGTGTGCGCACGCTCGGGGCGGTGATGGTCCCTTTTGAGAAGAGGGTTGTTTTCGAGTCGGGCCACAGTCACTGGCCATGGACTCGCGGGGAAGGCCATGTCCTTTCTCCCCTCAGCCCCTTCCCCGTTCCCGGTTTACATCTCAAGGGGAAAGCGCACGCGGGGTCTCCCAGCACCGTCACCACCGCTGTGGCTGTCAGCCAGGCGCTCGCAGCGGCGCCCTTTCGGCCCTGGGGCAGTTCCTGAGACTTCCTGCCGCTGGCTTGGGGATGCGGGGGTGCAGCCCGGGCCCGGGCCACCGGCGGCGGACGCGCGTGGCGGGGCGGGGCAGAGGTTGAGAACCGCTGACTGCGAAGTCCGGGTGCGGGGAAGGGAAGGGAGCGAGGTGCGGGGGAGGCAGAGGGGCCGGCAGCCCCTAGGCGGCTACTCCTTGTCGTCCACGAGGTCGGCGAGCTCCTGGAGCACTCGCAGGCGGCCGCTGGCGTCGATACGGCGCTTCTCGCGGATGAGGTCTTCCAGGCTGTGAAACCTGGCGGTGTGGACCTTGTTCTCTCCCAGGTGCACCTTGAGATAGTACTGCTGCTGCGGGGGCTGCGTGCCTGCCGGCACCTCCCCTCCCGCCTTGAACTCCCGCTTGCCAAAGCGGCACCAGGCGGCGAAGCTCTCCGAGTTCGTCCAGCAGATCTCCTCGCTCTTGAGGCCCAGGTGGCCGCAGGCGTTCTGCACCACCAGCTCGGCCACCAGCGGGCGGTAGCGGTACCAGCTATTCACCACCCGGCCCACGTTGGCCGCGCCCGCCTCATACAGGCTGTCCTGGCGGATCTCGCCTTGGTGCAGGTGGATGATCTGCCCGCCGCCCACGTAGACGGCCCAGTGCGGGGCGGGCGCGGGCGGCTCCGGCGCGGGCTGCAGCCACAGCAGCTCCAGCAGGTCGCCGGGTTCGCAGAGCGCTGGCAGCGCGGTGACCGCGTAGACGCTTAGGTCGGCGCCCTGAGGGCCACCGCTCACTTTGGAAAAGATGCATTCCTGGCCCCGAAAGGCGGAAAACTGAGTCTCGTTGAGGACCAGCTGGTGCAGCAGGTGGTGGTGGTGGCGGCTGGGGCTCTCCGGGCAGGGGGTGCAACCCGGGGGGGCCTTCACGCCAAACTTGTCGGGCTGCCCGCGTTCGTCCAGGTCTTCCTCATCATCCGAGAAGAAGTAGGCAACCCCGACCCGCAGTTCGTCCTTTTCAATCCCCGACGGGTCCCCTGTGGGCAACTCGCTGTAGTTGAGGTGGGTGATGCGGTCCAGTTGGTTGCCCATCAATGAGGTGGCGAGGCGAGGGCCAGGAGCGGGGATCTGCGGAGGCACAGAGAGGCAGAGACACCGTCAGAGTCCGGGCTGCCCCTTTCGGTGTCCCTCCCCAAGACGTGCAGTGCCCCTGGGACCTGCCGGCTAGCTTACGTGCCCTCACCGGAGTCACCCTTTCCAGCCGAGTCCTCCGTGCCTCCCCAGGGGTACGAGGGGCGGAGAAGCCGCCACAGGTCAGGCGAGAGCAGACGCCACCACACAGCCTCCGACCCCTTCCGGGAACTCGGTCCAACTCCCAGAAGAAAACACCCAGGCTGGCTGGAGAGCTTGCGGGGTCCCGGTGGGGAGGAGAGTGCTGGCTGTGGCAGTGTGGGAGACGGACACCCAGGAAGGACCGAGGGGTGGGCTGAAAGGGAGAAGGGAGCCTAAGGCCAGTGAGCTGGGAGCAAGCTCCCATTTCTGTCCCCACCCTCTCCAGCCCACCTCCCAGTTTTGCACTAGGTTGCCTTCCTCCCCTTACAGCGGCTCGCACAATGACAATCAGACACATTCTCAGGCATTCACTTGACACCAGCAACATTTTGGACACTTGGGAGTCCAGACACTGGCAGCCTGGTATACTGGTGTATGTCACATACACCCACAATGACAAACCTTCGCGACGACACACTGGCACACTTAGACCCCACACATTCGTACACAATTTCAGCTCCACGCTTGCACGCTCGCCGTTGCACGTACGCCCAAGCACCCGGGCACACCTGCCCTCACAGGCAGGTGCACTCTGCCCCTTACTTCTCTTGCCTTGTCCCCATCAGGGCCAATGGGACTGCGCCAGGGCGAGGCTGCTCTGTCTAAAATAACCTAACAAAGAGGCAGGGGAAGGATGGAGAAAGCCAGTGCAGTGTATGTGTGTGGGTGTGGGTGGGAGCGTGTGTGTGTAGAGAGGTTCACTTTTAGCCCAAAGACCCCTCTCCCTCCTACCCAGCACAGGATCCAAACAATCGGATGAAGAAAAACCGTTTCCAAGGCAAAGAAAGCCGCTTCTCCCTACCCGTGATTTCCCTGCTCCCGAAACCCCAAACTCCTTTAAAGTCTCCTGGTCCCCATGGGTGCTGAGGAAGCGGCGGTGGCGAGTGGGTCCTGGGCTGCGCGTGGGGCTGCGGCTCCGCTCTACCCCGAGCCGAATCGTGCGGTGCGGCGCCCGTGCGCCTCCAGGTCTGCGCTGGCCGGGGCGCCTGCTCCCACTGGACAGTCCCGGCTCGGCTCTGCTTTCCCACCGCCGCGCCGACGACTCTAAGTAGCCGGAGCAGCCGGTCCCAGGGCCCGCCCCAGGACGCGCTCATTGGTTGGGGCGGGTGCTCGAGCTGTGTCAATCTTCGCCGGCGGGGGAGGGGAGCAGAGGCGGGCCTCCTGTGCGCTTTGCTCTGCTCCGCTCCGCCCCGCCCCGTACCCCGCACACCCGACCGCGCGCCGCCCCGGGGAGCGGAGGTGTGCGCACCCGCGGGGGGCGCGGCGCTTTCTGCCAGGTGCCGATGCCCGCTTGCGCCCGCGCCCCCCAGCTCATCCGAGCTGATTGTGACTGAGAACACAGCCCGCCCGCGTTCCGTGTTCCAGGAAGACAGACTCCAGCGGGGAAGCTGAGTCTGGGTATGGAGAAGAAACCCCAGGGCACCCCAGTATGGCCCAGGCACTGCGAGCGGCCCGGGGCAGGCAGCGACATTGCCCGAGGCGGGCGTCTGGGCCCTGCTGGGATCCCCCAGAGCCTTGGTTCCCGATGGCCCCTAGGCTGGTCCTTGGATCGAAGACCCTTTTCGTTCCCCAGACGTCTTTGAAATTGCTCCTGCGACGTTTGGCTCCTCTTCTTTGACTGGAGTGAGGCTGCTGACCCAGAGCTGATGCCCGATTTAAAAGGAGCTTGGTGTCAAATGCCACCCAAAAGCCTGAGCTTTGGCCGGTGCATTCCCTGGCTGTGCCTATGATATTGGCCTCCAATTTTCTGAATATAGGAGGAGTACCTCACAACTCATGTATGTGAGTTCATACATGCAAGCAGAGAGTAGGATGTAAAAGTGTTTTCCAAGCCTCAGAATTGGGATTGCTAAGCAAGTTTTGTTTGGTTTTGTGGGAAAGGAGGCTCCAGCAGTAGTTAATGATTACATTTCTGGATGGAAAGTTAATGAATGAATGTGTTCTGAATATTGGATGCTGAAAAAATGAACTTCATATATACAACATTCCAGACCAATAGTTTCAAAAGTTCCTAACATTAAGCCTCAAAGAGTTCTTAGACATCTGGTTCTGGCCCCAATGCTACTCATCTTTAAGCCTGGGCTCCAGCAGCTTTTCTATGAAGCCTCTTTTCTTTCCCAATGAGGAATTTGATACTTCCTATTTGAACCCCCCACCTCTTCCCTACAAAGCGAATTCCTTGAGAATAGACTTTGCATTCTGCACAACCTTGTATTCTGGGCCTCTTTCCCAATGCTAGTCATGCAGTGTGTTCCATCAGTAATAGTAAAAATGAAAACAGCCTGTATTGACCACTTATACGTGGTCAGACACTTAAGAGTAAATTAAGTAGACAATTTAATCATTATTCCTCTGTAGGGTACTCACTAATATCCGAATTGTAACAAACAGGGAAACAAAAGCTCCAATACTAGTACCAGCAATCCATCCAAGCCTACGGGATACCAGATCCAGTCTTTCACTAAGTTATAGTGTTTATTGAATAAAATCTTGTTTCATAAAATGAGAAAACTGGTGTTTCAGAGAAGTTAGATGATTGGCTCAAGGTTACATGGAGACTGATCCATATTACAACCCCCTTTTTCTTTGCTAGACTTTTCTGCTTGAATATCTTCAAACCGCCAAGCCTCCAGTTTATGTTTGCTTTCTGAAGGTCTCTGTACACCCCCACAGCCTCCAAATGCAGTGATTTATCAAATTAGATGCTAAAATATTGCTGGAAAAAATGGTTTTAAATGACCATCGGTATACAATTGATGTACCTAAATCTTTTTGGAAATTTGGCTATTGTCCATGTGCATGCAAGTTATCAGAAAACAAGTTGCCATTCGTGGAACTGACCACAGGTTGAGATGGCCTTTTTTATACTTGCCATAAGTAATAAACAACTCATTTTGGCCCTGAAGTCAAGAGAATTGAACAAGTAGCTTTAGAGATAAGGAGTGAGTTATTGGTCTTGTTATAAACTGGACTTCAGGGCTGTCTGGGATGAGGGTATCTGAAGAGTTCATTGTTGATGTCTGAGAAGAACTCTTTGAAAGCAACTCAGCGTTTGAATAACTTAAAAAATATCCTCCCTCCATCCCCAAGATCAAGCCTTGTGCACAGACATTTACAACTCATTTGTTGTGTTCTGCCCTACGTGTTCTATTTCATTCTGCTCCAGACTACAGAGTAAGCAGGTCGTTCCTCTTTGTTTAGTATTCCAATACTATAAAGCATAATTAAGATAAAATGTTGTCAGTTATTGGAGATATAGTGCCTAAAGTTTAAAATTTTTGGCCTCTCCGTTTCCTCTCATTCCCCCTGCTAGGCTAAACGGCTAACTGCTTTTGTAATCACATGGGAGAAAAAATACCCTGGAGCCCCCTTGAAACATAAGGCAGGGAACACATTGACTGTGAGGCTTGAAATAAAGGGAGCTAAAAGTAAACTAAGGAAAATACATCTACACTTTGTCTTCTTTTGGCACTTACCAGATAATAAAGTAAGACAATCAAATGAAGGATGCTGATTGTAGAAAATGTTTTATGTTCATCACAAAATATTGTTTTCAAATTGTTTTGACTTTTATTTTTTACTCCATCCTGCCTGCTTTTACAATGAGAAAATACAGTGCTGTCCAAAGTAGAATATAGTTGTCCAAAACACAAACTCTGAAAGCCAACTAATTTAAACTCTTTTTCAACATTTATTGCTGGGTAACCTCGAGTCCGTTATTTAAACTTTGTGGGCATCAGGAAACTTCCTTATCTGTAAAAAAGAGATAATAATAGTGGTTACCTCACTGAATTGTTGTGAGTTCATACATGTAAGCATAGTGTCTGACGCACAGTGAGTTTTCAATCAAGGCTATCTTATTATTATTCTTGGTGGAAGAGAGAGGTCTCATACCCTACTTGTTTAGGACAGCTGTGCAGTTCTCTTTCTCCTTTGCCCCAGGCTAAAGGTAGCAATAGATAGTGTCCAAGGCTTTCCCTGATTGGGGTGTAGGACTGCTTCTGTGTTAAGGTGGTGAGATCCCTGCCTATCCTTCAAATACTCTGAGACCTAAAGCTCTCTATAGATTTCAGCATGTGAGCCCCTGGGCTGATCATGTGGTAGCAGGGAGTGGGGTGGGGGTTCCCTGAAGGATTTTTAATTGTTTTAAATGAACATTTCCGGTGTGAGGAATTTGTGTGGGGAAAAAAGTTACAGGGGAGTGATTAGGAGTCAATCAAATGTATGTGATCTTTTCTGCTGGTGCCATCTGATGTATCCTCTCTCTCTCTTTTTTTTTTTTTGTTTTTGGTTGCTTCTTTGGCACTATTTGAAAAGCTTTACTCCAAATTTTACTGAACAGGTCCTTGGCTCAAACTGTCATCCTTTAAAATTGGCCTTGGAGCTTGGAGTAAGGGTTCAGGAAAATTATATGCCCCACTTTATCCTTTAATGAAATGAACTGTTCCATCTCCTGTCCTTCACTGCCTTAGGCAGTTAACATACTCACCCTGGTCTGAGCTAAAGAATACTCTGTGTCCATCTGGATTAGAGATGGTTATATGGCTTCACCAATCCCATTTCCCTTCCTTCTGGGCACCCAGCTAAATGACAAGTCCCAGCATGCCTGCAGTCATTTGCCCCATGCCCTGTGACTGAGTTCTGGCAAATGGAATGTGGGTGGAAGTAGAATAAGCCACTCCCAGGTGCCGCTCCTGAAAGCTCCTGAAACTGAAACTATTATTAACACAATCTTCCAGAGCTTTCTTTTGCCAATTTGGCCATTTGTAGAGGATTCATGGTAGGACTCCTAGGATCTAAGAGATGGAGGAGCCACTAGATGGAAGAAGGCCGGAGCTCCTGAATGACTGTGTAGAGCTGATAATTTCCCCTCCCAAGAAAACTGCATTGGACTGTGAAGAAATAAATCTTCTTGGGTTAAGCCACTCCAAAATTGTGTGGTTATTTATTATAGCAGTTAGCCTGTACTGACTGATATACTGTCCTTCATTTTAGACCTATCTCAGAACAATAAAAATCTCCCCCACTTCCCCCGTCCCCACACACACCTCCTACCTCCTTCTCTCTTTGTATCTGTTCTCACTGCCAAGGCTAACTTGCCTGAAATCCCTGCAGCATTTCAGCAGGTTCACATCACCTAGAATGTAAAGAAATCACTAATGAACACTTCTCTCCCCTCTAGGTACTACCCCATATCTCCCTACTATTTGTTCTAGAAATTTTCACAGCTTCCATGTGACTAACTTACCCAGCTCTCTGAACATCTTACCTGCTTTCTACTTTTGTAGACCACAACAATGGCGTGGGAAACCCCTCCCAGTAAACTTCTTGCAGCTGGTATCCTGCTTCCCTTAACCCGCATGCATGCATTGACACTCTGGCTATCAATTTCCTCTTCAGTGCCCATTTCCAAGTTTGGCTTCCACATTTCCATGTTCTCTAATTTCCTTCCCATAACTGAGTGTTCATATTAAAGTGTCTTTTGTGGCTTCTTATCAGCGAACCATTAAAGACTCATGAATGCTCCCTGGGTAAAACCTTTAGCACTAATTGGTTTAATATTTTATTTTTTTGTGGATTATACAAAGATATCTTCACCTAGCATTCATTTTTCTCTGTGTTCTCTCCCAATTTTAGGATAGTTCATGCCTTTTGTTTGGGCCCACTTCCCCATATGAGTGATGGTTGAACTTTCCTGGGTAGGCATGGGTCACTATTACAGACACACTGCTTACTCTTCTTTTTCTCTGGAATGTCTTTCCCTGCCTGTCTGATCTAACCTCCACTCAAAATTAATAACCCAGGTTATCAAGCGTCAGCCCCTCCAATATATCTGTCCCCTCAGCCCACTCTAATTGAGACCCTCCTTTATGCTTCCATAGCACCATCTGTATATTGGACACAAGATATGTCAGAAATTTGTCAAAACACTTATCAAATTGAGCTGGCATCATGGGTTGACGTTCCTCTTTTTCCTTATTAATAGACTAAAGAATATTTGAAGAAAAGTCCAAAATCGAATTCAAGTCCATATTCTCTTTGCCAAGTATAGGGTTTGGTGCAATGTGCACTCAATAAATACACCTTGCCTGACTCAAGGCGCACGTGAATAATGGTCTCTGTTTTAGTTAGTGAGGTGTCGGTATTTGTGTTTGTTTCAGCTTTCTCTAATTTGAACGCTTCAATACCCTACACATGTATTAAATTAGACAATGTGTGGGAAGGTGTGCTATGTGATGTATAGTGTTGGGTTTCCAAATGGTCCTCTAGCATCATCAGGGAACCTGATAAAAATGCAGATTCCCAGGCTCTATTCCCAAGCTACTGAAACTTAATCTTAGGATTGGCTCTAGGAAATTTGCATTTTGAACAGTCTTTCCAGGCATTTTGGATGCTGTGTAGTAATTACAAGTCAAATGCTACTCAAATGTAACAAAAAAAATATTCTTCTTAAGTACAGGGACAGCCCTTGAGGAGTAGGCACTTAATAAATACTTGGAATTTCATTCTCTAGACATCCTCTGGTTCATTTCAACAGCAGTGAGACTCATTTTAGACTTGCTCATACGAAGCTGGTAAATAAAGGTATCAGTTTGCATTGTGAAGTCAAGTGGCTTGTTTAAAAGTCATATTGCAGGTGCATGGTAGAGCTGAGGCTTTATCTTTTTTTCTCCTTGCTCAAACTCCGTGCCCCCGCCCACTGTGCTCATAGGCTGTGGTTAGAGCAGAAACCTGCATAAACAGGAAAACTTTCTGTTCCTAGGTATCAAATTCCCTTTTAGGCTACTGATTGACTGATTATGAAAATCTTGGTTCTGTCTCTGCAAAGAGTAACTTTTATGCTCTTTGTGTTGCATCTGGATTGCCCTTCTGTTAGTGCCTTTGCTGGCCCCATCCTGGCAAAGACAAGTACATCAACCTGGGCTCTGAATGCCACCTGTTTGTGCCCTCTCAAGGACCTCACAATTTTAATAAAACCCCTCTCTCCACCTTCGTATATAACCCCACCTATTCTCCTAACTGCTTCCCAGTTGCATGGAGTCATATTTGTCTCTCACATCGTAAAAACATCTCCTAACTGTACCTCTCCCTTGAGATACTCTCCCATCTTGCAGTTTATCCCAATCCACCACAGGCTGTCTTGTGCAACCATCGCTCCATCACTGAGCAGCTCTCACCAAGGGGAACAGTGATCTCATCAGCATTGAATGTGATGGATGTTTTTGGGTTCTTACCTTACTTCTGAGAAGCATGTGCACAGATGACAACTTCTTCCTTGTTGAGCTAGGCTCTTCCTTTCCTTCCATTGTACTACATTCACTCTCCTGGTTTCCTTCAACCTCTCTGGCTATTCATCTTACAACATTTTGTGGACTGATTTCCTTTAACTTCTTTCAATAGTGGTTTTCTTCAGGACTTCTTCTGTTTCCACGTTCTCTTCTCAATGCATCCTCATTGACTGGCTTTTGGAAAAGTCATATTGAAGGTGATCTTGTCTGCTTCTTTGGCTTTCATCCCATGTCTATCTGATAACTCCCTAATGGAACTATAGACCCAAACATCTAACTGCCTAGAAGACACATCCTTGTGGCAGTTCCACAGACATGGAAAGGCCAGGATGTACCAAGCTCTGAGCACTTCTTTTGCTTTTCTTTTTGTCTTTCATTTTGCTGATAGGCACTGTTACCGTCCCAGTTTTGCAAGCCAGTGCCTGGGCATTATCTATCACTTTTCCCTTACCCCGGGCTACATATGGCCATGTCCAACTCCTGTTACGTCTCCCTCATGCATATTCTTTCTCATCTGTCCCCTTTAGTCCCTTCCTACAGCTCACCTTAGTCCCAGGCACCAGGCACTCCCATCTACGTTGCTGCAGTTGGCTACGAATTATTCCCCCAACCCCAACATTGTTGTTCCCCGTGGTCATCTCCCTGTACTGTATACAGAGTGATTTCTAAAATGTACATTTTTTAGGTCACTTCCCTGCTTGAAACTCTCAGTAACTCTCTGTTGCCCTCAGGAAAATATTGAACAACCATATGGCAGATTCATGATCTTGCCCTTGTTTACTGCTCCACCTTATCTTTTGCTACCTGCCCTCTTGCTTCTTGCTTCAGCCTTTCTGATTAAGCTTGTTTGTATGTTTGTTTGTTTGTTTGTTTGTTTTTGAGGCAGAGTCTTGCTCTGTCGCCCAGGCTGGAGAGCAGTGGTGTGACCTCGGCTCACTGCAACCTCCACCTCCCAGGTTCCAGCAATTCTCTTGCCTCAGCCTCTGGAGTAGCTGGGATTACAGGCGCCCATCACCACTCCTGGTTAATTTTTGTATTTTTAGTAGAGACAGGGTTTCACCATGTTGGCCAGGCAAGACATGAACTCCTGACCTCAAGTGATCTGCCTGCCTCAGCCTCCCAAAGTGCTGGGATTATAGGCGTGAGCCATCCTGCCTGGCCTATTTGTTTGTTTTTAACTATACTCTGCCTCATTGAGAGCCTGTGCTGTTTCTTATGTTACTGCTTATGTTTCCTCTGCTGAGATTCTTTCTTCCAATCTTCTTTTGACAAAAATTTCTTTCTTCATCTCGGTTTAGATTTCACTTCCTCCTGGCAGCCTTCTCTGACTTACAAAATCTGCCTTGGGTGCCCCACTAGGTGTTCCTACTGTTCTCTGTCCTTTCCCTGTAATATTGTCACTACCTAGCTCTGTGTCTGTATCCACTATGAGACTATGAGCTTTTAGGGGAGGGACTGTATCTATGATGTTCCCACCAGTATTTCCATCATTGAGCACGATCCATGCTGCAAGGTGGAAGTTTAATACACATTGATTGAATACAAATGAATTTGAATTGAGAGTGATAGCTTTGGGAGTCAAAGGTGCTTTCTCTCTCTCTTTTTCTATTTCCTCTACCTACCTCCTCCTCCTTACTTAAATTTTCCTACAACCGATAGCACAGGGTAGGGAATCTATGGAAAACTTGCAATAAATGCATTGCTGATTGATAGAGATACCTTCAAATTTTTTTAAAAAAGTAGATATGTGCTTATTTAAAACAGTAAAGTGCCTGCTTAGATATGTGTTTCACTTGTTCTTCTAGGTGTTTATTTCTGGTGTCATGGCACTTTTTTATAGCTACCAATGATGATTTATTTTGTTTTCCTTCCTTAGTAATTATCTTTATCATAATGAGGTAAATTTATCATAATGAGGTATTTATTTGTTTTCAATTTGTCAAAATGAATCTAACTACAGACATAGCACATAGTTAATAAAGTATGGTTTTTATTTTAAAACATGTACTTAACATGCCACTCCTACCAGCAAATTCTCAGCCCATTTCTAAATTACTAAGAGCAAGGAGCTCAATTTACTCATGTCCTCATGTTTCCATTCCCTCATCCCTCTTGCTCTAATATTGTCTTAGTTGCTCTCTGTGTCTTTGCCTTTGATCCTAGTGTCTGAGCTTGTTCTCCTACCGTAGGTCAGCTTTAGTCTCAGGGTTCTATTCTGAGTGCCTGGATTCAAATTCTGGCTCACCTACTTATTCACGGTATGGTTTTAGGGAAGATGCCTAGTTCCCATGTGTCTCAGTTTATTTATCTTTCAAATATGAATAATAGTATTTTTCCTTAAAAGGTTTTGATGAGTATTAAATAAAATAATATACTAAAACGCTTAGCACAGCATCTAACCCAGAATAAGGTGTTAGTAAGTATCAGACCTGTTTTTTTTTGAGACGGAGTCTTGCTCTTGTTGCCCAGGCTAGAGTGCAATGGTGTAATCTCAGCTCACTGCAACCTCCGCCTCCTGGCTTCAAGCAATTCTCCCATCTCAGCCTCCCAAGTGGCTGGGATTACGGGCATGCACCCCCACGCCCGGCTAATTATTGTATTTTTAGTAGAGACAGGGTTTCACCACGTTGGCCAGGCTGGTCTCGAACTCCTGACCTCTTGACTGGGCTGGTCTCGAACTCCTGACTTCAGGTGATCCGCCCTTCTCACCCTCCCAAAGTGCTGGGATTACAGGCGTGAGCCACCATGCCCGGGCACTATCAGGTCTTATTAAGGAATCCTACCCTACTGAGTCAATAACATTTTCTTTTTCTATATTCCTTCTTTTTAACATTCCGTAGTATTTCATTATTATTACTCTAGAGCACATAGTAATAAGCTTAAATGTTTGATTTAGAATATACCTTAGATACTATCCATAGTGTTAACTTTCACATTTTATTTCAAAGCATTTATTGAGCTTCTGTGAATCAGAGATAGGACTTAGACCTGGGTTGCAAAGGTGCAGAAGACACATTCCCTGTTCTCAGTGGAGCTCACATTATATGTGGAGGGGTGGCTAAGATATGAACAAATGCAAACTAATGGAAGCAATAAAACTTTTTAAAAGCACAGAAGAGGGAATTATTAACTCTGGAAGAGATAAGGAGGAGGCTGTTTTATAAAGAAGTTTAATAGAATAAATATAATTTTTCTGACCAGGAAAGAGTGGAAAGTCCTTTCAGCTACAAGGAGCAGCATACATAAATTTCAAGAGTCATAAAAAATGTGATATTTTCACAAAAACATGAAGTGGTTTGATATTAGTAGAATGTGAAGTAAGCATGAATCAAGTCAGAAAGGGGTCCTCATGATATACCTTGGGCCCATAGTGTCAGGTTTATACTAAAGAAGAAAGAAGCCAGGGGCAGGGAGACCACCGAAAGGGATGTGGTAAGAGATCAGGTATCTTAGCCCATTTGTGCTGCTATAAAAATACCATAGACTGGGTGCCTTAAACAATAGAAACTTATTTCTCACAGTTCTTAAGGCTAGAGGTCCAAGATCAAGTGTGGGCCTAGTTGGTTTCCGGTAAGGGCCTGTTTCTTAGTTTGCATACTGCTGGATTTCAGACTTGGTTGGAGCCAGTAGCTCCTTTGTTTTGGCCAATTTCTCCCATTTGGAATGGCTGTATTTACCCAATGCCTGCACCCCCATTGTATCAAGGAAGTAACTTGCTTTTGACTTTACAGGCTCATAGGCGGAAGGGACTTGCCTTGTCTCAGATAAGACTTTGGACTATGGACTTTTGAGTTAAGGCTGAAATGAGTTAAGACTTTGGGGGACTGATGGGAGGGCATGATTGGTTTTGAAATTCGAGGACATGAAATTTGGGAGGGGGCAGGGACAGAATGATATGGTTTGGCTCTGTGTCCCCACCCAAATCTCATCTTGAATTGTATTCCCATGATTCCCACATGTTGTGGAAGGGACCTGGTGGAAGATAATTGAATCATGGGGGCGGTTTCCTTCATACTGTTCTCGTGGCTGTGAATGAGACAAGATCTGAAGGTTTTATGAGGGGTTGCTACTTTTGCTTCTTTCATTCTGTCTTGCCGCTGACATGTAAGAAGTGCCTTTTGCCTTCTGCCATAATTGTGAGGCCTCCTCAACTATGTGGAACTATGTGTTCATTAAACCTATTTTTCTTCCCAGTCTTGGTTATGTCTTTATCAGCAGCATGAAAACGGACTAATACAGTAAATCTATCTTCTTGCCGTGTGCTCACATGGTTGGGGTAAGAAGTCATGAGTTTTACACTTTCCTTATAAGGCCACTGATCCCTTCATATGAGCTCTGCCTTCAAGACCTAATTACCTTTCAAAGGTCCTATCTCCAAATACCAAATTCCAACACACTGGGAATTAGAGTTTCAACATAAGAATTTCGCAGGAAAACAAACATTAGTGCCTAGCACCAAGTAAGCCAGCTTAAGGTGCTGGAATAGGGCACAGATAGTGGGGGAATAGAGGAGTGTATGGGTTTTAGATCTATGTAGAAAATAGAATCAATAGTGATTTGTGATCCTTTGGATAATTTTGATAAAAGGATGAATTAGGGAAAGTGATGACTTCTAGTTTTCTTGATTGGACATCCAGGGCATACCTAGAATACCTGGACAGTCATGCTTCAGAGACCATAATGCTACTCTACAAAAAAGGTATTTATATTCCTCTCTAAAATTCAAAATAAGCTCCTCCCCACCTGCTTGTGAATACTTGTCTTTCATTATTCACTAACAGTTTTTTGGTAGGGAAATAACACTGCTCTCTGCCTTCAGAGCTTTGGTTTTGAAATTCTTTCCCTGTGTCATGTGCTCTGTTTTTTCTACCTAGTCTATTCTTGAAGGCTGCTCTAATCTTACCTTCCTGGGAAAACTTTCCTTGACCACTCGGAATGACACCACTCTCTTCTACTTCTGATTTTCCCATACATCTGATTGACTCTCTGTGGCAGATACGATGCTATGTTATGGTCACCATTTCTCTTTCTAGATATACAAGGAGGTTACATATCTCCAGCTTCTGCATAGTTACAGTTCTAACCCCATATTCCTGAGTTCTCACTGTTGGGAATGTGAGCAGATGTGATGTGTCATGTTAAGCCTGAGGCAGTTCTGAGTGTTGGGAGCTCTTCTTGCTTTGCCTCTCTGTTCATTTGAAAGGAGGAGCTCTAACACCCTAAGTAGAAAGATGGAAGCCATCAGAGATGAAGTAATCTTGTAGACATAATTGACTTCAAATCAGACCAAAAACAAACCAAACCAAAAAAGAAGCTTTATTTTGGTAAACTACTGAGATTTGAGGATTAATTTGTGAACACAGCAAAGCACAGTCTATTCTGACTAGCATGACCAGATATCCTCTTATGGGGTAGATACAAAATCATGTTTTGTTTTCTTTTTTTTTTAAATTTCACATTGATATTCTTGGTTCTTAATATCTTTTGAATGAATTGCACATTTTTTTGATAACTAAATGAAAACAGACATCTTAGATTGGAGATAAAGTTATAACCAAGTGTTGATAGCCCCATCTACCCCTGTTTTTCTCACACTTAAAAAAAATTACCTTCTTTCAATTAATTCATAATCTTGTGTACTTGACTCCATTTCCTGAGTTCAGAAAATGGACAGTGTTCATTGATCAGAATTTAAGAATATCTCTTAGTCATGTTCCACTGAATTATACTTTGTATTGAATTATACCATAAATAGAAGAGAGATAAAAGAAATGAAACTTGTCTACTTCTGATTATTACTGTAGTCCTTTGATAGAATTAGGTATGTGCATGCATAGTTTTCCTTTCTTTCTTTGTTTTTTTTTTATTTTAGGGATACAGAAATTCTGATCCCAGCCAAAGTGTTGTTAAGTGTTGCTATGTTACCAATGAGAATGGGCCCCATTTTTCCCTCTTATATATAACACAATCTTTTATTGCATTTTTTCTTAATATCTCTGTTTGGGTGTAATGCCACCGATTTGAAATGTGTATGTATTGCCTCCTGCCCTCAAGGACCTTCATTGAAATGGAATGTTTTAACTAAAATGAAACACTAACAATTTCCCCCTGCCCTGCTGTTTCATTTATAATAAAAATGCTGTGCCTCTATAAGACTTTGATTTTTCAAGTTTATTATCTCAAAAGTGATAGTTTAAAATTTATAAATAATGATACATGATTGAAAAGCAAAGGGGAAATTCTATCCAGATGACTGCAGCTATTCATACTTCTTCCACATTGAATATTGGCAGAATCTCTCAACTAATTCATAGAACTGGTTTCAATAGAAAATTTGAACCATAGTACTTTCCATTTCTTTATATTTTCTTGTTTTTAAATGCAAGCTGCATATTCAGACAAAATCCTCTTTTCTGATTATGATAAGTATGACTCTTAAGGCTTTGAAATATATATTTACAAATACATATTATATATAAAATATAGTTATATATATTTTCTGCTGCAGTCTCTTTATAGAATGGAGTATGATTAGTAACAGGAGTTAATTTTCCTTTCTTTTGTCAACTCTATTGTTCTAAAAAGAGGAATACAGAATAAGAATCAGGAGACTTGAATCCTTTTTTAATCATGAAGTCTCTGGGTGACTTTTAAACAGCATATATTTTCTTATTGGACCTCCATTTATCATGTGAATTAGATAACAGTCTGACTCCATTATGGGTCTCAACCAGGAGTACACATTGGAATCAACCAGAGATCATCCTTAAAACTTGCATTGCTGGGCTCCATTCCAGACCTACTGAATCAGAATGTCTAGGAGGGGGCTTGAGGTATTTTTAGTTTTCAAAGTTGGCATGATCTGTAAATCAGCTTCCTGTGGACACATAAAGTTTTGCTGGATAATGAGAGAAGTAGGAGTCTGGAATAGTCGTTCAGGACAGGAAGGTTGACCATGGAGTGAAGCCTTGCAGTAGGGACCAGGAGCAGTCCGTGACAGTCGCAAGCAGCTGGATGGCTGTAGAAATAGACCAACGCAGTGCATGCAAGCTGATGAGCGGTCATGAAAGCTAAGCCACACCTCCTTTGCCATCTTGATTAGGCTCTGCATTTGCTTGCTTTTGTCTGTTTTACAGTGTGCATATGTGTGTCTGTGTTTTCAGTGATCATGATTTTTTAAAAGAATACATTTCTGGGGGATGCTCTGCAGCTTCCCAGTAGCTCTCTGGGTGGGGGAAAATCCTGGCCTGGCTTCACTCAGTTACACAACTTAGCTTAAATAGATCCCTAATAGAAGAATTATAGGGACATAATGAGGGTGTAACCACACTGTGAAAATTGGCAAGCCTGTCTTTTGTCAGGTGGTCAATTTCATTCAGTTCAGTCTTCATCGAGCAATATCTCTGAGTGCTGCCATGTGCAGTTAAAGCATAGGTGTGGATGGAAGGTAAAAGAGGGAGGAAACAGTGAATAAAACCTGGACTAGCAAGGGAGCAAAGATAGATTTACAAACAACTGTACGAAAAGGGAGGGGAGGTACTAATACCAAAGGCAGTGCAGACAGAGCAATGAAATTCGTAGAAGCCACTAATTGTGACTGGGTTTCTAGAGCCACCGTGCTCTGCAGACAGTGGGAGGCTTTCTAGAAAACACACTGCCTGCTAGTCTAGAATTCTCTTATACTGATTTTGGCAGGGGTGGGGGTCATGGAGGAGGAGTCTCATTATAATTATTATTGTCTCCTTTATTTTGTTTTATTCCAAAGCAGTGGAAAATCCTTCCTTCTAATGGATTAATCTAGGAATGAGACATTACTTTCCTGCCATCCCTGAGACACTTACATGTACTCTTTGAGAGTCATTTCTTTTCTATTTTATTTGTGTCTATGTCATTTTGTGTTGGAATTGTCTGTTTTCTGAAGGCAGGGACTGGATATTCTCTGCCCCTTCCTCTCTTCATTGTGCTGGGCACACAGTAAGTGCTAGTTGAATAAGTAAAAGCATGATCAATGTAGATCAATGGAATAGTAATGAGAAATTGATGAGGATGTTAATAACTAAAATGTATTTTATTTAGAAGAGATCAGGGTATGTTAATGTCTACACATATTTTTTCATTCTAGCATTACTCTGGGCTAAATACAAAGCAGTAGAATATCCTCTTTAGAGGTAGAAAAACTGAGGCAAAGAGAGGTGCAGTGGCTTGCAAAGATTGTGCAGAATGCAAATCCAAGGATAAATCCTGATAATAACCACTCTCACTTGCATGTCAGCCCCACACGTGAGGTGGGAAGCAAAGAGATTATTTGCATTTTATAGATGAGGACCTCAGGCTCAGAGAGGGGACAATAAACGGGAAACATTGACAAGTACTGGTAGGTCCCTGACAAAATGCTCTGTGTGAATTGCTTAAGCACAAATCAGTTTGGGGGATGCTCTATGAAAGACAAGGGGGTTAGGATGTGTCAGTGGGGTAGAAAGGACATGGAGTTGGGGCTCAGGAGATACTGATGTTTGTCTTACCTCGCCCATGGATTTGTTATGTCAGCTGGGAAAAAATGACTTCCTTTTTCTTGGTTTTAGTTTCTTTAACCACAATGAGAGAGATGGGCCAAGATAATTTGTGAAGTTGCCTGTAGCTCCAACATGCTGACTTAAATATATGTTGAGTATTCCTTATTCAAAATGCTTGAGACCAGACGTGCTCTGGATTTTGGAACTTCTCATATTTTTTGAAACGTGCATATATATAATGAAATATATTGGGAATGGTACCCAAATCTAGACTTGAGATTTGTTTCATATACACCTTCTACACATAGTCTGAAGATAATTTCAAACAATATTTTAAATAATTTTGTTCATGAAGCAAAGTTCATGTACATTGAACCATTAGAAAGCAAAGCTGTCATGTCAGCACTCAAAAAGTTTCAGATTTTGGAGAATTTTGGATTTTGGATTAGGGATGCTCAACCTGCATATACAGATACCACATTGGGAAATCATGATGGGCTGAATCATTTTAGGATAATATCATAGTTACTGGTATTTATAACTCTAAAAATTCTTCATTTAAAAAATTCTGATTAAATCAAATTATCTCCCCTGAAATCCTTGCATATTGGGGGCATATCGAGGAGAGATGATTGGGACACAGAGTTAATAAGTGGAACATTTTGTAATAGTTTTTGGTGTCACCTAATCACAGGGTGAGGGATGAAGCACGTGACACTGTCTTCTGGGCTCTCTTCTTACCTGTCATTAAATACTATGATGAAATAGAAACCAGTAACCCCAGCTCTGTGTGTTTTATGGGCTCAGATGAGTATTCAGTTTCTTCATTTAAAAATAGGAATAGGCCGGGCGTGGTGGCTCACGCCTGTAATCCAGCACTTTGGGAGGCTGAGGCAGGCAGATCACTTGAGGTCAGGAGTTCCAGAGCATCCTGGCCAACATGGTGAAACCACGTCTGTACTAAAAATACAAAAATTAGCTGGGCATGGCAGTGCACGCCTGTAGTCCCAGCTACTTGGGAAGCTGAAGAATGAGAATCGCTTGAACCCGGGAGGCAGAGGTTGCGGTAAACCAAGATCATGCCAGTGCACTTCAGACTAGGTGACAGAGTGAAACCCTGTCTCAAAAAAAATAAAAAATAAAATAAATAAATAAATAATAAAAATAGGAATAAAATGAGCAGCCTTGCCCCTTTCCAGAGGATCCTTATGTTGATCATATGGGATAATCTGTCTGGAAGTATTTTGTAAACTGTAGAGAGCTGTTCAAAGTCTCCTGCGGATGTGAGGGATTATTACTGACTCACACAAGCCAATGGCCTTGAGTATATTCATGTGGGGACAGTGGTGACCTACCATTGCCTGAATTACTTGACTCTGGCCTCAATGTTGGGCTTAGGAAAAAGAAAGTGAAGCAATTCTTATTTAGTTTTATCTAAATCCCTCGAGTTACCTGGCTTGCTTCCCAGAACCTCATCAAAACGGAGCATGAGCCAGCTGGGTTGTCCATCCTGGAATGGAAAGGAAACACCATTAAATCCTCACCTTCGCTGGGTGCCTGTCATGTTTAAAGGAATTTTATTCACCTGACCTGATTATCCACCACTGTGCATTATCACATTTGTGTGACCTTGAAGAAGTCATGTCCCCCCTGTAGGCCTGAGTTTCTTGCTCTTTCAAAGTTTAAGAGGTTTGACAGGATAATTTCTGAGATGCTATCCAACCTCTTGGTTTAACAAGATTTTTAAATGAAGGGTATGTTCACGTGGAAAACAGCATCAGAGCCTCTCCAGTACTACTGTACTCAAAGCTAGCATTTCACCATGCTGGCGGGCGAGGGGCTGTGCCGGGTGACCTAACACTGACTTTTTTTCTTTTCCGTTTTCATTTTTTTCCAGCTGAGTCAAATGGGCTGATGTGAACATGAGTCCCGCTGTGCTCTCTGAGAGATGAAGCTGGTTCAGGAATTCTGAACGTGAGCTGCTTAGCAGCTGCGAATCAGAAAGCTCTGGGCAAAAATTGGAGTTGCTTCCAAGACAAGCGGGAGCTCTGAACAGCCTGCCCCAGTAAGGCTACTGGGCCTCAGCTACCCATATGTTCCAGGCCATGGCATTGAACTCCGAGACATCATCAGATGTCTCATCCCTAACACATGATGGTCATTGCATACTTACCAGTTATGGAACTTTGATAATTAGATAAGAAAATTCATGAACATAGGATATAAAACCAAAAGAAAAGCAAGAACATTGTTATCATAACATCTGGATAGGGTTTCTAACGGGTGGGAGAGAGAGAAGGGACATATGGGGGGCTTCTGGTTCTGATAAGATCCTTTTAACTTAATTTGGGTGGCATGTACATTGAAAATCATTTTATAATTATTCATTAAAATATACATCTACTATTTTATGAATCTTTCTGTGTCCATGTTTACTGCAGATTTTCAAATATTAAAATATGAGATAGTGCATGTGAAGCATGTAATGCACCTGGCAAAACACAAGCATTTAGTAGATGTTTTTATTGAGACAGTTGCAGCCAGGTAACAAAGCAAGTCAAGAAGGATACCTCCAAATTCAGAATCAGGCCCTGGGGGACAAAGGAATTCAGATGCAGAAGGAGATGCCTTCAGAGGCAGCTATGTGGTCAGGCAGGGTTCCAACATCTGTCCCTGACTGTTACTGTCAGTGTAGAAAATTTATTCCTGAGACTCTTTCTTTTTTCCTTCCTTCCTTCCTTCCTTCCCTCCCTCCCTCCCTCCTTCCTTACTTCCTTCCATCTTTCTTTTTAATAGGTTATTAAGTCCCTGCTATATGATTAATATCATTAGGTATAAAGTCAAAGATGAAAAGACAAAGTTCCTTTCCCCCTTTTTGAGAAGTCTGTCTGGGTAACAAACATGTAAGCAGATTGGTACTCGAATGTGTCAGAAAAGCCAAGCTGTAATTTTCGAAGGTGCTGTTTTACAGGCATATGGCACATCCTCAGAAATTTTAGTTGCCATCAGAGGGTCCTGTCAAGTCTGTGGGGCCCTGAGGTTCTAAGGTGGCTTCTGACAAACAGGTGTGATGTTAATTGACAAAGCAGAGAGTCAGAAGACTATTTTAAATCCACAGATTTTGCAGTTCAGCTAAAGTGTTTCTTTCCCCCCAGGAATGCAGAAGGAAGGGCTAGTGACTTAGGCTGAGCTGGGAGGGCAGGTTTATCTTATGTGGGAAAGGTGTGCTTACTTGCTCAGGTACACCAGATGTCCTTTAAACTGTGTTTGAACATTGTCACTTTATGAAAAACCTCTTGGGATTTCAGAATAAACCAATTTCCTTGATTTTAAATTTAAAAAATAAAATGACTTTAGCCTCCCTCAGAGATTGAACTATGCGGTAGCAGTAGTAATTGGTTGCGGGTTTCTATCTTTTGTGAGATAACATTTCATTTCTATACAATTTTTTCTTTAAATGTTTCATTTAGTTTTCCATGGACATTGCTGGATTTTTCTACACAAGAGTCTCACCCTTTTACCATCCCACCAGTAAAGAGCAGATCTAGCTTTTAGACACAAGGATACTATAAGGGATAATTTATTCAAACTTAATATGTGAATGCTAAATGAATCATAGCACTCATTTTTAAAACATTTCTTTGTATATGCTAATCCCTAGTTCTAGAAAATGTGGTCTAAGTGTCTGGATGCATACCAAACCTCTCACCAGAGGCTTGGTGGAAAGCAAACTCTGGAGGCAGAGCATCAGCACCTAGGAATGGATAAGGGACTCTCCTGAGACTCTGCAAAATGCAAATGCACAAATGGTTGTCTTCTAAATATTGCTGCTCTCCTTTGTTTCTGTACTCTGTTTCCTGGTTCCCTTCCTGCCACTCTCCAAGACATTCACCTCCTCTTGCTGGACCTGTTGTCCCAGACTCCATCGCTCCAATTGCTGAACATCTCTTCTCTCTCAACTTCTTTTCTTAAATTCCTTTCTCAGTGACCTATTTTGTCCACTTGCCTATGCTATGCACTTAACAGATGTTCTGGAGGATCAGATCAGTAAGAGACATTTTGCAGAGGAGTCAATAGACCAGCAAAATGAAAACTTTTTGAGAATCTGCTGAAAAGTATGGACCCCCCCCCCACATGAAAAATTATACACCCCACCTTAGAAAGTCCTTGTCATCTTGAATCATGGTGCCCAGCATAAGAAGGCTTTTAAGAACTCAGTAATACAGGCCAGGTGTTGTGGTTCATTCCTGTAATCCCAGAACATTGCAGGGCTGAAGCAGGTGGATCGCTTGAGCTCGGGAGCTTGAAACCAGCCTGGGCAATATGGTGAAACCCCATCTTTACCAACAAATTAGTTAGGGTGCACCCATGATCCCTGCTACTCAGGAGGTTGAGGTGGGAGGATCCCTTGAGCCCAGGAGGCAGGGGTTGCAGTGAGCCAAGATCATGCCACTGCACCCCAGCCTGAGTGACAGAGTGAGACCTCATCTCAAAAAAACCAACCAACCAAACAAAAAAACCTCACCTGATAGAAATACATAGTGGTAGACAGTTTGGGCACTTCTCGCTCAACTAAATTCCTATTCACTCAAGGTTTAGTCTTTGAGTTACATAATAAAATATAATGATATAAACATAATACAATTAAAACCAATGAGATAAGGAAATGGAACGTTCTTTGTAATCTAGCATTCATTGTATTAGATAACGTTTCATTATTATAACCAACAGGTAGTTTCAGTACAGACAAGTGAACTTAGTTTTCTCAGATAAACATTACCAGTATTTATCATTATCTGCTTCCCCTTCTCTTCTTTCAGGACACAAAAAAGACTGAATGTCTTAGTCTCTTCATAGTTGAACAGGACTATATGATTAGTCTTGGAAGTGACATCTGTCACCCCAGGCTGAGATGGTAAAAAGCCCACTTGGAGTATTGCAGCCTGAAAATTATCCTCCCTGTTAGGGAAGAGGCTTCCTGTTAGGGAAGAGGCCACACAATTGAAGCAGAGTGCATTGCTCAGAAACCATAGGAGCATCACTGAGACTTGCAGTGAAATTTGCATGAATGAGATATAAACTTTTATGTTATGCCACTAGGAATTTGGGGGTTGTTTATTACTGCAGTATAACCTGATTTATCATGACTAATGCATCCCCCAAGTGTCCTGGCATTGAAGAAGAGAGGCATGTTGATTTACACGGAACTCTGATTTTGTTTTTGAGCAGTAGGTTCTTCCTTGTGTATGTCTCTTATTGTCCTCCTCTACAAAATATAGAGCAGAATAAAAATGTCAGCCACATTTATATGTCAAAATAAAAATAGCAACATTTTAACCTTTCTTGTCAGAAAGGTTGGTGACTCCAATTTTAAAGGAATAATTGGTTACACGTGCCTTGTGGCCATTGATAAAAATGTGTGTTTTACTTCTTTCCCTAGGAAATTGCATGAATGGCATGCAGGAGAGAAGAGGGTCAACACAGGATGGCTAATGTGATTAATTAAAGGGCTTAGTATAAATGGCCAGTGGTATTTAGTGATACCTTAGAGAGATTAATACTGGTTAAACACATGGGTAGAGGGGGCAGATTAATGAATGTTTCAGTGGCTGTAAAAGATGTAGTATTTTTCAGTGGAGCAATGAATAAACATCTCTACCTCCACATTACATGTGAGGGATCTCACTTTAATCCTTTAAATGCTTTCACCATCTGTAATTAGGCAATTAGTTCAGGGAGCAATGTAGCACCTACATAAGGAGAAAGAAAAACAACAAATGTGTATGACTAACTGTTATTTATTTTATATCAAATCAGTACTTCTATTCCTTTTCTTGGTGAATAGCGATCATCCCAGGAGCCTTCCTGCCCTTCCACAGGGATGGGAACCTAGTTTTTCCCTCTGCTCAAAAGCCCTGCAGCTAGCACAGAATTGGAACCTATTGGCACTTCATTAAATAAATGTCTCTTAGTTGATTTCTAAGCAGGCATCAGAGAAGAGCTTAAGACTGGGCCCTGGAAGGCCATTCATAAGCAGACATACTACATCCGAAAAGAGACCTTGGCCAGTTCTCTTGGATAAAGGAATATTGAGTCACTGCTTTTTATTCTTGCTCCTTCTCCCTTCCTTCAATTGTTTCCTTTCTTTATTCCTTCCTTATTCTGTGACCTTTCACAGCAAGACTAGGTGCTATGAGATGCTTAATATTTTGCCTTTGAGAAGTTCACAATTTATTTGGAGCTTGAGAAATAAGGCACAGACCTATGATGAGTTAACTAACTATAAGGCAATACAAGTTTGTATTAAATTACTGGGGCATATGATGAGGTTTAAATAGGCCTTTAGGTCATTGGTTTCTGAGTTGTGTTTTGTCCTTCTTGCTTCTTCTAATCTTCCTCAACACACACTTGTATTTTCTTCTCCAGACCCATGTTCTATGCCTGCCACAGTTTAGCTTTGATCTTTGGTGATAATGAAGGTACAGATCGTTTTTAAAAGTATTTTGTCTATGGAATAACTAACTTAAGGAAAGGAGTTATCAACCTGGAAAGATACTTTTCAAGCAGATTCAGTATGATAAAAAAAAATGGGTGAGTG